>NC_000012.12:100490431-100793461 GCF_000001405.40 Homo sapiens
GAGGAAATGGGCCTTAAGTTACAGAGTATAAGCTTGGGTTGAATATTAGGAAAACTTTCTGACCGTTCACATTGTGGGTTCCTGGAAAATATTATTATGGGAAATTGTGGAATTTCCTATTCCCAAGATAGGAGAAACTCTAGAACAATAATTGCCTAAATTTTGATGGGGAGTGGGGTATTTAAGCCCATTTATTATACAATATACAGACACATATACATATTTAGTATCATGATTCATATATGTATTCATATATACACATTATATATATCCTTATACAATTGATATGTACATGCTGAAATTTGAATTTCCCTAGTCCTCAACTAGCTTATGAGTATGAATGAGGTCCTGTTAATAACAACAACTCAACATTTTTCTTTTGAGACTTTAGCTCTGTCGTCCAGGCTGGAATGCAGTGGCATGATCAGAGTTCACTGCAGCCTCGACCTCCCAGGCTCAAGTGATCCTCCTGCTTCAACTTCCCAAGTAGCTTGGCTGGGACTACAGGTGTGCATCACCATGCCCAGCTAATTTTTAAATTTTTATTAGAGGTGAGTTTTGTCATGTTGCCCAGGCTGGTCTCGAACTCTTGGGCTTGAGTGATTCTCCTGCCTTGGCCTTCCAAAGTGATGGGATTACAGGCAGTAGCCACTGTGCCTAGCCAGAAACTCAACTTTTACTGGCTTACTCTTCAGGACCTCCCGCTCCTATCAGAGCCTCCCTCCCCGACAACACCCCAGTTATTTCAGGAGTGCCTTGGGGTCTCTTCATGTTTATAACTAAGTCTGCTCTGGCTGTTCCTTCCACTCCATTTTGTGTCCATGGGGCAGAGCAGTGCCCAACCAGTAGTCATGATTCCTCTGCTGGGCACCTCTGCTGCCCAGCCCTCTTGGGTTCGGAGTTCCACTGTGATATATGGCATAGTTGTTTGAGGATGAGGGTGAGGTTGAAGTGAGTTCTCTCTCTCTTCTGCTTGTTGCATTGGACGGATCTGCCTTATACCTCAATGTTTCCAGACTTCATTTTTATTTACAACCCTTTTCTTCTCACCTCTGGGTGGTAGGAAGGTCTCCTGAATCTAGTATGGGTTGGTCAAACACAGCTACACTGAAAATTACATATGTCTCTAATGGCTAAGGCTTTCCTTTGGGGTGAAGTTCATGGTCCCTAGCTCTCTATGAGTTTAGAATGGATTTTCTCCCACCAAGCCGCTTATATTAATGGATAGTAGAGTTTGGCAGTAGGGCTTGGTGGAATTTGATGGGCTATGCCGTGGGTTTACCAGATGGACCCAGATATGCCTGGAACCCACAGTGGACACAGTTTGTGTCTCTTCTCAGAAGACTCTCCCTCATTCTTGCTTCTTCATGTGGTTCTTCTCTGTTGTCTTCCCATCAATGCAGATTGCTCTAGTATCGCCCATCTTTAAAAATTGCCCTTGAAACTACATCCTCCCTCCGCTACTTCTCTATCTCTTGACTCTCTATCTCTTCACATCCAAACCTCTCTATTACAGCATCCTGTTATTTGCCTTCATAAACAGCTTTCATGACAATATATAATTATCTATGTATTTGGGTGATTATTTAATATTTATTCCTAATTAAGCTTGATATCATGGATCATGAATGTTTATTTTCCTTTTGCCATTTTATCTTCAAATATCTAGCACAGAGTTTAGTGCAGAATATGTGCTCACTGAATATTTGTTGCAAGCATTGAATAAATGAATAAATGAAGGAAACAGGTTTCTGGTGGACGACTTTCCCAGCAGCCAAGTGCACCTGAAACTCACTTCTGTTTGAGCTAGGACATTTGGTGAGTGAGAGAGAAAGAGAGATACGAATAATGGGGAAATCCTAATGAAATACATACTTATCCAAAAAACCCACTATATCCTCTTCCTGGGCAGCAAATATAGACAGCTATTTATTTGTAAATAAAGTCATACCTTGGTGGAGACAGAAAAAAAAGGTTTGAAAATCATCCTCAGAAAACAGCTTGGGAAAAGAGATTCTGACAGCACACATTATCACTTTTCATTATTTAACCTTTCAAATTACTTCTTTAGGGAGGTAGAAGACATCGTAGAAGGAGTGAAAGAAGAAAAGAAGACTTAGAAACATAGCTCAAAGTGAACACTGCTTCTCTTAGTTTCCTGGATTTCTTCTGGACATTTCCTCAAGATGAAACTTCAGACACTTTGGTGAGATTTACCATTATTTTTCTTCTTACTATATCTTTTTAAAAAGCCCCGGATCAATACATGACCAAGGTAGATCATGACAGTGAAAATGAAAGCCCCTGAAATTTCCTCTAAAAGGCAGATACAAGGAATATCTCTGATTTTCTGATCTGCTGACATAATGCCTAAATAGTCAAAAAAAATTCCAGTAGGAAGTGGCTTTAAATCACTATTAATGTTTATAAAAACCTATTCAACTTTAGAATAAAGTTTAAGATAATAAATCATGGATTCATCTCATTTTAAATCAAGGCCTTTTATATTTGTTTTTTTTTCTAATAAAGACATAGTCAAAATGTCATCATATCTTGCCCAAATCTCCCAAGGGCTGAAATTTGAATGAAAACATACGGTGTTTTTTTCAGATAAATTAGTATCTTTTATGCAAGCACGTATCTTGGGCATTTTTAGGTCCAAATGAGGTATAAAAATGATAAATATTGAGAAAAGATACATACAGAAAGGCTATAGTAAAATGCATTCAAAGGGAGCCATTTGTACTTTCGTAAACTATCTCGCTGTCTCCTTCCCCAGCTCTCCTAACCAACCCTTCCCGCATTCCCACAGTCACAAACTATTTATTTTCCTTTCAGGAGTTTTTTTTGAAGACCACCATAAAGAAAGTGCATTTCAATTGAAAAATTTGGATGGGATCAAAAATGAATCTCATTGAACATTCCCATTTACCTACCACAGATGAATTTTCTTTTTCTGAAAATTTATTTGGTAAGTTGTCAAGTTCATTTGAATATCAATAAGAACAAACTACGATTTGGAAATACATGAGGAAATGCCTAGATGATGAGTCCAGCCCAGGGTCAAGAACATGTTTTTGTTCCTTCCAAGTACTCAATCAATGTTAGCTACTCTGCAAGGTTAGAGGTAGATCGGACCTTGGATTCATGGGACTTAATGGTCTTCATTTTTATAGATGAGGACTGCAAAAGCTTTGTGAATTGCTCAAGGCCGCGAGGCTAGATAATTAACAGAGCAGGGAGTAGAAAGCGATTCCTCCTCTAAGGCTAATTCCAATATTATTATAGCAGGTACTAAACTATGAAATCATGATTCTTATGGCTTAATATGACACCTATTAAAGGCTGAGTTTACTTAGGTTATAGCTGGGCAGATTTCCTTTTGCAGTTCCTCCGGTGCTGGGGGATCTATGGCACAGTGTCAGGATTAGTCATTTAAGCAGGATTGAGGACAAATTGTACTAAGCAGTTTTCAGTAGATCTGTAACTAGATGATACCATAAAATGATATATTGCTCCACTTTATGCATTTATGAAAAACATCTCATTATAAAGAGTTTCAACTGCAAACATTAACAAAGATTTAACCAAGGCAATATTTTGGGTGGGACAGGGAGCCTTTCTGCCAGTGTTAAAATAATTCCCTTCTGCATAATAGCCCTGCTGGCAGCCTGGGATGCTCCCAGTTTTCACCCTCCGTTAATATATGGGCCATGATATACCATAATAGTGAAAATGCAAACACTAGAAGTTCCTCAAAGTTCAATGTATGAAGGCATGACCGCTTATTTGGTTGCTGATATTCCTAGGACCTGTTAATTAATAATTTGTTCTGTTACCTATTAGTCATTAGCACTTTAGTGTGTAATAGTTGATTAGGCCATTTCCAAAAAGGGGTCATTATTTGTAATAATTATTTACATGTGTACCTGCCTCCATACAGTACAAATGCATTTAAGGGCAGTGACCATATTTCATTAATATTTTATTATCCAGTGCATATTTAGTAGGCACTTGATAAATAAGAGTCCAGTAATAAATAATAGAAGGGAAAAGAAAAAGAGGTTTATGGAAAAAACAGATGTTGATCCGTAACTCTTAGAGAGACCAAAGGCGGCAGTAATTATTTATTAAATGCCAGTTCTCCCAAGTACTTGCTGCATCTTATTTCTTCCAGTTGGCTTATCTTCATCCTGTAGATGCAGTCAAGGGCAGTGGGAGGCCCTGCCTCCATGTCTAGCCACTTGACCATTTGCTTCTGGCCTGCCTGCCCTTCCGTGGTTCCTCAGAACAGAGTCAATGTATAGACATCTTAATGATTTTTTCTTCTAGCAATCAGAACTCACAGAATAATTAGGACTATTGGCACATACCACAGATAAAGAAAAATTGCACTCAAGATTTTTTTTCAAACAGAAACTTCCATTTCCTGCTGTAAAATTTTATGATTGTAGGTTGAGATCTCTGAGCTTAGGCTTCATCATTACTAAACCAATCTATTCAGCTCCAATTTGCATACAGAGAGAAAATTGTAGGGTTTTCCTTACAAGCTAGCCCAATTTTCAGCCAGCACAGAAGATTTCAGGGTGATTTCAGCAGCCATAAGGTGAAAAAGATGCCAGTAAATTCAGAAAAAGCCACGAAGATGCCGTCAGGTTAGAAGCATCTAAAGATGATTGCTAAGGAAGCACTGTGCCTTCTGCTTTTATGGTGTGGTTCTCTCCTCTCTCTCTTTTGCTGGACCACATTCTTATTCCATTTCCTAACACTGCATTTAAGGTTTCTGAGAATATATAGCACAAGCTGCATGAGCTGCAATGCAGAGCTGTAATTCTTTGCTGGAGCAGTTTCCTCAACTCTTTATCTGGTCCCCTCTTCTGGTAAACTAATCTGACCATGTGTGACCATTAGGACTCCTTTTCCTTTTCTCCACTAAGCTGTAGAGCCACGTCTAAGCATTATTTTCAAATCTCTTTCCCCTAGGCCCTCAGTCTCACTTCACTTAACACATCTGAGCTAGGCTGGGCATAGTGGCTCACACCTGTAATTCCAGCACTTTGGGAGGCTGAGGGAGGTGGATCACGAGGTCAGGAGATCAAGATCATCCTGGCCAACATGGTTAAACCCTGTCTCTACTAAAAATACAAAAATTAGCTTGGTGTGGTGGTGCATGCCTATAATCCCAGCTACTCAAGAGAACTGAGGCAGGAGAATCGCTTGAACCAGGGCAGAGGTTGCAGTGAGTCGAGATCGCGCCACTGCACTCCAGCCTGGTGACAGAGTGAGGCTCCAACTCAAGAAAAACAAACAAAAAAAAAACATACCTGAGCTAAAGGTATGCCAAAGGGGAGGACGAAGAAAATTTTGATTCCTTTATTCCTCTTCCTCATCTTCTTGTGTGTCATGATGACATTGATGGCTTCTATGGCCCCTTCATGTGCGTAGGGTGGAAGGCACCAGGGAAAAGACTGGCCCATGAATGAGTAGCCCACAGGCCTAACTCAGTACTCCTGAGTCTAAGCTACGCCAGGGGTTCAGAAGGGTTAATCCATGGGTTCAACTGCCCAGAAAGCTGGACTCTTTTCCAGTGGTTAACTGTGTATTGAAAACAGCAGTCATGTTGTTATAATAAAGGCAAACAAGGTTAATGGAATAGTCTATGGATAGCTGTCACTTCTTCTCTTCAAATATCGGACACTGACAATACGCTGGGCCTTGGAATAAAGCAGAGAATAGGACAGGCAAGATCCTAGTAGAAAGCAAACTCACAATAAACTTGTAAGTAAATCAATAAACAAAATAATATTATTTTTATACCTTATTTGGACCTACAGATGCCCAAGGTAGTGATACATGCTATGAAGGCAACAAAATAGGGTGATGCCCTATAGCCTGGAGTGATGGGCTGCTCTAAGTGGTATAGTCAGGAAAGGCCCCTGAGGAGTCCACAATTGAGCACAGCCTGAAAGACAAGAAGCCAGAGAGAACATTCCGGGAGGAGACAATAACAAGTGCAACGGCCCAAAGTCTGGAATGGACTCAGAAGGACCTTGTCTTCTACTCATTTTTATTTAGGGGTGGACAACTGCTTTCCCATTAACCAGCTGTGCAGCCTTGAACAGCTCACTCAAGTTCAGTTGGTAAAAGTAGATTATCAGGCTGGGAATTCTAGGACATTTACTCAAATTAAACATTTGAGTCCACAAAAATGCTACTGTTGTCCACGTCAGGAAGTGGTGACTTAATGGTACTCACTTGGTACACGGCTCAACAAGTCCTTTTAAGGTGGTCCTGGGCATGGTCCCCTTCACTGCAGGTTATTATAAAGGTCATAATTCAATGACAACTTTAAGGCATTTAGAAGGTGACCTGAAGACAAATACAGACAAGCACTCACTACTGGGTCCTGGAGACAATAATGACCTTTTCAGTGATAACTTGCAGCTTCTTCTAGAGGTGACCATGGGCCCCTTACTCTTCAAAGGCTTTGCTTAAGGTGAAGGGGAAATTTCTTCACCCCTGTAATGTTTATTCCAAAAAGCAGAGCCCAAATGAGGACTTGTGTGAAGGCAGTTTATGTGAGACATGATGAGGGAGTGGAGGCGAGGGAGTGGGCGATGCAACAGGGAAGGAGGGAAAACCAAAGAGGTCAGTTGTCAAGATCCCTGGTGTGGGGGAGGCCAGCTTGATGCCACTGGGAGCAGCACAGAGAACTGTCAGCAGAGGGGTCAGGGACTGGAGCATATATTAATATTAACTGCCCCTCGGCTCCCGTTGGTTGAGCGTCACCCCAGGGGGCATTAATTCCCCGCACTTCTGGACTGTTTTTGAGCTCAGGCCAAGCTGTCTCCTGTGGGATTAGAGAAGTTCTGGGCAGAAAGCATAGGAACGTGCGGCATGCTCTTGAAATGACAGGTGGTCAGCCTGCAGTCATCATCTGAGCTCGTGTATGATCAGCTGCCACAGGTATGGCCGAGATCAGAGACGGGCTGAAGGGATGTGACAGCTCCACCAGAAAAAGAAGAAAAGAAACTTGGACAGAATGGAATCAGAGAGATGGGGGTTGGAATCACCTCCCTGAAGTCCTTTAATTTATTCTGTTGCCAGACATCCCTGACAAATCCAGACGGAAATCTAGCCCGTCGGTAACTGAATCCACGTAGAGGCCTGGGGGTGGAAGGACACAGTTACCACACAGAGATTCGTCTCCTTTCCTCTGGGAGATCCTGCAAGCCAGGAAGCTTGGTCAAAGATTAATTTAGTGGATTAAAAAAGGCGTCTCTGATGAATGAATAAGGCAAAGTTTTATGCAATTAGTGCATAATAAAAAGTAATAATGACAAAGTCCACAGCTCCCCACCATCTGACATAGTGAATAAAACAGGAGATGGTATATTAACTAAAGTCTATATTTACTTTTAGCAAATTATGTTTTTAAAACTCAAAAATTACAAAAATTTAGAGACTAAAGAGACAAAGCATTCCAACAATAAGAGAAGAAGCAAGAGAAAATACAGTCTTATCCTCCCACACCCAATGTTCCTGGGCACAGTGATTCCTGATTCACTTAGCACAGTGACACTGGGAATGGAAATAAGGAATAAAATAGCGGGAAATGAAATCTCAGAGGCAAGTGAGATTCTCTGAACTTCAGTTTTTACCCACATAAAATGAGGATAATAATGTCACACTTCACAGGTTGTTGGGAGGAAGGAATGGGCTGTGTGGGAAAGCGCTCTGTAAGCTGCAAGGCATCCTAAAATGTTACAATTAATCCAGAGTTTGAAATGTAGTTGTCATATTTTAAATTGTTGAAATGATAAACACCATTCCACTCATTAAAAGAAGGAAGTACTGTTTATCTCAACATTGTGGAGTGCAAAGAACTTTCAAGGGGCCAGAGAGAATCAACAATACGTAAATAAGGCTGGGCGCGGGGGCTCATGCCTGTAATCCCAGCACATTGGAAGGCCAAGGCAGGCGGATCACCAGAGGTCAGGAGTTTGAGACCAGACTGGCTAACGTGGTGAAACCTCGTCTCTACTAAATATACAAAATTAGCTGGGCGTGGTGGCACGTGCCTGTAATCCCAGCTACTCGGGAGGCTGAGGCAGGAGAATCGCTTGAACCCAGGAGGCGGAGGTTACAATGAGATGGGCGACAGAGTGAGCCTCAGTCTCCAAAAAAAAAACCAAACAAACAAAACAAGAAAAAAACACCAAAAAACAAAAACAAACAATATGTAAATAAATTTCTGGTTACCTCACCTTTGCATTATTACATTGCTAACAACAGCTTTGGAATCCACGTCTTGTATTGCTTTTATTATTGTATCTAACAGTCTTTCCGGAGCCCCATTCTGATTGAGGCCTAGCAAGTGTCAGGAGGTAGATCCTATACAATCCCATTCACTTATCTTTCATTTCCTTTGGCTATTTCTCATTGCCTTATGCTTCACTTAGCTGTGTATGCCCATTTTCTTAGGGTGCGCTTTATTTCTTTATTTTTATTTTTATAGAGAAAGGGCCTTGCTCTGTCACCCAGGCTGGAGTGCAGTGGCACAATCAGAGCTCACTGCAGCCTTGAACTACTGGGCCCAAGCAATCCTCCCTCCTCAGCCTCTTCATGCTTTATTTGTATCAGAATACACTCACTTTGAAATCTGCTTCTTCCCTATGACTTATGCTTAAATTGAACGAATCTTCCAGATGTTACAGAGTCAGTCAGATGTTTTAAAATGCAATTAAAGGTTTTGAGATGCAGTTTGTAGAATATTTCTGACATTTGATTTCAGGTATTTTTCCATCTCACTGAGTTCAACTCAAGTGAACGTAGTTCTGACTTCTTGGGTGAATTAAAGTTCAAAGTTTCCAAAAGATAGAGAGATACCATTGTCTCAGATAAAATGAAGCTTTGTTTCAGCATACTTGAAATATTTTGTCACTGCTATTTCTTCTCCACAGCTCTTCCATAGCTGTAAGCAGTCTCTAAGGCATTTAATTTACTGTTACTTTGGTTTTTTCTTTCTCAAGGAATCTCAGTTCTGGTTCTCTTGATAGTGGAGTAAAGAAATGGGAGAAGGAAAGAAATATTGAATGAGCCTCTTCTTATTACAAAATAGATTACTGATTCTTTCAGCAGGGGCTTGCAGAGTTTGGAAAAGGTGTGCAATGAGTCAGAGAGTTGGCCAGCTGGTAGGCGATTCCACTGCAGTCTAGGCCTTAGCTCTCAACCCTGCAGGCTAAGAAACAGATTCTTAGGGATGCCAAGTTAAAAAAGATTGACTATAAAATCATATTGCAAATATATTAACTTACAACAATAAAAATAATTGTAATGATAACAGCTAGTATTTCTTGAGTGCTTTATAGAAATTAATGTGTCAGATATCAAGCTAAGTACATTTTAGATTTGTTAACAGATTTCCTGGGTTGGTTCCAATCTCTGCCATCTACTACCCTGTGGTCTTGGACAAATTCCTTAACTTTGCACAAGTTACTTGCCTTATTTAAATAAGGTGATAAGAAGAATGCCTGGCACATCACAAGTACTCTATTTGCCACTAAAATTCACTCTCACAACACACCTATAAGGTAGGTACCATTACTGTTCCCCTTTTATGGTGAGAAAAGGAATATTTAGTGATGTTAAATAATCTGCTAAACATTCCATAATTAGTAAGTAGGCAACTGAAATATAATCAGGACAAGGAAACAAAATCCAATGTTTAAGTCTCCAGGCTTAGAGAATACTTCTATTAACCTTGTCAACTGGGAAGGTCTTTCAATAAGATTATCTACCTTTAAAGTCTGCTGACCATGTCTGTTCTGAAGGATAGTTCTCAGAAAAAAAACATTGCCAACATTTACTCTAGGACCTCCCTTTTTTCATGCCTTCATAGCTGATGCCCCACTCAGCGTGAGAGGTACAACATTCACAGTGCTCCCAAATACTCTGCCGAACAGTGCCATCAGATAGAACTTTCTGTGACGAAGGAAATGTTCTAGCTCTACTTCGTCCAATACAGTAGCCACTATTCGCATGTGGTTATTGAACACTTAAAATGTGACTGGTGTGACTGAGGAACTGACTCTAATTTAATTTAAATCAATTTAATTTAAATAGCCTGATATGGTTGGGCTCTGTGTCCCCACCCAAATCTCATCTCAAATTATAATCCCCACATGTTGAGGGAGAGACTTGGTGACAGGTGATTGGATCATGGGGGTGGTTTCCCCATGCTGTTCTCATGATAGTGAGTGAGTTCTCATGAGATCTTGTTGTTTGATAAGTATCTGGTGCTTCTCCCTTCCTACTCTCTCTCCTGCTGCCTTTTGAGGACATGCTTTGCTGCCCTTTCACCTTCTACCACGATTATAAGTTTCCTGAGACTTCCCCAGCCATGCAGAACTGTGAGTCAATTAAACCTTTTTTCTTCATAAATTGCCCAGTCTTGGATAGTTCTTCATAGCAGTGTGAAAAGAGACTAATAAATAGCCATACATAGCTAGTGGCTACTGTTTTAGACAGCAGAGATATTCAGGAAAAAATATTTTTTTAGGGAAAAAATAATATGAGACAGTTGATCATCTCTAAGAGAAATTCAAAGGGATCCAATCAGTCTTGTTATGAGAACATTCTGTGTGAATTTCACTCAGCAACAAGGGTTTCCTGGGTCAGCTAAATAATCCTGCTCATTTCTTATCTAGTATAGATGTTTCTGAGGGCAACCGACAGGTCCATTTATTTTGGCCAGTGAAAAACTTAGTGGAGAATTCTTGAAATGGAAAATTCTGAATCATTCGTCTAGCTTCATATCCTTTGGGTAGCTTTTTCACCTATGACCCTCTCAGGGAAAGGATAGCTCTGGGATTGTGAGGAAGGGAGAACGAGGTCAGAAGTAAACTGAGGACTGAAAATGGCTTTGCAGATGGTGACCCCGATCAAGCAATTCAAACTGAAATATACCCATAGACCACCACTCTTTTCCTCTTTCTTGGCAATTAGGGCAAGTGTACCTTAGTTTTTCCACCACGGGATTTTGAGTCAGAAGACCTGGGTTAAAGTCCCAGCTTCATTCCTTACTAATGGGATGACTATAGACAAATCACTGAAACTCACTGAGTTTAAAAATAGGCTTAAAGATAGTGGAAGTTAGAAATAATACCTCCCTCCAAGGGTGCAAGTGAAGATCTGATGAGATAATGCATATGGAACCGCTTTGGAAACTTGTGAAGGCTATAGAAATGTCTTAGCAATGATTATTCCACTTGTATAGCTCACCTTTGCCTTTCAAAATTGCTTTCATATTTACTATCTCATTTTATCTTCAGAACAGGCCTAAATAGGGCATGAATTATTATCTATGTTTTACCATCTATTGATGTGGACAAATGGGGCCCACAGAAGCTGAGAGACTCATCTAAGGTTACACAGTGCATCTCGCTACATTATGCCTGGGCTCCACCCTGGATCAACTGAGTCCCCTTCTAAAGCCCTCATTTCTAAAAAACAACCAATAGACTTAAGCTTGATGTACAAAAGTTATGCTGAAGGATAAAATATAGAATTATTCCTATTCAATAAGCAACCCAAGGTACAACATGAGTCCAAAGCTGAGCAATCATAACATCAATGTAGTGATGATGGGTAGCCACCTGTTGTGCTAAGCATTTTATAAATACTATTTTAGTTAATAATCACGTATAATTCTTTGAGGTTGTATAGTTATCAACCCCATTTTACAACCAAGGAAATAAAGGCAGAAAATGGTTCAGGAATTTGTCCATTGTCCACAGAGCTAATAAGTGCCAAGACAGCCTGGATGTATTAGTTTGCTGGGTCTGCTGTAACAAAGTAACATAGACTGGGTAGCTTAAACCACAGAAATTATCCCATAGTTCTGGAGGCTGGAAGTCCAAAATCAAGGTGTCAGCAGGGTTAGCTCTTCCTGAAGGCTGTGGGTGGAGGATGTGCTCCAGGGCTCTCTCCTTGGCCCACAGATGGCCATCTCCGTCTCCTCTCTGTGTGTTCACATCAACTTCCCTCTCTGTGTTTCTGTCTCTGTAACCAAATTTCCAGTTTTTATAAGGATACAAGTCATATTGGATCTTCATTTTAATTTGATTTTCTCTGTAATGACCCTATCAACAATTAAGGTCACATTCTGAGGTACTGGGGTTTAAGGCTTCAACATATATACATCCTCATCTTACAATGGTTCAACCTACTATGTTTAGACTTTACAATGGTGTGAAATAGACACTTTTAGCATAGTTTTCAATAAATTGCATGAGATATTCAGTTCTTTATTACAAAAAAGGCTTTGTGCTAGATGATTTTGTCTTACATGGTGGTAGGCATGTCTTACATGGTGGTAGGGAAGACAGAATGAGAGCCAAGCAAAAGGGGAAACCCCTTATAAAACCATCAGATCTTGTGAGACTTACTCACTACCACGAGAACAGTGTGGGGGAAACCAACCCCATGATTCAATTATCTCCTACAGGATCCGTCCCACAACACGTGGGGATTATGGGAGCTACAATTCAAGATGAGATTTGGGTTGGGACACAGCCAAACCATATCAAGCATTATGCTTTAAATTCTTCCATTTTAAATCATACCATTCCATTTTAAATCATACCATTCTGCCACCTTTTGATGGGGACAAATGTCAGGACCCGGAGCATGGCACTTGACCTCCAAGTCCAGTTTTAGAGCCAGTGAACAGAAACCCACCCTCTAAAAGTTCTTAAACTGGAAAAGTACTCCCCCAAAATGTTTATCTAAGAGACTGGTTTCCAGCTTACTAGGCAATTTGGCATTAAGAACTTTCCTCATAAACATTTACAAATATTCTGCTCCGTAATGAAGTTAATCAGTAAACCACACAACCTCTGTCCTCTCTCACTCCTTACCTAGTCTCATTTTCAGTGGCTGTGAATAAGCTAAGAATGGTAATGCAGTTTCAGGGGTTAGAAAATCCAATTCAAATTAGTCCTCACTGCAGCTGTACGCCGTCAGGATTTTTCATGGAAATGATGAGTATGAAGCCCGCGAAAGGTAGGACACTGTTCACAGGTGCTTTCAGGTCGAGCTCTTGCAACTGGACTGAGGAAATCTGGGGACTTTGGTTGGAGATGACAGTAACAGATGTCTGTCAAAGATAGTGGCTCAGTCAGACCCAGAAGACTGGAATGAGAGTTTGGGTTGGGGTGATTTTTATAGGGTTCTAAACAGACGAATATCTTATGGGGATGAAATCCAAGGATGTTTCCCCTAATATTCTTCATAGACTCTTATGTCAAATTATCACTATTCTTCCAAACCAAACATTAGACAATTCTAATATTAATATCAATGGACACTTGAAAAAACATTTTAACAGACATTATTTAATGCAGTGCTCCTAAAATGGCAAGTCTCAGTTCCCAGGGGATCACAAAATTTATTTAGTGTCTCGTGACCAGCATTAAAAACTGGATTAGAATATAATAGAATAGAAATATTAGTGTCCCTCAAGGAGTAAAGACAAGTGGTATTTCATGAAATTTTGTTTCAGTTACATGTGTATAAGTATGTACGAGGGATATGAGATAAAATGTATCTAAAACCGTAGGTTGTGGTAAAAAAAAAAATGAAAAGAGTTTGGGAAACACGAATTAATGAAGTAGTTTCACAGCAGGTTTCTCCCAATAGTCCATGAAAAATCAGATAAGCACAGAGTTGAGCTTTAGGCCCAGGCTCTTGGTTTTCTCTGAATTAAAACATCGATTATAATTAAAACACAGTATAATGTAAATCATATTTTAATATTTTTTAAAACAGAAATTCATCTTTTAAATTTCCAGCAAGAAAAAACTCGAGTCATTTTTATAATAATGATAATTGTGAACATGTTTTTGGTCATAGACTTGGTAGCATACCATTTTGTTTAAATGCGATGTTTAAAAGTGACCGACACTGTATTTAGAAATGGAAATGAGTTGGAAGGCCGGGGAAGCAAATTTTCTATTTACTTCAATTTAACCAACATTTAATAAACATTTACTATGTGTCAGCCATTGAGTTAGATGCCAGGAATATAAAGAAAAGAATATAGTCTAATATTTTCCCTCAAAGAGTTCACAGACTAATCACAACAATCACAAAAGTATACATGTGTATGTGGTGTCAGGCACTATGCAGTTTCCATTCTTTGTCTTAGTTCATCTTTATTACAGCCTCTCATGCAGGCACTACATTCTTTCAGCTTTGTAAAGGAAGGAACAGAAGCTTAAAGAAGTTCCATGTCTTTCCCAGGTTCATATACCTAACAAGTTGTGGGTGAAATGAATCCAGATTTGTCTGCTCAGAGGGCACTCTTAGGTAGTATCTCATACCATCTCAAGTTCAGCGTGGAAGATAAGCCTGTAAACAAAAGAAATGATTGTATGTGCTTCCAATAAGTGCCATAATAGAAGTGTGTACAGAGGTAGGAGAGGTGAATTCCACCTGGGGGAACTGGGGCAGACCTCCCAGAGTAGGTGACCAGAAGTAGGTGATCAGCTGACAAGGCAGGGAGAGGCACTGACATCACAAAGGCCTGATGCCAGGAACAGCAAACAACTTTGCAGTAAAGCCCTGCCATTTAGTGAAGAAACCATGGATTAAGAAATAAAGGAAGGCAAAAAAAAAAAGTGACTTTTCTAGGCACTGCAATTCAACAGACATTCATTAAACATTTACTATGGTCAGCATTGTGCCAGGAATGAAAAACTGGATATAAACTGGACCCTTTCTTAGGAGCATCAGAAACTCACTGTGAGATTATGGGGGAGTGCCATTGTTTTTATGCAAACCTGATTTCCCATTTGGGGGTACAGTGGTTCTGGTCCCAAACTCCTTAGAGCTGCACTGGCTAATATGCCACATGTGGCTATTCAACTTTAACTTAGAATTAAATAAAATTTAACAGTCAGACTCTAAGTATCACTAGCCACATTCCAAGGGTTCAATATCCCTATGTGGTTAGTGGCTACCATATTGGTAGGTACAGAACCCTTCTATCACCTCAGAAAGCTCCCTCAGATGGCACTCCTTTAGAGAAGGTGTTGAAACCTGGAGACTGTCTAACCAGAAGAATTTTACTTTCTTTTCAGGGCTTCTCAGACTCCCCTGGAGTCCATCCATGTGTTCTCATTTAAGAACTCGTCCCTAAACTTCCATGGAGAACCGTCACAAAGGAATCCTAATTCTCATACTCTTTGATAGGCTAATTCCAAAATAAAGATTCCTAAATCTAAATTTTAATATGTATTTTCCCTTTTAAATTGTATCAAAATAGAAATAAATTTACCTTTTCAGAAAGCATACTCTAAATTAAAGTCGAACTACCTCTACTCCCTCCACATCTTATTTTCTGCCAATGTTGTATTTGTTTACTTGTTTACTTATTTTTGTCCTAACCCTTGACATCCCCACTTCCCAAAACACACAAACAAGAGAAAGGCTGGGCCTTCGTATGTGTCTTTTCACTTTCATATGTTCAGACCCTAACACAGTGACTGCTAAATAGCAAGTGTTTATAACACACACACACACACACACACACACACACACACACACACAGAGAGAGAGAGAGAACATGAGCATATGTTTATAAATAATAATTTGTAATGAAAGAACTATCCTAATACTTATATCATCAAGACAGACTGTGTTAATAATTACTTATTAACTATCAATTAACTATGATTAAAATCAGGATTTTGCTAGGTTCTTTAGGAAACATGTCTTTTAATGACACTCAACTTACCGAAACTGCTTCTCAGCAACCGTATTTTACACTCAGAACTACCTTCTGAGATAGCAACAGTCCCATTTTTATAGGAGAGATTGAAATAGGAAAAGCTTAGCCAGTTAAGATCTCATGGTCAGTTAACTGTGGAAGTTGTTCTAGTCCAACCATTTTGGAATATTTGGCCATGCTGGTTCTTTGGTTGTAAAGTTCCTTTGTAATTACTTCTCTATTTGTGGAGATTTAGGAGACACACTATGAAATGCTAGAAGTGAATGTGCTTTGAGAATAGAAGGTTTTTTTTGTTTTTTGAGATGGAGTCTCGCTCTGTCACCCAGGCTGGAGTGCAATGACATGATCTTGGCTCATCACTGCAGGCTCCACCTCCCAGGTTCAAGTGATTCTCCTGCCTCAGCCTCCCGAGTGGCTGGGTTACACGCACCTGCCACCACGTCCAGCTAATTTTTGTATCTTTAGTAGAGACGGGGTTTCACCATGTTGGTCAGGCTGGTCTTGAACTCCTTACCTCAGGTGATCCACTCGCCTTTGCCTCCCAAAGTGCTGGGATTACAGGCATTAGCCACTGCACTTGGCCAAGAATAGAAGTATTATTTAATATTATTGTGTACGGTTCTCATATTTTTACTGATGTTCTACTGTTTTAGCATGATATTATCTATATCTTTGTGAAAGCTTTCCATTTTGATCTAGATTATTCCAGAGACTGAAAGACAGGGATATTATTATCTGACTTGACTTGGGACTCCTTTGTATTTCTTGATTATGAAAATAATTGTTTTGTTGAAATAATGCTTAAAGATTTTAGAATTGTCATATGAGGAGAAAAAAAGTACACATCTCCTTGGATGCTACAGAATCCAGATTCTATCGGTTTTTGATCTTGGGCAAATTACTTAACCTTACTAGACCTGTGGCAGAGAGAAATTGGGCTAAGGGAGGAAGGGGAGTTAAGGGAATAAGATAGGTTAGAGGATAAAATCTAAGTGTACGTGAAACTAATGCTTTTAATACTTTTTAGTTTTTTTCAATTCCATTCACTCCAGAAATTTTCATCGTATTTGGTGATGAAATAGATCAGGATTTTGCTTCTATTTTATCTTTTCTTTTTGTGTAATAATTCCATATTTTTCTCCTTCCATTTTGCGGTCATAAGACAAGGCACCATTTCTAAAATATTTTGTCCATCAGACATACTCGTTTTTTTGTTTGTTTATTTTATTTTGTTTTGTTTTTGTTTTTGTTTTTTTTGAGACAGAGTCTTGCTCTGTCTCCAGGCTGGAGTGCAGTGGCGCGATCTCGGCTCACTACAACCACCACATCCCAGGTTCAAGTGATTCTCCTGCCTCAGCCTCCCAGGTAGCTGGGACTACAGGTGTGCACCACCAAGCCCAGCTAATTTTTTTGTATTTTTAGTAGAGACGGGGTTTCACCATGTTGGCTAGGATGGTCTCAATCTTTTGACCTTGTGAACCACCTGCCTCGGCCTCCCAAAGTGCTGGGATTACAGGCGTGAGCCACTGCACCTGGCCTATGCTGTTTTTATATGGATAAGTCACACAGAAGGAAAGGAAATTGATTTTTGTACAGATACTGTATACCATGTGTTCTGTCAATCATTTCCTGGGTTAATGCAGAAAGCATTATTTTCAACATGTAATATGTATATTCTGAAATTTGGCAGTGTAGAAAAGCCCTAAATTCTAATGTTCATAAACTATTAGTCATATACTTATGGAGACTTTTAGATATAAAGAAGAACTAGAAGATTATCTAGGGTGGAGTCTTCTCTTTACAGATGAACAGAGGGAGGCCCAGGTAGGGTAAGTAATGGTTTTTAAATGGCATGTAACTAGATTCAGGAACATGACTGCCAGGGACCTAGAAACCTCTTCTGTTGGGAAGACTTCCCAAGAGAAGCAATACCCACAGGGAATTTAGAGGTAAGTGGACATTAGTGAGATGAAGCCCTGGAAGGGGTTGGCTGTGTTGAGAACCATTTCAGGCTCAGGAAGCAGCAGGTGGGAGAAGTCCTGAGTCTGGAAGCGGCAAGGCACATTCAAGAAACAGAGATGTCCGAACATGCAAAATGGCTGGAAAAGAAAGCAAGGGTAGAGTCATGCAGAAGCTTGCAGGCCCAGTTATAGGTTATGTGCAAGCGGAGGCCGAGAAGGGGGTAACAAACACAAGTAGGAGGATGCAGAGAGGGGCTTTGAAGATCATGTTTTTAAGTATCACACACCTGAAATTACCCCCAGAGAGCAGCAATTCAGTGCATGGGCTTTGAGATTAGACTCCTAGAGCTCAAGTCTCATCTACTTAGGTAGGTAGGAGTAAAGTTGCTTAACTACTATGTGCCTCATGGTACTCATTTGTAAGTGGGGGTTAATAATGTTACCCACCTCATAGAGTTTTGTGAGGAATAAATGAGAACATACAAGTGCCTGCTACTACGAAGAACTCTATAAAAGTTTTCTGCAAAATGTGGTAATAGTAATCATAATAATTATAGTAATCGTTTCAACTATCTTTTGAGCACAGCAAAGAGCATTGCCAATTTGAAATCCCCAAAGCCCCAAAAAACCACGTTTTTCTAAAAGTTTGGCACACACTTTTTTGGTGACAGAACCTGACCTGAATGAATGTGAAACTATTTATGGTCTTTACTTATTGCACTTGCTGTGAATATTCATACGTTTCCCTGTGGAAAATATTGCTGTATTTGATTCTGGGTTCTGTTCCAGACTGTGCTGGGAGGGATATATAAATAGCACTGTATTCTGTTCTGAAATCCTGAAAATTCTGACTTCTAAAACACATACGACTGCCAGGGTTTCAGATAAGGAACTGTGAATCTGTATCATCTCACTCAATCCTCAGACTAACTCTTGATATCGATATTATCATCCCAACCTTGCTGCCATGAAAACCAAGATTTATCAATAGTTTGAATAATTTGCTCAAAATCCCACTGTTCATAAGAGATGGAATTGGAATTTTGGTCTAGAATTGTCTGACAACACTTTGAAGAGTCAGACACATTTGTAAACTTTCCTATCTCTTATTTATGTCTATTTTTTCAGCATTTGCATAATTTCAATTTTTTATTTTCTAAAGAGCCATAGTTGATGTTTCCAGGAAATAGAAGCATTTTCATAACCTGATGATTTTCTATTACCTAGAGGTTTTCTAAATAAGGGACTCCTTTAATAATGATGGTAGTAAGAATAATTGTTATTATTCCTATTTTAAGTCAGCTATAATTTATCGAGCACTTCTGTGTGCCAAACATTTAGCAAAGCACTTGGCACACATTATCTCATATAATCCTTACATCAACCCAATGAGGTAGGTGTTATTATTCTCTGTTTTATTAGAAGAAGACTGCAACTTAAAGACATTAAGGAATTGCCAGCTGCACACAGATTGTAAGTAACAGAGCAGGAATTTGAATCCAGTAGATAGATTGCAGGCACTGTATTCTTTTTTTTAAAGCTCCTCCTTTGTTTTATAATGATTAAAATAACACATACATATACACATGGCAAAAACTACAAACAGTAAAAAAAATTATGCAATCTTCTATCCCAGAATATAATGTAAAAATATCACCTCTCACAGTCACCACCACCTACTTTCTTCTGTATCATGCAGAAATTTGTCTTTGCACGTGGGCACGTGCGCGCACACACACACACACACACACACACAGAGTTGGTGTTTAATACCGATGTGAATATACACATTGGTCTATAGCTTACCTTTTTCATATAGCACCATATTGTAGAAAATTTCCATAACAGCACATAGAAATCTAAATAATTGTTTTACATCTACTTAATAGTGTATGGATGTAACAAATTTATTGAAGCAGACTCCTATGGATGAATATTTAGATCGTTTCCAATTTATGGCTCTTGCGAATGTGCTGCAAGTGAATATTTTTACAAAATACTTTTTCATAGAGGTTCAAGCATATTTCTAAAATAAATTTTCAAGCAGTGGAAAATTTATGCTGGGTGAAAAGGACATTGAAGTTTAAAAAACTGGAAAATATTGACAAATTTCCCCCCAAAAATATTTGTTTCCCCAACAGTGTGTATTATTAAACTTTTTAAACCCTCACACATTTGAAGATGAAAACTGTAATGTTTTAGTTTCAATTTAAATTTAATTATTGGCAAAGGTGAGCACATTTTTCTGTTTACAAAACACGGTTATATTTCTAACATTGACTATTCCTTTCCTTTATCCCTTTTTCCATAGCTTCTCAAATATTTTCTTATTGGTTTTCAGGAGCTCTTTATACATTAATGAGATGAGTCTGTCCTCTATGTTGCAGATATTTTTCTGAATTTTTAATTTGTCATTTAATTTTATATATATATATATATATATATATATACTCTAAAGAAGTTGTAAACTTTTATGTAGTTAAATGTTTCAATCTTTTCTTAGAGCCCACACTCCTAACCATTACGCCAAACTGCCTCTCTAATTTCCAGAATGATGACATTCATTCCAGTTTTGTTGTCACTTTTGTTCAGGTGTTTTAACAGAACAAGTGGCAGGTCCTCTGGGACAGAACCTGGAAGTGGAACCATACTCGCAATACAGCAATGTTCAGTTTCCCCAAGTTCAACCACAGATTTCCTCGTCATCCTATTATTCCAACCTGGGTTTCTACCCCCAGCAGCCTGAAGAGTGGTACTCTCCTGGAATATATGAACTCAGGCGTATGCCAGCTGAGACTCTCTACCAGGGAGAAACTGAGGTAGCAGAGATGCCTGTAACAAAGAAGCCCCGCATGGGCGCGTCAGCAGGGAGGATCAAAGGGGATGAGCTGTGTGTTGTTTGTGGAGACAGAGCCTCTGGATACCACTATAATGCACTGACCTGTGAGGGGTGTAAAGGTAAGCATCTTTGATTGGCAGTTTTCTCCTTCAGGTTTTACTATATTGGTTGTTGAAATCCCTTGAACTAATTGCTTCCCTTTTCCCAGGCAACTTCCCATTTTCTCCTCCTGTGCGCCTACCTCCTCCTACATCCTCACCTTTGTTGTGTAGTCAAAGATCTGTAGGAAAAGACTGTTAGAGTATTTAGCTTAATGTTTAAGACTGTTAGAGTATCTAGCTTAGAGTGTTTAGCTTTCTTCCTTTTCACAACCTCACACGTAGCTAAAGGGAACTTATGATTAAATTGAATTTTTTGTAGGTTTTGTTTGTTTTTGTTGTTTTTTTAAAAAAGAAAGAAGAAAGTGATGAACACATCTCTTTTAAAATTAAGATCTAGAAGAATACAACTTTATTCAATAAATATTTAAAAATATTTTTCATGTACTTTAGTTAATTGAGAAAGAGAGAAAGAAAGAGCCAAGTAATAATAGCTTATATTACAAAAAAATATTTTAACTTGGCATGGTGGCTCATGCCTGTAATCCCAGCACTTTGGGAGGCCGAGGCAGGCAGATCACCTGAGATCAGGAGTTCAAGACCAGCCTGGCCAACACGGTGAAATCTCGTCTCTACTAAAAATACAAAAATTAGCTGGGTGTGGTGGCAGGTGCCTGTAATTCCAGCTACTCAGGAGGCTGAGGCAGGAGAATCGCTTGAACCTGGGAGGTGGAGGTTGCAGTGAGCCAAGATCGCACCATTGCACTCCAGCCTGGGCAACAAGAGCGAAAATCCATCTCAAAAAATAATTTTTTTTTTTTTTATTTAGCCTAGGCATGGTGGCTCATGCCTGTAGTTCCAGCACTTTGGGAGGCTGAGGTGGGTGGATCGCTTGAGTCCAGGAGTTCGAGACTAGATAGAGCAACATGGGAAAACCCCATCTCTACAAAAAATACAAAAATTAGTCAGGTGTGGTGGAGCACGCATGTTGTCCCAGCTACTTGGGAGGCAGAGGTGGGAGGATCACCTGAGCCCGGGAGGTTGAGGCTGCAGTGAGCCGTGATCATGCCACTGCACTCCAGACTGAATGACAGAGAGAGACCCTGCCTCAAAAAATATATATTTTATTTAGCAGTAATACAGTTCTGTTATGGATGCTATAGAGAAATCATAACAAAATTGCAATCCATTTAAGATGGATAAAATATAATAAATGAAATATAAAAATGACAATGTAGGCCGGGCATGGTGGCTCACGCCTGTAATCCCAGCACTTTGGGAGACCAAGACGGGTGGATCATGAGGTCAGGAGAATGAGACCATCTGACTAACACGGTGAAACCCCGTCTCTACTAAAAATACAAAAAAATTAGCTGGGCTTGGTGGTGCATGCCTGTAGTCCCAGCTACTCAGGAGGCTGAGGCAGGAGAATGGCGTGAACCCGAGAGGCAGAGGTTGCAGTGAGCCGAGATCACGCCACTGCACTCCAGCCTGGGCAACTGAGCGAGACTCCGTCTCCAAAAAAAAAAAAAGACAATGTAAAATCCCATGTGATTACTGTCTCAACTAAGGCACAGATAATCGTGGTATTTATTCATTAAACAAATATTTTGGGAACACCTACCATGGGTCAGGCACTCTGCTAACATCTAGAACATTGAATACTGAATAAAAACCATCTCTTGAGCAGAATCTTTCGGATGGTGTGACACACTGGGGTTCCCTGATGTTGGTGGTTGCCACAGAAATAAACAGAGGACCCAGTCACATAAGATCGGCTCAAGGACATTTCAAACCTTTGAAAGTTCAAATGATCAGATTGTGTAAAGCCACATTAGTCACTTCTTAAAAACTGGGTATGATATTGTTAGAATTTTTTTTAAATAAAGAAGCATTTGTACACCAACTTTACAAACTAAAGCAGATCTATAAAGAAAACTTAAAAGATCCCACTTATGGCCTTCAGAATGTCCTTAACCTTTTTGTGGAGAGTCACGTCTGAATAGGTAAATGAACTTATACATTCGTTGGAAGCATAGATTAAGTCTTCTCTACCTATATTGCTACTCATAGCACCTAGCACAGTGCCTGGTACATAGTAAATATGGAATGTCTTTTGAATGACACAATGAAAAACCATGTTCATCACTGGTACGTAATTAATCAGCCTCTACTTTGCAAAAACACATTAAAATTTTTTTTTACAATACTTAATTCTTTCCCATCTCCGAATGATAAAAAGTAAATATTACCCTCGATTCCTATATGAAGTGGCAGATCTTTTTGAGCTGGCAGAGCTGTGGAGATCGAGATCTGCTTATGTTAAAGATTTTAAAATGGTGTGGAATAAAGCAGGAAAACATTTCTAATTGGTTAGAAAAATAAAATAGGCCGGACGCTGTGGTTCACTTATGTAAGTCCCAGCACTATGGGAGGCCGAGGTGGGGGGATCACCTAAGGTCAGGAGTTCAAGACCAGCCTGGCCAACATGGTGAAACCCCATCTCTACTAAAAGTACAAAAATTAGCTGGGCATAGTGGCACGCACCTGTAGTCCCAGCTACTTGGGAGTCTGAGACAGGAGAATTCCTCGAATCCAGAAGGTGGAGGTTGCAGTGAGCTGAGATTGTGCCATTGCACTCCATCCTGGATGACAGAGCGAGACTCCGTCAAAGACAGAAAGGAAGGAAGGAAGGAAGGAAGGAAGGAAGGAAGGAAGGAAGGAAGGAAGGAAGGAAGGAAGGAAGGAAAAAATAAAGTAGTTTCCAAATGACAAGCCTTGAACTGGAATTAAAATAAACAAAAATAAAACTTCTACAGTTAGGTTTGAGAAACCAACTGCTGATCTACAGGAAAGAAAAAGAACAAACTTTATAGTAGCTCTAGTCAAAAAGTGGCTGGGGCTCTTACACTGGAGGGCAAATTAGGACCAAAAGATGAAGCTTATAGGATGGCATCTTTTGAGGCCTAATTCAAGAATTAATTTTTTAGCACTAACATGAATTGTCCCAACAATGAGATTGGCTTTTTGCCTTAGGTGGTAACGAACTTCTCATTATTACAGGAATTCAAAAAGAGGTTAGATAAACAGGTTTGAGTACAGGAGATTTGTATGTTAGGTGGGACACTGTATTAGCTGGCTTCTGAAGTCCTTCCTTAAATTCTGTGAATCTGTAGTACCATATTTATAATATTCTAATCTGCCTGTTTCATCTTCTAAGCAAGTTTATAAATTTCATAAGTTAAAAAGTGACTATAATTCATGTACTCCCTCCTGTTGCTATGAACTGATGAAAGGGAAAGCTAGACCATGGTTTTTAAACCTTGACACTATTGACATTTTAGGCTGAAAAACTCTGTTGTGGGGGGATGTCTTGTACATACTGTGGGATATTTAGTAGTAGCCCTGGCTTCTATCCACTAGATCCCAGTAGCAACCCCCCACTTGTGACAACCAAAAGTGTCTACAGACATTGCTAAATGTCCTCTGGGGTTACAATCACCCCAGTTGAGAATCACTGAGAGAGACTATTCAGTGAAAAGTATAATATAGAGCTTCTCAAACTTGAGCTACACCTGGAGATTTCTTGAGGGAAGCTATAATATTTCTTGGGTGCCTCTAATGTTGACTTAAATTGCTTTTAATGAATTACTTATGCTATCAAGCAATTATAGCATAAGCTATATTATATTATAATAGCTATATTATATTGTGTATCATCTTTTATACACTGAAAAATTTCTATACACAAAGGAACAAACACAAATTTACAAAATTACATACAAACAAAACTACAAAACCAATAAAATAATGAAGTATATTAGATTGTATGGTTTTGTTGCCCAAAATGTTACCAAACTCAGGTTCTTTTGAGTTTGGTATCACTAGACCATGTGTCATATGAGGCCTCAATTCTCCACTGCTTTTCTCTCTTCGAAGAATTGATTCAACCAAACCTTTGTTCATCCAGAGCTCCATTTGGCCATCCCTGAGCTGGGTACATCTCAGGCATATGAAGTTTGCCTTTGCCATTTTGTCAAAGCTTTTTTTTTTTTTTTTTTTTTTTGAGACAGAGTCTTGCTCTGTTGCCCAGGCTGGAGGGCAATGGCATGATCTCCACTCACTGCAACCTCTGCCTCCTGGGTTCAAGTGATTCTCCTGCCTCAGCCTCCCCGAGTAGCTGGGCTTACAGGCGCCCTCCACTATGCCCAGCTAATTTTTGTATTTTTAGTAGAGATGGAGTTTCACCATGTTGGCCAGGCTGGTCTCAAATCCCTGACCTCAGGTGATCCACCCACCTCAGCCTCCCAAAGTGCTGGGATTACAGGCATGAGCCACTGTGCCTGGCCTGTCATAGTTCTTGACAAACAAGTCATATTTCTTGCTGCTAATGGGCACAAACAAAACTGAGGGTGATTAGTTTGAATATCAGTATAAGATGATCATAGATATGATCCAGAGAATGCTATTATTAGTTTTTTAAAGACTGGCATAAAATAAAAATGTAAAAAATAAATTTAATATGTGTAAAGGCCTTAGAAAAAAGTGTGGCACATAGTCAAAACTCAATAGATGTCTATTGTTATTATTGTTATGGTCCTAGAATTGATTTACATATCGTGTAATGGCAATGTGAGTGTTTTCTGCTTATATTGATAAATATTGATGCTCAAATCATCGTGAGTTGTTTAACAAGATTTATTTGACATAGATTCAGATTACCTAAAGCCACTTCAACTTGTCTGTGTAGACCAGTGCTACTCAAAGCATAGTACCTGGACCAGCAGTATCAGTATCACTAGAGAATTTATAGAATGTGGGGTTTTACCCCAGACTTACTGAATCAGAATTTCTGGGAAAGGGGCCCAAGAATCTGTGATTTAACCAGCACTACATGCTAAAGTTTGAGAATACTGGCGTAAAAATCATATCCAAAATCTTCCTAAGGCCACTCATCTGGCCAAGCATCTTGGTTTTGTGTTGTGAGTGTGAAACCCACAGGATGGGAAAAGAGAATAGGAGGAATGCTACTCTCCATGAGGTCATCAAAAGCACAATTCAGTAGAATAAAATGTAGACTTGAAACCTGGACTGGAAAGACACAAAGCCTAATCTAAGTCATGTTTCCTGCTGGGAGAGAAAGAAGCAGAAAAGAACACGCATAATTTATTCGGAAAATCTGATTCAAAAGAAAAATTCCAATATACATACTTTTGAACCTACAAATTTCAGTGCTGATGACATGCTAATTCTTTTTTTTTTTCTGAAACGGATTCTTGCTCTGTCACCCAGGCTGGAGTGCAGTGGCGCGATCTCAGCTCACAAACTCCGCCTCCCGGGTTCACGCCATTCTCCTGCCTCAGCCTCCCGAGTAGCTGGGACTACAGGCACCTGCCACCACGCCCGGCTAATTTTTTGTATTTTTAGTAGAGACAGGGTTTCACCATGTTAGCCAGAATGATCTCCATCTCCTGACCTCGTGATCCGCCCGCCTCGGCCTCCCAAAGTTCTGGGATTACAGGCGTGAGCCACCGTGCCCGGCCGATGACATGCTAATTCTTATGGTAGGCATTTTGGAAACATTCTCTCTGATCTTTACAGCAACTATGGAAAGTAGGAATTATTGTGTCTATTTTAAAATGAGGAATAAGCATATCATTTCCAAAACAAGCTAAGATATAGAGATGCCAGTGCTAATAGCTTGTGTGATGTGTTTACTATACTTTAGTAATACACTTATTAATTCTCATATCTTATGTCCATTTTATTTTATTTTCTTAAATTTATGATTGACATAATAATTGTACATGTTTATGGGGTACAACATGTTTTCATACATGTATAATTGTGTAATGATCAAATCAGGGTAATTAGCACATCTAACAGCTTAATTTATCATTTCTTCATTATGAGAATATTAAAAAACCTCTCTTCTAGTTATTTTGAAATACACAGTACATTATTATTAACTCTAGTCATGCTGCTATGCAATAGAACATCAGACATATTCCTTCTATCTAACTGTATTCTTGGACCCGTTGACTAATTTCACTGTCCCCTTCTCCCCCCATCCTCCTCATCCTCTCATAACTACCATTCTACTCTCTATTTCCATGAGAACAACGTTTTAGATTCTACATATAAGTGAGATCATATGGTATTTGTCTTTCTGTGCTTGGCTTATTTCATTTCATGTAATATCCTCCGGGCTCATCCATGTTATCACAAATGGCAGGATTTCATTCTTTTTTATGGCTGAATAGTATTCCATTATGTATACATACCACATTTTCTTGATCCAGTCATCCATTGATGAACGCTTAGGTTGATCCCCTATCTTGGCCATTGTGAATAATGCTGCAATAAACATAGGAGTGCAGATATCTCTTTGACATACTGATTTCATTTCCTGTGGAGATATACCCTGTGGTGGGATTCCTGGATTATATAGTAGTTACATTTTTAATTTTGTGAGGAAACATCATACTGTTTTCCATTATGACTACACAAATTTACACTCCCACCAGCAGTAAGGGTTGACTTTTCTCTACATCCTTGCCAAAACTTGTTATCTTTTGATTTATTGATAGTCATTCTAAATGGAGTGAGGTGATATCTCATTGTAGTTTTGCATTTTCCTGATGATTAGTGGTGTTGAGTGCCTTATGCCCATTTTATGGAAGTGGAAGCTGAAGCATAAGTTGTTAATCTATTTACCCAAGTTTTCATAGCTAATAAGAGCTTCAAAACTATAGCTTATAATCTAACTCCAGAGCCTGTATGATTGACCACTAGGCTATGATGCCTTTTATTGGTTGTCCACTAAGTGATTGTTCTGCTCTTCAGTTGTTTGCTCAAGGGTAATATTGACTAATTCAATGGCGAGAGGAAGAAAACGAAGCAGTCCGTTTAGCTGTTAAAGAATCAGTAGTGTCTAAGCCAAGGGAATGAATCCCTAAAGTCACTAACCTTGGATAGCTTACCTCCTTAGAAGAGAATTTTTCTTTCTGTCTTGTGAACTGTGCTTATGACCAAGTGAAACTTGGTCCACCTGCGAAGAGTTCTGGGGCATGGCAGGGTAAATAGAGTGAGACCAGTGGGCCAAGGACAACCCTGGAAAACACTTACCTTAAAGGTGGTCAGGGGAAGAGAAGCCCACAAAGGATATAGAATAGAAGTAATCAAGATAGAAGTCTACAAGGAAGTGCAGGATCACAGAAGGCAAGGAGATGGAGAAAGTAGTCAGAAGAGAGCCAACCTTTGGGGAGGTTTAGGAAGGAGAAGCTGGATTTGGACATAAATATATTTTTAAGAGCAGAGAAAGACAAAATTTTTCCATTGATTTTGATTTGAGACGTTGCCCCCATGGTGTCAGGAAAAGGACAAGCATGCAAGGGAGAGGATGGGTTGGAACCAGGCAGGGCCCATGTTCTATGCCAGGGATTGGCACATTTTTTTCTGTAAACATCCAGACAATAACAAGTTGAGGCTTCACACCACAGCAGCCTCTGTTGCAACTAATCAACTCTGCTACTGGAGTGCAAAGGCAGCCACATAGAAAATGAGCATAGCTATATTTCAGTAAGCTATACTTACAAAAATAGGCAGGAAAAAAAATGACAGTGGGCTGGCTGCAGTTTGCTGAACACTGTTCTTGACCAATGACTTTTTTTTTTTTTTTTTTTTTTGAGATGGACTCTCGCTCTGTCACCCAGGCTGGAGCGCAGTGGCAATCTTGGCCCACAGCAACCTCCACCTGGGTTCAAGTGATTCTCCTGCCTCAGCCTCCCAAGTAGCTGGGATTACAGGCACCAGCCACCATGCCCAGCTAATTTTTGTATTTTTAGTAGAGACGGGGTTTCACCATGTTGGCTAGGGTGGTTTTGAAGTCCTGACCTCAAGTGATCCACCCGTCTCAGCCTTCCAAAGTGCTGCGGTTGCAGGCATGAGCCACCGTGCCTGGCCTTGACCCATGACTCTTAAGGGTTGGTGTACGAATTAACTGGAAGCTGTGTAGTGAATGAGCACAAGATTCAACTCACAGCCCCTATGTGAGAGAAATGTAACTTTATTTTTTAAAATTGGATTTAATTCAGTCTAGAGCTCGGTGGAAACTTTATTTCATTTTATTCAGTATCATTCCATTCACCCCCGCCAAAATTCTTCTGGCGGTTTATCTAAGTACCAGGATTAAGGGAGGGTTGTGGAGGGATTGGGCACTGGGGAGTGGGGCTCTGGCCCCACAGCTGTGGGGCTGGGTGGGGCTTGGTGCCACAGCTGTTGACACAGTCTGAGATCTGTTGGAGTGCTGTTGTATTTGGTCTTCAGTCACCAGTGGGAAAGGTCTCTGTGACACCATCCTGGGGTACTGAGCACACTCTTCCATCACGTCTGGCCCTGGCTGTCTCCTTCATTCAGCTCAGGTGGGTGGGTTCTGATGTTGCATCAGTGCTGTGTTGGGATGCCTGGCTTCCCAGAGAAACCATGCTGCCATTTCATCTGCTCTATGCCATGCTGGGTGCAGAGAACCCTGGGGGTTTCTCCAGTTCTACCCAGGAAAGGGCATAAGAATCCTCGTCTTCCAGGATCCCAAATGACGTGGAGTTTCTATAATCTCTCAATCCACCTATCCTAGGATTCTGTCTGGGGATAGGGAGTTGGGAGGGACAGAGCTCAGGACCTTCTCAGGTACCTAACATGTCTTAGCTCTTTGACTTCCCCTTTAGTTGTCTGCTTCCTCCCGACTTGAATAAGTTTTATCTGGTCTTCAGGATTGGGGGCTTAAGCTCTGGCGTCTGAAAAGCCAAAAACAGGCTCCTTTATCTTCCTTATGTGTTCTCCTGTGAAAACAAATGAAAATTATCCTACCTTAGTGAATGGAGGAATGAGGAAGGGCTGTGAGGAAAACCAGAGGAGAAGGACAGAATAGAGTGGAATGCATATCAGAGGACCAATGCCTCATGCCTGCAGGTCTTGTGAGAGCTGCTCAGCCAACCTGGTTTCCCCGCTGACCCCGCAGCCCACTTCCCCCATGCACATCTCTTGATATCTGCACTCAGCAGATGCAAAGCGAATTATACTCTGTAACTTTCCATCAAAGGGAGCACGGGCTTTGCGGGCTGACAAGCTCACATTGAATCTAGGCTCTGCACTTCTTGGCTGAATAAACAAGTTACTTAATATTTACTGGTTAGAGTTCAGCAAAATAAAACAGAAACCAACAATTCAAGCAGAAAAGAATTAATACAGAAGTTGGAAGAGTCAGAGTAACAGGATCTATGCTAAGTTTCTGGGAGATGCTCAGAGCCACACTGCAGAACTGGCCCGCCGGTTGCTTTTCTGCCAAAATCAAGAAGATGGGGACTCAGGAAGCCACCTCAGGACTGTTGGCTCCAGGAAGACACCACCTCAGCTGCCATCTAGGGATCAGGAAGTTGCCTTCACTGGCAATCACTAACTCCAGAGACGGGGCTTGCCTGCCAAATCTGCACCTGCAAACAATGAATACCCTGTCCCCTGCCTTTCAATACCCTCAAAGCTAGTGACTGGAAGCCAGAGTGCTGCCACAGCAAAACTCCACAATCCCGCTTACCAGTAGAAACAACGGAAGAACAGCTTGCTTCTCCTTTCCAAAAGTCTTACAAGGGCATCTCTATGGGAGAGCTTAAATCATATCCACCATGTTAGCTGCGAAGGAAGTCTGGGCAAGGTTATGTTCTACTTTCCTGCCTCTCTGGTAATAGGATGTGCACTAGACTAGAAGGGAGGTGCAGAAGATATAAAGCTAGCGAATTCTTAAGACCGTGCAATATTTATTCCTCTGAGCCTCAGATCTGCAAAATAGGGATATTATCTATTTTGTGGGACATTTGTGTGGATTGTACAAGATTTATATTACATTATATTATATATTAGAATTTACCAGCTCTCTTGCTTTAGTATTTCACTGAAGATTTGTCAGTCCTGTGATACTTAAAACAAACAAAGAAAACACAAGAGAATTTAAAAAAAAAAAGCAACCTTAGAAACAAAACAAAGATCAGGGTTAAATTTCCTCATTACATTGGTCTCTTTTTCTGGTTCCACTAAAAATATTTTAATTTGTCTCAGTGTTTTATTTGTCATAAGTATTTATAGCATCAATGAGAGAAATGATGGTTTTCAATTTTTGTAAGTAATAACTTGGGAACACAAGCATCACGCAGAATGACAATGACTGCCACTTTCTCAGGACTAGATTAAATCAAGAGCTTTCTTTTGCCCTCAGTTATCAGTGCAGCATATGGAAATGTGCTAATGTCTGAATGAATTTTGATTCAAACCTCAAACCTCAACCAACAAAACTGATCAGCATCTAACTGAAAATTTCAAATGGCTGCATTTCCAAATAGGTCAGTGTCTGTCACATTTGTTTCAATGCCAAGAGAGTCTTCACACATCCGAGAATGGTAGAATTCCTAAAAGATGCTGTCTGAGTAAATGAGTGACCCTACTGCCTTTCTGAATATATTTTTGTGTAGGATTGTGAACCAGCATTAGACTTAGGTCTGAAGTTTTAAAAAAGCTTCCAAAAGTATTGAAACTATTCCAGTATAGAATAGATGTAGTGTTTCCAAAGGATCCTTTGTTTATGGACATTTGTGAAAGCTGAGGAGTGCTGACCTATATATAAACTTATTGACATCCTATTTAAGATCAAGCAAGGTCTGATTTTATACAATTTAATAATGATCCTAATGAATTCTAGAGGTCAAATTATCTTGGAGTATGATGCAAGATGGGGTTCCAAACTATTTCACTGCATTGGAACCCTTTTGTAGTAAGTGTTATGAAAATCGTGGGAAGAGTAGGACCCTGAAGGCAAACAACATGCTTTCCAATCCCAGCTGATTCTCTTCCCAGGTGTCCTAAATTACTTAACCTTTCTGATCTTTAGACTCCCCACCTGTAAGATAAGGACAACAATGAAGATGAGATAAAGATGAGGAGATGATGATGATGATGGTGATGATGATAATGGTGATGGTGATGGTGATGGTGGTGGTGATAATGATGATGATGGTGATGGTGATGATGATGGTAATTATGGTAATGTTGGTGATGTGATGATGATGATAGTAATAATCATGTTGATAGATAATCTATATCAAGTGATTACTATGTGCAGGCACTGTTCTGGGAGGCTTTATATGTACTAATTTGTTTAATCTTCAGGACAGTCTTTTGAAGCAGGTATCTGTAGATTGTCATGAGGATTAAATAAATTGATACCTGTAAAGTACTTAACAGAGTTCTTCCCAATGGAAAATCCTCAATCATTGCCTGCTATTATTACTATTATCATTGGGTTGTTGTGAATTTAAAAAAATGGGATATTATTTTTAAAATATCTAGCTCTGTACCTGGCACTCTTTTTAAAAAGTTTTTTTTTTTTTAGATTTCAATAGCTTTTGGGGGTACAGTCGTACAAATGGTTTTTTGTTACATGAATGACTTGTATAGTGATGAATTCTGAGATTTTGTTGTACCTGTCACCAGAGTGTATACATTTTATCCAATATGTAGTTTTTTATCCCACACTTTTCTCCCCTCCTCCCTTTTGAGTCTCTGAAGTCTATTATACACTCTGTATACCTTTGCTTACTGATAGCTTAGGTCCCACTTGTAAGTGGGAACACATGGCATTTGGTTTTCCATTCCTGAGTTACTTCACTTAGAATAATGGCCTTCTGCTCTACCCAAGTTGCTGCAAAAGACATTATTTCATTCCTTTTTATGGCTGAATGGTATTCCATGGTGTATATATACCACAGTTTCTTTATCCACTCATTGGTTGATGGGCACTTAGATTGGTTCTATATCTTTGCAATTGTGAATTGGGTTGCAATAAACATACATATGCATGTGTCTTTTTATCTAATTACTTTTTTTCCTTTGGGTAGACACTCACTAGTGGGATTGCTGGATCGAATGGTAGATCTACTTTCAGTTCTTTAAGAAATCTCCATAACGTTTTCCATAGAGGTTGTACTAATTTACATTCTCACCAACAGTGAAAAGCATTCCCCTTTCACTACATCCACACCAAAATCTATTATTTTTTGACTTTTTAAAAATGGGCATTCTTGCAGGAGTAAGGTAGTATCTCATTGTCATTTTAATTTGCATTTCCCCAATGATTAGTGATACTGAACATGTTTTCATGTGTTTTTTGGCCATTTGTATGTGTTCTTTTGAGAAATGTCTATTCATGTCATTTGTCCACTTTTTGATGAGATTACTTGATTTTTCCCTTGCTGATTTATTGAGTTTCTTATAGATTCTGGATACTAGTACTTTGTCAGATGCATAGTTTGCAAATATTTTATCCCATTCTGTGGGTTGTCTGTTCACTCTGATGATTATTTATTTTGCTGTGTAGAATCTTTTTAGTTTAATCAGGTCCCATTTATTTATTTGTTTGTTTTTGTTGCATTTGTTTTTGGGGTTTTAGTCTTGATGTACCTGGCACTCTTACATGCTCAGTAATCATTAGATGTGATTTTGTTGGTGAATTCTTATTTGTTATTCCTCTGTTCATTCAACCTCCCCAGTCTGGGTCATACACTGTTTTCAAAACTCTCCCTCTTCCTATTAGTTAACCCAATTCTTTATTCAGCAAATATTATTAAGTACCAGTTTGTATGCCGGAGTCTATTCTAAGCATAGGAGATGCCTTGGTGAGCAAACCAGACCAAATTCTTGCCTTCATAGTCACCATTCTAAAGCAAAAGCAGAAAAATAGTCTACATAACTCAGCTAAAATAGACAAAAAGAGAAAACAGTCAAGCAAACAAAAAGATTAAGAAATATAAAATCAGTAAAAGAGTATCGAAAAGAATACGTAGAAAAATGCAATGGTAATAAAATGATTTCCAGGGAATATGAACTGACATTTCACATAAACATATAGGTGATGAGGCAAGACAAACTAAGATGATAAAAACTAAATTTAAACAAGAAAAAATGTTTAAAGCAAACATATAAGCAATATGTATAAGTAGTGGTTAAAAGAAACGTCTTAAAGCATAAATTACTAAATGAGAAAAGTTATAAATCTACACTCAAGAAAAAAATGGAAATAGGCATTTAAGCAGCAGTTTGGAGGTGAAAGGTTTAACCCCACAGAGCAAACGAATTCACTTGGGCTCAGGTAGCTACGAGCAGCATCAGGCACCTCCCAGTGCTGGAATTCACCTATTAGAAACCCAGAACACCCCTAGGAACCTCAGGGAAGATGCTGGGGACCAGGTGCCGGTCACTGTGGGCCACTAGCTTCTGGGGGTTTGCCTACCTGGCACTTTAAATGGTCACTGAAGGTATCCAAAGCCAAACTCCAGCACAGCTTGGCTGTCCTCATCATAACCCCTGTCCTCATCCTCTCAGCAGAAACCCAGTAGGTCTGATGGTGTCAGTGGGTTTTTGCTTTCTACTCCTTTAGCCTCCTTCATCACTTAATAAGCATTTTGTCAAAGAAATGAGTGCATGTGATTCCAAAGTCAAATGGTAAGAAGGGCATATCATTAGAAAAAAGCCCCACTCCTACCCTCTTCAACTGCTCCTAGAGGCAACCCCTAAGAACCACTTCAGTTTTCTTTGCTTTTTGTATTTTATTGTTTCTTTCTTTGTTGTGTGGATAGTCTTTATTTATTTCTGTAGTACCATCTTCCCTCCCAACAAACATGGAAGAAAAAAAGAAGGGGCTGGTGGGAAGAAATGCCCTGGGGGACACACCTCTCCAATCTCTGCAGTTTTGAAGAGGGAGTGTTGAGGTGGAAGTCTTGGGGATATGGGGAAGATGGCCAGCCCCTCCTCTTGTCTCCCAGGTGGCTCTTGGCAGCCTTTTAAAGCTTAAACTCATCAGTTATTTTGGAGACGATGCTTTTAAAAGACTTGGAAGTCTGGGATATATGCTTAAATGGAAACTTCTTGAGATATCTCCAAAGCAATTTTCACACCTCCATCTTCCACTGTACTGAGTTCTCTTGGTCCCACTGTGGCTGCATGCACAGCAGCATGCAGTTCTTGTACAGTCTCTGGAGTCTGAAGGAGTTCCATTTTGTCTTATCAATGATCTGCACAGCTACCTCTTTCCTAGTTAGGGTGTGTCAGGCCAACTGCATGGTGACCAAGTTACCCTGGTTGATGGTCGTGATGAGCCAGTAGTTGCCAATATGGGTATCCTCAGCAGAGATGCCTGAGAGGTCCTGCAGTACGTTGGAGATAGGGCTTGGAGTCAAGGTGTCCCGAGGTAGGCTTAAATTTGGGAAAAGCTGATTAAAAGCTTGGTCCAAATCATGTCAAAAGAATATAACTTCCAAAATCCACCTGATGACCTAATCTTTATAATGAAATCAAAACACAATGCCAGAGAAAAATAAAAATAAACAAAAACAAATGCTAACACACTAAATTTAAAAAGAAAAATGAGAAAAAATTCTTACAAAGTCTTTGTATAGTTTTGGTATTAGGGTAATGCTGGCCTCATAAAATAAGTTAGAAAGTGTTCCCTCTGCTTCTATTTTCTGGAAAAGATTGTACAGAATTGGTATCATTTCTTCTTTAAATGCTTGACAGAATAAACCAGTGAGACCATCTGGGCCTGTTGCTTTCTGTTTTAGGTTATTCATTATTGATTCAATTTCTTTAATAGTATAGGCCTATTTTGATGACCAATTTCTCCTTGTTGAGTTTTGGTAGGGTATGTCTTTCCAGGAATTTCATCTAAGTTAGCAAATTAGCAGGCTTGGAGTTGTTCATATTTCTTTATTTTTCTTTTAATGTCCATGGGATTAGTAACGATGGGCCTCTCCTTCATTTCTGATATTGGTAATTTGTGTCTTCTCTCTCTCTTTTTTCTTGGTTAGCCTTGCTGGGCTTGGTTAGCCTAGCCTTATTAATTTTATAGATCTATTTTATTGACTCTATTAATTTTTATTGATCTATTTAAAGAACCAGCTTTTGGTTTCACTGGTTTTTCTCTATCATTTTCTTACTTTCAATTTCATTGATCTCTGCTCTAATTTTAAGTATTTTTTTTTTTTGCTTATTTTGGATTTAATTTGTTCTTTTCTAGTTTCCTAAAGTGGAAGCTTAGATTATTGATTTTAGATCTTAATCAATATATGCATTTTAATGCTATAAATTTCTCTGTAAACACTGCTTTTGTCACATCCCATAAATTTTGATAAATTGTATTTTCATTTCCCTTTAGTTCATTTTCACTTAGTTCTTTAAGTAGTCACCTCTATGTCTTCTATTTGCATTATGTGTAACCTTTTAGAAACCTTTGTGATGTAAGATATGTTATATTCCTATATTTCTCTAAATCAAAGTTAATCTCTTCTAAGCTCACAACTCTCCCGGCTGATGTGAAATTCATCTGGTCTATGTTTGAGAATACTCCTTCCTCCAGGATCGTGCGCAAACCTCAGGATCATGTTCAACTTTGAATTGGTCCCTTCAAAGTGAACAACTCAGCCACAGTCCAGCATGGACATCTTACCCCAGGGTTTTCAAGGCCATGGTTCTTAGTATCTTCCTGTCCTTGTCTCAGAGCTACATCATTAGAGATCTGTCACTCCTCTAGAAGCTCTTTATTAGTGCTGGTTCAATACTCACAGAACCTCCCAGACTCATCCCATTCCCAATTCTACAAGCATTGCCCTTCACCTCCAACACCTTTGAGATGATGCAATATAACCGTTTCAAAGAGAGGTCGAAAACAAAAATCCTATGTGAGAGTTATCTTTATTTAGAGACAGAAAAATTGCAGCTTTTGTCCCAGCAAGTGAACAAGAGTTTCCGCCCTCTTGGGATGGAAAAGAAAATGAAAAAGCAATAGAAGCAAGAAAAAAGCACACATAAATACCTTGATCAGTTATCCTTTCATCTTAATGCTCCTACAATTATTGCAAAACAATCATTTATGAACTCAAACTGGGGACGGTAACAAATTTGTTATGGGCTGGGCACTTGCCATGCTGTGTAAAACCTGGGTAGATTCATGTCTCAAGATAATTTTTAAAAATGTAAACTTCCTACTAAAAGGACAGCATAAGGCAGTGGTTAAGAGCACAGAGTCAGGTGGGCACAGTGGCTCATGCCTGTAATCCCAACAGTTTGGGAGGTTGAGGCAGGAGGATTGCTTGAGCCCAGGAGTGAGAGACCTGCCTGGACAACATAGCTAGACTCAGTCTCTATAAAAAATTAAAAATTATTAATAGCTGGGCATGGTGGGGTACACCCATAGTCCCAGCTACTCAGGAGGCTGAGGTGAGAGGATCGCTTGAGCCCAGGAGTTTGAGGTTGCAGTGAGCTATGATTGCACCATGCAATCCACCCTGGGCGACAGAGCAAGACCTTGTCTAAAAAAATAGGAAATAAAAAGAGTGTAGGGTGTGAGCTTATCAAGGTTCACATCTAAACTCTACCATTTGCTCTCTGCAGGACCTTGAGCAAATTAACTTCTTTGTAACTCAGTCTCCTCTTTGGTAAGAAAGAGATAATAGTATGTGATGTTCCCCTTCCTGTGTGCATGTGTTCTCATTGTTCAATTCCCACCTATGAGTGAGAACATATGGTGTTTGGTTTTTTGTCCTTGCGATCGTTTGCTGAGAATGATGGTTTCCAGCTTCATCCATGTCCCTACAAAGGACATGAACTCATCATTTTTTATGGCTGTATATTATCCCTAAAACTTAAAGTATAATAATAAAAAAAAAGAAAGAGATAATAGTAGTATCTGCCTCATTGGATTGTTATGAATAGGAAATGAATTGCCATTTACCATTTTAGAACAGTGCCTGGCACAAAATAAGTGCTGTATAAGCGGAGACAGACCTAGAAGCTGTCTCTATTTAGGTCATCTTGAATGGAAGGATCTCTAGTTACTCACCTCTGTGTGTTTGCTGCTATTTTAAAAGCCTGTAGACCCTTAAAGTTTTACAACATCAACCAATATTTTATTGATTGCAAAGTAATGGGTGGCCTACTACCAGTGGCTATCAGTATCAGTCACTGGAGTCTGGCACGTGCATGTGTATGTACACATATATGTGTATGACTTGAGAATAGGGTGTGGTATGTGGCTTCTACCAGTATAAAGAAGCATGAGAAGTGCCTGAACTCAGGAAGCAGAGGTTGCAGTGAGCTGAGATCACGCCACTGCACTTCAGCCTGGGCAACAGAGTGAGGCTCCATCTGGGAAAGAAAAAAAAAAAAGAGGCAGAAAAGCAGTGTGCAATATTCTGCAGAATCGAGGAATCCATGTAAAAGTACCATCCTATAGCTATTTTCTTGCTACCCCAGGGATCCCATTGGTGCTACACATTCCCCAGATGGCAATGCCAACCCTGTCTACTTATCCTGTATTACCAGCAAGGCTCTGTTCCTCAGTGAATTTCCTTTCCATTCATTTTCAAATGACTTTTCTGATATGAGCATTGTTGAATATGCACAAGAAAGAGGCAGAGGTATGTGTATGGATAGATTTGCATAAGTATAAATACAGTATATGTACCCATATTTAAATGATATAATGATAATATTGTGTTGCTATTCAGAGTGAAAGCTAATTAATTCAGCTATTGAGATGATAATGATTTCTTTTTCAGTTAATACCAGAGTCAAAAAACCCTGCAGAATGGTTCTACGCACTGTTCCTTTGACTCATCTTGGAAGAAAGACCTTTATTCTGTTAACTATTAAGCTGTCTATCAGTATCTATGACAGTTTTAAAGGAAATCATTCCTGGGAGGGGTAGAAGATTATTAGTAGGAAGGCTGACTCATGTAGGCTCAAGTGGACATTGAGGTCATGATTTGGTACCAGGAAAGAAAAAGTCCTCTTTTTGCTTTTAGTCTCTTAAAATGCATGCTTTGGTATTTGCACTCTCAATATCAACACTGATCTGCAGCACAAAGTCTTTTTTTAGACTTTATTTGGTTGGATTTGACATTTAGAAAAATGTTAAGATCTTTCCTACTGAAATTTACACCAGCTGAAAAATTCACAAGCAAGTCCATGACTTTCTTAACCTTGACATCTCTAACTTTTCCTTCAGCCTCTGTTTTCATATTTCATGAGTTACCAAAACCTGATGTTCTCTCTGTTTCCTCCTTTCTCTTCTGTCCCACTTTAGTTCAGGCATTGGTAGCCTCTCAGTTGTATTATGGCAATAGTCTCCTCTCTCTAGTCTCCAATACGCGTTCCACCTTTACCTTGCTCCGAGGAGCTTCCCAACATACAGGTTAGGTCATACTGTCCCCTGTCAAAGCCTTTAATGGCTTCCCTCTTTCAACATGGTAAAGACTCAACTCCTTTGCTTGGCATTCAAGGACACTTAATCACATTCTGTTCCTGTTACAACTGCTTACCCATCTCCCACTAATTCTCTCCATACTCTACCCAACCGCCACCAAGATGGAGTATCTACCCTTTCTTGGAATTTTCATAACACCCTGTGTTTGCTCATTTTTCCGAATGTCTTTCCTCCCTCATGGTCCATGTTTCTAAAACCTTACTTATTCTTCAAAGCCCAGATCAAATTCTATTTCCTTCATGGACCCCTCCCTGATTCTGGCTACTCTTAATTAATCAGGTTCACTCCCAGTCTATACAATGCCTTTTCTTCGGGGCGCTTGACTTCTAGCAGTTGGGAAATCCTCATATTATACTTATCTTGCTAGAACAATTTTTAAGTGCCTTCTGCTGGAAAATTGTCATAAGAAATATGCAGCTCTACATGGGTGCAGTGTAATTGCTGCCTCTCCTCCTTAAATGTGGCACAATCTTTACAAGCATATGGTGTGGACCTGCTTCTACATTTCAATAATTTATTCCTTGTTTAGCTATCTCATCACTCATATTTTATATTATGCTGTAAATTTACTTCTGTTTATTCCAACTAAGTATGCAACTCTGAAGACAAGGAATGTCTTATTCATCTTGGTATTTCCCAGGTCAGAGAATGCAGCTTTCAGATAGTTGGTACTTAACAGTAAACTATTTTACTCTCTTGTAACCCAAGGGTGGCAATTGCAAGATAGTAAAGAGTACAGGCTTTAGTGCATGACTGCCTGGGTTTGAACCTTCCTAGCCAACTACTAACCATGTGATCATGGCCAAGATACTTAAACTCTCTGTACCTTTTTTTCTTCATCTATAATATGGGGACAAATAATACTATCTTCATCATAAAATTGATATAAGAATTACATCAGTAAATGGAGGTAAAGTAGCTCAAACAATAGCTACTAGGTGCTTAATAAATGTTAGATATTATTCCAACAGTCTGTTAAAATAGGAAGGACTCCTCTCAATTTTGACAGAGACATGAAGACACTAGATGCTACATTCCAAGGTGAGCCCATCTGGCAGAAATTTCACAGTGGATATTCAAGAACCAGTTAAACATCTCACTTATTTTGAGGGAATGAAGAGATCAGGAGTTGGAAATTATAGAGAGGTCTTATAAAGATTTTGGAGCATGTGACTAGTGTGCTGTGTGAATCTTACATCCCTACTGCAAAGGAGAATGTTGGAAATGGGAGTGTCTGTCCCTCGGGCCACCACTGGAACGTGTAGTAACTTTGTGAGAATTGGAAAATGGTGTCCCCTCATGCCCCCAAAATGTATACTAAAGAGGTCCTGTTGCCCCAAGCCCAATGAAAGAGTCTTCAAGACGATCACTTGAGTAGGTTGACATGTATCCCCTGAAGCTGACAGACATGGGGACTTTGTGTCTCACTTTCACCCGAGAAGTTGAAAGGCAGGAAGCCGGGTGGCTGACTGCTCATGGATAAATGGGAGAGATTTCTCTGCTCCACAGAGATTGTTAGATCAGAGAAAGCCATTATGGGGTTATCTTAGGTCCATGTGAAGAGAACCACATAGAGTGACCTCAGTGTAAAAATTGTGGAGTGAATCGCCAGATTCCTAGATGTTGAAGGAGACACATACCATGGGCTAGAATAGATATGTATTTGCCCTCATCAAAAAAGTTCAGATGAGGCTGGGCGTGGTGGCTCATGCCTGTAATCCCAGCACTTTGGGAGGCTGAGGCGGGCAGATCACTTAAGGTCAGGAGTTTGAGACCAGCCTGGCCAACATGGTGAAACCCCATCTCTACTAAAAATACAAAAATTAGTCGGCCGCGGTGGGCGGCGCCTGTCATCCTAGCTGCTCCAGAGGGTGAGGCAGGAGAATCCATTGAACCTGGGAGGCAGAGACTGCATGAGCTGAGATTGTGCCACTGCACTCCAGCCTGGGCGACAGAACAAGACTCTGTCTCAAAAAAACAAAAAACAAAGTTCAGATGAAAGTATCCCGAAGATGAGAGGTCTCTAAACAACCCAACCCAATGGAGAAAGAGACAACTTTGAAAACTTGCTATGCACAAACCAGCTTACAGAAATACTAGGCGAGTAACTGCCTTCCTGTCATTTCTTCTCTTACCTCTCACAATCCTCTCCTGAATTCAACACTGCCTCCTTGACTCTGAAAGTGTCAGGAACTGTGGTTAGTCAGATGGAGGAGAAAGCAGAAAGTGGGGAAATGGAGCAGCAGAGTTGAAGTCGGTTACCTCCCTTCTTCACTCTAGGCATCTTACCTGTTAACAGGCTGCAGCTGTGCTATACCTTCTCGGGGGAGATGGTTGCTTTTAGCTCAAGGTTGGCATTTTTATTATTATGCCAGGCTGGCATATAAAGTACTGAATTGAAACCTTGAATGCGATTTTCTCCCTGAATGCCTGGTTAACAGCAACTCACTTTCCAAAACTTAGCTCAGTGCTCACTCCCTATCCTGACCTCTTCATCCCAAACTGAGGAATCTGTGTGTCTGCTCTGCCGCAGTGCAGCTTTTAGAGCCCAGGCAACATGTAATTTCACTTGTTTAGTTGTTTGTGCGTCTTTGTCCTCAGCCAGCCTTTAAACTCTTGGAGCCCAGGGGTGAATTGTTTGCCTTTGTACCCTCTGCACTTAGTGCTCACTGGCATAGAATTGTCCCCCAATAAAGATCTATGAAAGTAATTTGTCTTAGAAAACAAATTCACATTTTTCCTAAGAGAGGCTATAATTCAAATTTGTCTTTATTTCTGAGAGATAAATTAAAAACAACAGGCTTCTCAACAACACAATGTCACATAAAGTATTTGTCACTGGTGTGCTCAAGGATGGCCTGGGTGCTCTCCAGCAGTTGGTGAGAAAATGTCCTGGCATCTCTCAATCCAAACCTGTTTTTTTCCTGAGAAGCTGTGAGAGGACTTTTTACACTTTTCAGTGTTTCTCCCACAGGTTTCTTCAGGAGAAGCATTACCAAAAACGCTGTGTACAAGTGTAAAAACGGGGGCAACTGTGTGATGGATATGTACATGCGAAGAAAGTGTCAAGAGTGTCGACTAAGGAAATGCAAAGAGATGGGAATGTTGGCTGAATGTATGTATACAGGTATTCACTTCAAGCAATTACATTTCACTAAAAATCTCTTAAGGAGGCAGATGTCAGGTAACTCATCACGAGAGTGCTACTTCACATATTAAAGAAGGAACCTACTAAGCCATCTAAGTTCTTGAAAAGGGTAATGAACCACTGAAATTGTCCAAACTGTCAACTAAAGAGCATTTTAGTCACCCGAAAGAAATGGGTTTTTTTTGTTGTTTTTCTTTGTCGCAGTGAACTATACATGGAGCCCAGTGGCATTAACATACCATTCAAATAATGTGCTTTAATGAGCTACGAATGACATCTAAAAGTTTCCTCTAAATTTGATTTTAATATACTTATTATTTATTGCTTAATTAGCATACAAATTCACTATTGTGGAAAAAAATGAGAATGCTTTATAAGGTATAACTGCCTCTGAATTGTCTAAATAGAGTTCTAAACCAAGTCATTTTATTAAGGATCTGTCTTCTCTTAGTGCAGCTTTGAACCAATTTGTATAGGTTTACACAGGAAATTAACTACTCCCAGTTTTAATATAATTTTGTCTTTCTATCTGATAAAGAGACACTGTATTAACTGCTGGCTTTGTGAGGAACTGTAATCTTCATCAAAAATTGGAATGCATGCTAGTATATAACATAATTAATTTTTCATTCTGCAAATTCTACAGACCACTCAGATTCTGAGATATGTCCTGTTTCTCCTCAAAACACAAATAGACAAATGTCACCAAGGGGATGACAGCATTCAGGCAGGGAATGCCAAATGAAATAAAAGCCTTCAGAAGGTGACTCCAGTTCTATTGTTACCAAACTGTACGGGCAACTGGGATGGACCCAGGGAAATAATGCATGCAGGTTGGGGGAAAATAGGTCTGTGTAAATAATCCAGCTCTGGGTGGATGAAAATTTTATAGTAGCTGATCACAATCTCATCTTAGCATACATGAAATGAGAACCTGCAATAGGGGCTGCTGCTGGAATCCAATCTTGCAATGGAAACACTTACTCTGACACTGCACAGCTCATATAGCTCATCACTTAAATATGAACTTGTTCCAGCTGGAGCGCTGAGGACATTTTGCATGAAGCCACATATAGCAGTCTATAATATTTATGAACACAAACTCATCCAGTAACAGATGCGGATATTTCATGGTTCTATAAAATAAATTCCCTGTACAAAGAAATTCCTGGAACTTTGTTTTATTGGCATTGAGAAAAGAGTAAGGACGTTAAATGGGATGAAGGGAAGATTGTTTTACATTATTTTTAATAGCTCTCTTTTTTTTTTTTTTGTTGAGACGGAGTCTCGCTCTGTCGCCCAGGCCGGACTGCGGACTGCAGTGGCGCAATCTCGGCTCACTGCAAGCTCCGCTTCCCGGGTTCACGCCATTCTCCTGCCTCAGCCTCCCGAGTAGCTGGGACTACAGGCGCCCGCCACTGCGCCCGGCTAATTTTTTGTATTTTTAGTAGAGACGGGGTTTCACCTTGTTAGCCAGGATGGTCTCGATCTCCTGACCTCATCCACCCGCCTCGGCCTCCCAAAGTGCTGGGATTACAGGCGTGAGCCACCGCGCCCGGCCTTAATAGCTCTCTTTAAGTGTAAATCAATGAGGTTGATTGTATGATCATTCAAAGACATTTTAAAAGTCACCTTGTATTATTTTTATTTTTAACTGTATTCTCAGGAATTGGCACTGTTCTTAAAATTAACAGGATTTTAAAAATTTCCCTAAAGGATGTTAACATTTGTTTTTCTCAATAAGTTTATATGTATTTAATGTGAAATTCAATATCCTTCTTCTGGTACAGTATGTAAACATGGATGAAAATAATATTAATGGCATGTTTTAAAACACCAATTTTCACAGTCCCCTAGAGCAGGAACAGGGAGAGTGTCATTCACCTTTTCATTGACTGAATCCCTTGCATTTGTACAATGCTTTCATATCACAAGTTCTTTATATAAAGCTCATTTAAAAATGATTATTGCTTTTATTTTGTGTAGATTATTGCTTTTAATCTACACAAAACTCTATGAGGTAGATATTATTCCCATTTTACAAATGAGGAAACTGAGACTCACAGAGGTTAAACTACTTGTTCAAGGTTAAGTCTCAAACCTTGGCCTTCCCTTTCTAAAATGCATAAAAGGCTAGCGTTAGTTCTGTGCCATTGCATAGGGGATCTTCTGGGCCAGGTACATATCAGTGGTTTTATGACCACACACCCAACAGTACTTTCTGTGATTGGTGAAGTCTCTATGCTTATTTGTTTTAGGCTTGTTAACTGAAATTCAGTGTAAATCTAAGCGACTGAGAAAAAATGTGAAGCAGCATGCAGATCAGACCGTGAATGAAGACAGTGAAGGTCGTGACTTGCGACAAGTGACCTCGACAACAAAGTCATGCAGGGTAATAATATGCAATGGTGTCTGCCAAGACTGGCAGGAACTGAGTTTCTAGGTACATAGTGAGCTGGCCAGGAGGCTTTCAAATTAAAGCCACAGGCACAGCTGAATTTCTAGTCCAATTGTTCATTAAAATGGATTCCTAATACATGCTTTGATGTAAACATTCAAATAGTAGCAATGCATAAACTAAAAAGTGAAAGTTTTCCTTCTCTCTGACTCCATTCCAGTCCTACTACCTAGTGTTTGCCAGCAGAAATGATTTGGTGTATAAAATGGATTTTTTCCAACTGAGTATTGATGACCATTTTTTCCCTCTTTTTGAGAAGACAGTCTCAAACTGGGAAGAACATGGTCTCAATAGAGGCTGTGGATTAATCCTTATAAATGAGTAAAACAGGGTGAATACACGTATGTGGATGAATAGAGAAAAGTCCTACCCACTGGGGTTACAAATTTCTCAAGAAATCCATTGAGCAACTTAGGACAAAATAGGGGAACAGCATCCAAGGTGTTTAGACACACACATTGTGATAATGCACAGGACATTTGATGGAATTTTATTTTGCCATTAGCTGAAAAACCAGTAAGCTATGATTGTCCAAACCACACCCTTCTCAATATTTATTACATTATTGACAAAGAAAACTTTATCCACATTTAGTTTTACAAATACGTATTTTTGTATTTATTTAAGAAAAAGTATTTTATATGAAAGCATTATTTTGCCATAGTGCTTCATCAGTAACACTTTGGTATAAGAAAACAAAGAGTTGACATAATTATTCACACTCTTCAAAAGATGCTGTAGAGGGAGAAAGAGATGTTTGGGGTCTGAATTGTCCAGATTGTTGACTCTCTATTTTAGGGGTTGACAAACTTTTTTTCTTTAAAGGGCTTTGGCCACATGGTATCTACAACAGCTACTCAACTCTGCCATTTTAGTGCAAAAGTAGCAGAGACAATACATAAACAAATGAGTGTGACTGTGTTCCAATAAAACTTTATAAAATCCAATGGATTTGGTCCATGGGCCACAGTTTGTTGATCCCTCCTCCACATGAATACTCTCAGATGACTTCACCAGGTGGAATTCATGTAGAATAGTATATGAATATAGTATTCATAGTAGTCATACTATATGAAAACCTTTCATTAGTTATAATTAAAGCTTGAACTTTCAGTGACCTTCAATATGAATGGGCTCAATAGTCTTCATATCCAGACTACCATTTATTCCTAAGAAATACACAAGTGGAATATTTTGTTATTCATATTTTATAGATAGGAAAATTCAGTGAAATGTGATATGGCCTGCCTGAGGACCCAGAGAAAGAAATTATACACTCTCTTAGAACTCATAGTTCCTGCTGTATTTATGCCTTTTTTTTTTTATGATTTCTGCTATTAGGTCCCTCCAGATGAATGCACATATAGAAAGAAGGCTTTATACACATCTTCCCTAACACCTTTTATTTTCTTGCCAGTGTAGGAGAAAACTGAACTCACCCCAGATCAACAGACTCTTCTACATTTTATTATGGATTCATATAACAAACAGAGGATGCCTCAGGAAATAACAAATAAAATTGTATGTATAATATCTGAAAATATGTGGGTTTAAAGTTAATATTTTCTGGAGTTTTTATTGCCTTGGAGGTATAATTTATATGTGAATATGTTACTTTGAAATGATTAGAGCTGAGAATTCAAGTTAGACTTTTAAACTCTCAGCAACATTAAACAATTCAAGAGTATGAAGTCTCCCACCTATCTTGATAATGGTAATTGCCCTCCAAAGATCTGAGAAATAGTAAGATGGGTTTTCAAATTTTATCATCTAAACCTAGTTTTTCTTTAGTCTAATGGTTTTATATTATCATTTTCTTATCTACTTTTTAATCATTGGTTTTTTTCTTAAAATTTAGTTAAAAGAAGAATTCAGTGCAGAAGAAAATTTTCTCATTTTGACGGAAATGGCAACCAATCATGTACAGGTTCTTGTAGAATTCACAAAAAAGCTACCAGGTATTTTTTAAATAATCAAAGTTAATATTTATTGAGAGTTTAAATATGTGCCCACAGATTAGATTACCTATTTTACATACGGTGTTTTAATTTTCAAAACATTCCTGTGAGATCAGCTCTATTTTCACTATTACTTTGCCAAGTATTTTCACATGTACTTATTTCACTGCTATTCTCTACAATAGTCTTGTGACATTGAGAAAGGCAGGTCTGTTCTTTGTAAAATGAAAATCATTTAATATCTGATTTAAAGTAACTGTCGAACTACTATAGACATAAGATATTAGAACTAGAAAGGATATTTAAAATAATGTATAATAATTCTTTCAAATCAATAGATTAAAAATTGAAACTTTGCAAAGTTGTCATTCACCCATTTATTCCTTCAATAAGCAATTGTTGATACCTACTCTATACTAAGTGCCTGGCTATTACCTTCAGGGAGAGTGATCAAAGGTGATAATAATAATGATAAATACACATACATACACATACACACGAAGTGCTGTTTGAACACAGAGGAACTGGTTGCTAATTGTGTCTAGGAAAGATGGAGAGACTTCAGGGAGGATCATATTTGAGTTGAGTCTAAAAGAAAAAGAAGTTTTCCAGTTGGCATGGAGAAGCAGCAGCATTCCAAGTTGAGAGATCTGCTTGTTTTTTTGTTTTTGTTTTGTTTTGTTTGAGACGGAGTCTCGCTCTGTTGCCCAGGCTGGAGTGCAATGGCATGATCTTGGCTCACTGCAACCTCTGCTTCCCGAGTTCAAGCAATTCTCCTGCCTCAGTCTCCTGAGTAGCTGGGACTACAGGCACACACCACCATGCCCAGCTAATTTTTGTATTTTTAGTAGAGATGGGGTTTCACCATATTGGACAGGCTGAATTCAAACTCCTGACCTCAAGTGAGCTGCCCGACTTGGCCAAAGTGCTGGGATTACAGGCGCAAGCCACCATGTCTGGCCGAGAAATCTGCTTGTTATAAGGCACTGAGGCATGAACAAGAATAGGATTATTTGAGATAGGAGAGAAAATTCAGTGTGGTTATAGTATAGTGTCTGTGGTGGGCTCCTAGGTTAGACAATAAGGTAAGTTGGTACCAGACTGATGAAGGCCTAACTAAGGAATTTAATCTGTGTACCCTGGACAGTAAAGAGATTTCGGTGGTTTTTGTAGCAGAGGGAAATGAAGTTTTTGTTATACAGAAATGACTTAATCAGGTTCATGTAAGATGAATTTGAATGGAAAGGGTCTGGGGGCAGGGAAGATCAAGTAGTATGCTACTGCACAAGTCCAGGCAACAGGGCTTGAAATAAAGCAATAGCAGTGGGGAAGAGAAGAAGAAACAAAAAGAAGAGAGATTCAAAAATCGATAGGGCTTGAGGAACAGTTGTATGTGTAAGGTGAGGGAGAGGGACTTACTTATCCACACTCATTCTGATGGTGCCAGTATAGAAACTAGAATGTGGGAGTCTTCTTATATCCCAGCCTCAAATTCTTTTTGCCACATTATTAATGCTATCTAAGCTAATGGGTTTTAGTTGTTTCAGTGTTTATTAAAATATTGGTGTATTGAAATCCCGTAGTCTAGAAGAGTATAATAAATACCTTGTATAGCAGCATAATACTATAATATTAAATTATAGAAGATAACTTCTGACATAGGATTTTAGTTAAACATGTTAATTTGCCTTCTTTTTGCCAGCATTATGCTATTATTTTATTAAATGTGTCACAGATAGACATAAGCCTACATAAAACTCATAAAGTGTGAGGAGAAATTTCTCACTATCATTGAAACACTAATATGCTCTCATTTCTTTATTAACAATGAAAGAGGAACTTAATTTACTATATGCTAATTAAACTGAAGGCAAGCTCAATAAAAAACTGGATTATATAAGAGTAAAAACTGTGGAGGAAAGAACTGGAAAAAGGAGATATTTTTGGTTATTTATGGGAAGAGATTTTTTAAGTTCAAATGGTCAGTTGGTTTTGAATCAAGAAATAATTGAAGACAAATAAAAACCTTATTCATAAGAAGGTAGCTTATCTGAAAGCAATAGCAATATCTTGGCATCTCTTAATTCCCAGTGCCTAGCCTCGTTCCTGAGGGAGCAAGTACAATTAGTGTGTGTTCAATGAGTAAAGCAGAAGGAAAAAATTTAAAATATGGAAAGAAATAAAAGGCAAAAACCCTTGAGAAGGAAAAAAATTGACAATAATGACAGAGATAGCATTATTACAAGTAGTAACAATAGGGATATAATACCAGTACTGAAGGGATATTTTGTGAAAAACTGAATTGAATCATTCCATTCAGTATTCATTGAGCACAACCTGTGCCAGGCACTGTCCAAGGTGCTGGAGTCCCTGAGGGCAATAAGACAGGGCCCCTTTCCTCAAAGAAGCTCTTAGATTCTCTCGGATGGTGGCTCAATTTTTAGCGTTGCTCTCTTCTCTATACTCCCTTTGCTATTTAGTTCTTCCCAAGCCATTTAGGCCCTGATGGTGTTATCTCTATTCATGTGAGTGTATGTGCCAGCATGCACATGAGCTTGTGTTTTGTTTCCCATTCATTCATTCAATCTGTCAATTATCCAACAAATAATTCTTAGGTACCTATTATGTGCCAGGAACTGGGGATACAAAAGTAAAGAAAAACAAGGCCTCTGCCCCCAAGAAATGTACACTCCAGTAGAGGTGGCAGACAATTAACAAATAAGCAAATAAATCTATAATATCATGTCGGGTGGTGATAAGTTCTATAAACTAAAATAAAGCAGGTAGAGACTAGTAGTGGTGGGGAGTGTATTTTAGATTGGGGAATGCTGGAGCAGAGGCTTGATTGCAGGAAGGAGCAGGGCATGGGGCATGGGGTTATCTGGGAAGAACATTAATCTCTGAGGCAAAAAGAGGCTTGTGTGTTCACAGCAGGGCCAGGTGGTCAGTGTGGCTGGAACACAAAGAGTAGAGGGAATGAGGAGTAGAAAATGAGTTCAGAGAAGCTGTTGGGACTGTACTATTTAAGCCTGGATAACAACTTTGAATTTTCCAGGGAGTGTTATATTCCATCAGGTTGGCAATTCTTACCATATTTTTCTGATTTTCCCCCACCCTGTGTGTCGCAGTGCTGAGTTCAGAGCAGATACATCAACATGACTTTGGTTGGCTGTTTTTGGGAAATACTACCCGTTCTTTAGCTTGACTAAAGACTCATGAGTTAGCCAAATATTCTGGGTGCATATAAAGTTTTCTTCTGGCTTGTAGATGCTTCCAATCTGCAGAGTTGACCCTGTCACATCAGGTGTGACTAACATAATGGCTCAAAGAAAATCTACCTGTGTCTAGTTTCTGAGGGTTTCTTCATCTGAATCAGTGTATCTATGCCATAATATATGTATCTACTTGGACTTGACATCTCCCTTTGCCCAGCTTGTTTAATAAATTCTGCTCAATGAAGATAAAAGCCTCTATTTTATTGGCGAGTACAAATGGACTCAACTAGACTACCCAATTTTAAACAACTACAGAATCACTTGATGTAAATGTTTTATCAATGGCAATGATGGTGATCATGAAATATTGTTACTCCTTGATACCAATTTGATTATCATCATTACCTAGGATTTCAGACTTTGGACCATGAAGACCAGATTGCTTTGCTGAAAGGGTCTGCGGTTGAAGCTATGTTCCTTCGTTCAGCTGAGATTTTCAATAAGAAACTTCCGTCTGGGCATTCTGACCTATTGGAAGAAAGAATTCGAAATAGTGGTAAGTGATTTGGCTAATGGTAAAAGAGTTTGTTTCTAGGAGTAAAATTGGTGTGCTTCATGAGGGTGGGGCTCTTGCCAATCTTATGCAATGTTATATGCCTGTTGTGCCTAGCATGAAGAATGGCTCTAAAAAGATATGTGTTAAATTGATAAGACTTCTAGAGGCTTGGTTCAAATATCTCTGTTGTAATAACAAAGTAGCAAAACTACCCCTTTACTGCACTAAGATGAAGAGCCAAAGGAAGACTTTTTTAAAGATTGGAAAATTCATCTGATTTTGAACAACTAGCACAAAGGAGCTAGGATTCTTCAGCCAAGAAAAAGATTATTTAAAATCTTCTGGTATGTAAGACTAAGTATCCAGCTATTATATATCTGTATCAAAATAAAATAAGAAGACATTTTAATAGCAACATTTATATGTCATTTACTAGGTCTCAGACACTTTTCTTTCTTTTTTCTTCCTTTCTTTTTTTTTTTTAGACACAGTCTTGCTCTTTGCCCAGGCTGGAGTGTAGTGGTGTGATCTCGGCTCACTGCAGCCTCTGTTTCCCAGGTTCCAGCAATTCTTGTGCCTCAGCCTCCCGAGTAGCCAGGATTATAGGCATGTACTACCACACCCAGCTAATTTTGGTATTTTTAGTAGAGACAGAGTTTCTCCATGTTTCCCGAGCTGGTCTCAAACTCTTGGTCTCAAGCGATCAGCCTGACTTGGCCTTCCAAAGTGCTGAGATTACAGGTGTGAGCCACCGTGCCTGACTAAAGTTAACTTTTTTTTTCTTTTCTTTTTTTTTTTTTGAGACAGAATCTTGCTCTGTTGCTTAGGCTAGAGTGCAGTGGCATGCTCTTGGCTCACCAGTTTCCCCTGGGTTCAAGTGATTTTTTTGTGCTTCAGCTTCCCAAGTAGCTGGGACTACAGGCGCATGCCATCACACCCAGCTAATTTTTGTATTTTTAGTAGAGACAGGGTTTCACCATGTTGGCCAGGCTGGTCTTGGACTCCTGGCCTCGAGTGATCCACCTACCTCGGCCTCCCAAAGTGCTAGGATTAAAGGCATGAGCCACCACACCCAGCCGGTTTCAGACACTTTTCTAAATATATGATTTCATCTAATCTTCTCAAATATTCTATGAATAAATACTATTATCATTCCCATTTTTCAAATGGAAAAGCTGAGACAGAGAAAGGTTAAATAACTTTCCCAATGACAGAGAGGAAGTCTGACTTCAGAAGCTTTGTGTCAGCCCAATGCAGTGGCTCACGCCTATAATCCCAGAACTTTGGGAGGCAGAGGGGGGTGGATCACTTGAAATCAGGAGTTCAAGACCAGCCTGGCCAACATAGTGAAACTCCGTCTCTACTAAAAATACAAAAAATTAGCTGGGCATGGTAGTACGTGCCTGTAATCCCAGTTACTCAGGAAGCTGAGGCAGGAGAATTGCTTGAACTTGGGAGATGGAGGTTGCAGTGAGTCAAGATCGTGCCACCACACTCCAGCCTGGGCAACAGAGTGAGACTCAGTCTGAAAAAAAAAGAAGCTTTGTGTCTTAACCACTATGCTATAGTACCTCTCAAGAGACGAGATAATAGCACAAGTTACTCAGTGTTTAACTTATTGTGGAATAACACTGTGACAGGGAAGCTCAAGAGACATTGAGATGAATTACCAGGAATTCTGTGCAATTTATCTTAGGAGATCCTTAAGATAGGATGAGTTCTTATTTTCCCGAGAGATTTCATATATGGGTTGGGAGTGGGGAATGAATGAGATGACTTCTCAGGATGTTTTCTTTCTAAAGTCTTATCATTAACAAAAGCAAATTTAAAGACTTTTAAAACCGATATTTTAAGATAGAGATTAGAGGGAAAGTTTTCAGGTAGTTCTGCATCTGTGATATAAGTGAAATAATTTTTTAAATGGAAAATTATTTTTAAAGGCAGTTTCTCCATAGTCATTATGTTTTTTTCCTAGTTAAAAACAAAAAGCATAATTAGCATCATTGGTAGATTTAAAAACCACACACTTTAAAAAGATGCATTATTCTTAATATATTAATTTACTAGTCTAACAAATATTTAAGGGCAAGGTACTATGGTAGCAGTGAAGAGAGAAATCAAGCATGTTCTTTCCCCTAAGAAGCTTACAGTCTAATGGGAAGAGATTAACTGTCCATGATTATGATAAAATATGGAAGAGAAAAACAGAGAGATGATGACTCCTAGTTGAGAGAGCTCCGAAAAAGTTTTATTGGCATTTGAGCTGGGACTTGAATGAGATTTGATTTGGATATCCAGGGTGCAAGAGAGAAGGACCAGCAGGAGCAAAGAGAAAGAGGCAAGAAAGCTCAGGGAATGCACACAAAGAAGGGTGAGTAGCTGAGCTGACTGAATTGAGGGTTACATTAAAGGGAAATAGAAAGGAATAAAAGAATCAGATGATTGAGGGCCTTGGATGCTGGGCTAATGATTTTGTTATTTCCCAAGTAATAGGAGAGATGGAAGATTTTTGAGCAGAGGAGGGAAAATGTCAAAATTAAGCTTTACAAATTTTCTAGCAGTGTTAGGGTAAGCCAGAACAGAAGTCACCTCTTAGGAGGCAAGAAGTCTCAAAGATGTCACGCTTGCTGCCAGGAGAAATGGAGAGAAGAGAAAGGATCTGGGAGATATATCTTCGTGGCTTATCAACTTTTGAAAGACATTATGTTGTCAAGAAATATGGATTTTGGTTCTGGACAGATTGTGTGTGTGTGTGTGTGTGTGTGTGTGTCCAGGCTAAGGGGAAAATGTTGAATCAGGTAACCTCCAAGGCACCATTCAGTTCTACAAGTCTTACTGCTTTTCCTCTCTTAAATAATTCAATTTTCCTGATGGGTGGTTTAGCTAGTCACTAGGCCAGCTACTGAAGTATCCTGATTTTAAAGCCATAATCAATAATTGACAGTTCAACTTAGGAAAGAATTAAAGGACAGGCTGAATTTTCACATGTATGGGTATAATTGTTGTTTTAGACTATTGAACATACACTGGTGGTTCTCTCTTTATGCAGAAAACTACAATGGCTTCAACAGGTTCAGCAGCTTAGCTTTGTCATTTATTTGATTCTGGCTTCCATGGACTGTGGCGGTGCTCCCTTTAAGAAAATCCCAGTTGGCCGGGTGCGGTGGCTCACGCCTCTAATCCCAGCACTTTGGGAGGCCAAGGCGGGTGGATTACAAGGTCAGGAGATCGAGACCATCCTGGCTAACATGGTGAAACCCCGTCTCTACTAAAAATACAAACAATTAGTCAGGCGTGGTGGCGGGTGCCTGTAGTCCCAGCTACTCGGGAGGCTGAGGCAGGAGAATGGCGTGAACCCAGGAGGTGGAGCTTACAGTGAGCCGAGATCACGCCACTGTACTCCAGCCTGGGGGACAGAGTGAGACTCGGTCTCACAAAAAAAAAAAAAAAAAAAAATCCATCAGTCAAATCTAATTCTTACAAAACTAATAAAATAAAAAGGAATGATGACTCATGACAAAACTTATTCATTTTACTGACAGGTCTCTACTCTAGGGAATGTGTGTTTGGTTTATTCATCAAGAGACAGTGGTGATTAAGGATACTGACTGTGGAATCTGGATTGAATATGGGCCCCACTACTTATTAGCTACATGTCCCATTTTTTTAAAGCTGTTGAAATAGACTTCATAACCAATTTGATCTCTTTGAAATCATGTTTAACTTTAATATTTATTCTGCAGTCTTGCCTCAAGTTTGATAATAAAATCTTGATAAGACAGGGTTTTCTTCTTTTTGAGTCAGTATTTTATCCCAAGCACCTAGCACATGCCTGGCTTGGACTGGGTGCTCCACAAAATTCTGTGGAATAACGAAAAAAATGAATGAAGGTTTGTCCGGAGCTATAAAACTGGTCTGTTTATTTACTTTTCAGATGGTTGTTTCCCTGAATATCAGAGTTGTTAATGTCCAAAGCTAACAAGTAACCAACAAAAAGTTGGTTAAACATTCTTCTAGACATTGCCTGTAGTAGTTAATTTGGGGAACAGATATCTTTTTTGCATTTGAGTGTAAGAAAAGGAAAAAGACAGTTTGGATATGGAAGTTCTGTTGTGTTCTCTCTCCTCCTCCTCCTCAAAGATGAGTCATTTAAAGTTGATTCAGGTGCCAGACAATGAAAAAGAGGGGTGCAATGTCTGCCATATGAATTGAAATGTTTTGATGAGAGGGCATCTGCAGGAGAATTATCTGGTGGTTGTTCTATCTTTCTTTCTCTGTCTCTTTTTCTCTCCTGGATGCTCAGCTTCCTTTAAAAAAAAATCTTTGCCTGGCTCCATCAGATCTCCTGGGTCCTGAGCCAAGTCAGATGCTGCCATTTCCATGATGACCACTGGGTTAGTACCAGATTCCTTCCCCAGCCTGGCTGAGGTGGGGAAAATCCCTTCCACTGTGGTTCAGCTAAAAGGGGAAAAATAGTCTTCCAAAAAAGTTTACAAGGCTACTAAGAGGAGAATTATGTTTATAGAAAGGCATATATAAGGCTGAGCATGCTGACTCACACCTACAATCCCAGCACTTTGGGAGGCCAAGGCAGGAAGATTGCTTGAGCCCAGGAATTTGAGACCAGCCTGAGCCACAGAGCGAGACTCCATCTTTACAAAAAAGTTAAAAAAATTAGCTGGGCATGGTGGCATGAGTCTGTAATCTCAGCTAGTTGAGAGGCTGAGGTGGGAGGGTCTCTAGAGCCCAGGAGGTGGAGGTTGCAGTGAGCTGAGATTGTGCCACTGTACTCCAGCCTGGGTGACAGAGTGAGACCTTGTCTCAAAAAAAAAAAAAAAAAAAAAAAAAAAACCAAACGGGGGGCATATATGCGTAATGTCTGGATCTATTAATTACGGCACCAGAAAGATAATTATTCAGCACCTACTGTGTGTCAGGCTGTATTATCAGTGTTTGTGTGAGCTTTGGGTCCTACAAGAAGCAGATATCAACATGGGACTAAATATGTCAGAAGTTAATTGGGGGAAATGCCTCTGAAGAATAAAGGGGGAGGAAGCAGGTGGAGTCCAGGAGACTGTACACTACTATGCTGATCTGACACCTGTGAAAGTGGAGCAGGAAGGCATGATTGGGCATGAAGAGCATCAGATCACAGCACAGTCCTGAGAAAGTCTCAGCTAGGCCATTGGAGAGGGACCTAGTCCGAGCTGCCCACTGAATGGACAAGCACTAACACACCCACTATGCTCATTCACCAGTTGAGACAAGACTGGTGAAAGTGTGTCCTCAGCACTCACAGGGCGGCAGCTGGAGGCTATCAGCCAGCCAGACTCCCTACTGTGGGCTGTCTTTAAGGGTGATCTGAGTGGGTCATCTCCATGGCTAACATTTTGCTTCACGAAAAATATTGTTTGCTCTTTGTAGCACTTTGAGGTAGATATTATCAATTCTATGCCAGACCTAGACCCTGTTAATCCCAATAACAAAATATCAGTCCCAAGTATCTGTTCCCTCTGATATTACTCTCTAACTTTCCAGCTTGCCACCTTCCAGTACCCTGACTCTAGGGATTCTTTGTTCCAAATCAACGTCCATTGCCGGGCGCGGTGGCTCATGCTTGTAATCCCAGCACTTTGGGAGGCTGAGGCAGGTGGATCACGAGGTCAGGAGTTTGAGACCAGCTTGGCCAACATAGTGAAACCTTGTCTCTATTAAAAATATAAAAAATTAGCCTGGCGTGGTGGCAGGCACCTGTAATCCTAGCTACTCAGGAGGCTGAGGCAGGAGAATTGCCTGAACCCAGGAGGTGGAGGCAGCAGTAAGCCAAGATCGTGCCACTGCACTCCAGCCTGGGTGACAGAGTGAGACTCTGTCTCAAAAAACAAACAAACAAACAAACAAACAAAATCAAAAATCCATTTGTTGACCCTCCATCCACTAACCCTCCAGCCATTGACTCTACTTCCTTTTGCCTGACCACACTTTCCTCAGTACTTGGCTTAGAGTTCGTGGTTCATCAATATGATCATTTCCTTAGATCATTCACCAGATATCCTCAACTCTTTGTCTTTCTTTCACCTAAGAAAACCCTCTGCCTGACTGAGTACGACTCTTAACCTACTCTGTGCTTGAGCCTGAGAACTGAAACAGTATGACTGGCTTACCCAAAGTTAGTGATCAAACACTTCAGGTGGACCTCAGTACTTTCCATGTATCCCTTTTCTCTAGCCAATTCACTCTTATACTTATGGAAAATTGTCTTGTACCTTCTCTTTCTTCAAATTTCCAACATCTCTTCCCACTCATTCTCAACTATAACTTTGTTGAGAAAAGGTGTCTTTCAAGAACATGCCATAGGAGTTGGAGCTCAAGGATATGTGGTCAAACCCCAGCTTCAAGGAAATGTAATCAAGCTTAGAGAAAGATGAACTCCCCGAGCTTAGTCAATATGTCAAGACAGAGATTGTCACAAGAAACAAAGCTGGAGCCAAGTTCCTAGAATTAGATGCACACAGAGCTCCCCAGGGTTTTCTGAGAGTTGACTTCATCCACATGATCCACTATGGCTCCCTACCATTTTGGTAACATTCCAGCAAGTGGGGAGGGCAAAGGGGAAAAAGAGTGGCACACCTTCCCTTTAAAGGAATAATCCTGAAGTGGTATGCACAACTTCACAGAGTTCCCCAGAGTTTTCTGAGTCTGGGTCAGAATTGAAACCTGTTGAGGCAAGTGGTGTGGTTCTAGCCGTGAAGACACAAAAGCTTCCAAAACCAAAGTCAGGCAGTTACACCTTGGGGCTCCCATGATTTCTGGCTGCCACATATTGCTGGAGCCTCTCTGTCACAAATCAGCTACCTCCAACAGAAGCAATTGTCTTATTCCTTTGTTTTATTTATTTATTTATTTATTTATTTATTTTGAGACAGAGTCTCACTCTGTCGCCCAGGCTGGAGTGCAGTGACCGTGATCTCGGCTCACTGCAACCTCCGCCTCCTGGGTTCAAGCGATTCTCCTGCCTCAGCCTCCCAAGTAGCTGGGACTACCGGGGCGTGCCCCCATGCTTGGCTAATTTTTTGTATTTTTAGTAGAGACGGGGTTTTACCATGTTAGCCAGGATGGTCTCGATCTCCTGACCTCATGATTCGCCCGCCTTGGCCTCCCAAAGTGCTGGGATTACAGGCTTGAGCCACCGCACCCGGCCCTGTTCCTCTTTTTATTATATTAAGCACTTTATAAACACTTGTTTTTTGCCTGAAGAATACTTATGAGCTGAGTGCGGTGGCTCACACCTGTAATCCCAGCCCTTTGGGAGGCCGAGGCGGGTGGATCATGAGGTCAGGAGATTGAGACCATCCTGGCTAACATGGTGAAACCCCGTCTCTACTAAAAATATAAAAAATTAGCCGGGCATGGTGGCACGCACCTGTAGTCCCAGCTAGTCAGGAGGCTGAGGCTGGAGAATTGCTTGAACCCGGAAGGCGGAGGTTTCAGTGAGCCAAGATTGCACCACTGCACTCCAGCCTGGGCAACAGAGCAAGACTCCATCTCAATTAAAAAAAAAAAAAAAAGAATACCTCTGATGATCAGTTGTAGGGTAGAGATGATTTGCATCCCCTAAACCTTCAGAACAGGCAAGGCTTTCTGACTCATGTCATCTCTCATCAGAATATCTCCTCATATTTCTCAGGGTGGTGGCTCATTAGCCTCCCTCCTCTCACTTGATGAGACACTTAGCTTCGAATCTTATCATTTTCATTTGACTCTGCCTGTAGGGCAACTATCCGGTAGCAATGGAAGATCATTTCCATTAGGACCTGTATTTGTTTATTTGTTTACTTTTTTTTAACAAGCTTTTATTGAGTACTTCTATGGGATAGGTACACTGGCGGTACAAAGATGAATAAGATAAAGTCATAATCCTCAAGGACTTCATCTTCTAGGGGAAATATATTTGAAAAGAATTAATCACAATAGATTTCATGCATAATTTAAGTTAGAGGTTTGGCTGCTGTAACAGAGACAAAAAATAAAGAGTGCTTAAACAAGATGGAAATGTATTTCTATCTTATACTAGTCTGGGCATGAGGAGAATGGGACTGATAGGGAATCTTCATAGTGTCCCTCTGTGTCATAGTTCTATCCATACAGATGGATGTCATGCTCATCCATCCACAGAGAGTTGACTTCATCTTCTTGGTCCAGTATGGCTCCCCACCATTTTGGTAAAAACACATTCCAGGCCGGGCACAGTGGCTCACACCTGTAATCCCAGCACTTCGGGAGGCCAACGTGGGCAGATCACGAGGTCACAAGATTGAGACCATCCTGGCTAACACAGTGAAACCCCATCCCTACTAAAAATACAAAAAATTAGCCGGGCATGGTGGCATGTGCCGGTAGTCCCAGCTACTCTGAAGGCTGAGGCAGGAGAATCCCTGGAACCTGGGAGGCAGAGGTTGTAATGAGCACAGATAGTGCCACTGCACTCCAGCCTGGGCAACAGAGTGAGACTCCATCTCAAAAACAAGCAAACAAACAAAAACACATTCCAGCAAGTAGGGAGGGCAAAGGGGAAAAAGAATGGCACACCTTCCCTGTAAGTGAATAATCCTGAAGTGTTACACATAACTTCTACTGGCATTCCATTGGCAAGAACTTAACTTCTTCATCACACCTTGAGACAAGAGACCTGTAAAGAGAACTACTAATGCAATAACTGGGTGAGAAATGATGAGGGTCTTGCTGGTTAGAATGCATATAATCAAAAAGAAAAAAATCTTCCATGTAATTTCATAAGTTTCAGAACTTGTGATACCTCAAGTTTCAGAAAAGCTAAAGAATGAAGTTTTCCAGAATATGATCTGTATAAATAAATATGCATGTTTCTAGTTTATAATAAGATACTTTCTCCAAATATCAACCATATATTGTGACAATAAAAACCATCCAAACTCACATGCTGCTGCATATTTTATCTATAATGTTTTCATTTATTAATATTTATGAATTTCCTTCTCCCAGTGGGTTTTCAGAACATTGCCTCTTCCACACAACACATAAAAACCTGATCTCGCAAGATGACCTTTCAGACTAACTTTTTATTCTTATGCTAATACAATCATTCTTATTTCTATTATACATTTAATTCCAGAGTAACATAATGCTCAAAGTTACTCTGTTTATGCCTATGCAACTCTTTAAAGAATATGATGTGAAATCTCTTTTCTTGTTCTTCAAATTCATACTCTTTTGTTTGCTGTTATTAAATCCCAATCACATACACAAAGATAACTGTCTCTGAGATGCTTTTAATGAGAATTAGAGTATTTATGTTAATTGAGGCTTTAGAACGTATATCTGATATAATTTGTGCTTGAGTTGTTTCTATACAATTCTAGTGCATCATTGATTTTATTCCTAATGTACCATTACTTACAAACTAGGGGTTTAAGTTGGAATTGTTAATAAAAATAGGAATAATCATAGTATATAAAATATTATAGACTGAAATAGGTTTGCTAACACTGAATGAGTTTATATTTTGTTTTGTTTTGATTTTTTTTGAGACAAAGTTTCATTCTTATCGTCCAGGCTAGAGTGCAATGGCACGATCTGGGCTTACTGCAACCTCCGCCTCCTGGGTTCAGGCAATTCTCCAGCCTCAGCCTCCTGAGAAGCTGGGGTTACAGGCGACAGGCAACATGTCCGGTTAATTTTTTGTATTTTTAGTAGAGATGGAGTTTCACCATGTTGGCCAGGCTGGTCTTAAACTCCTAAGCTCAGGTGATCTTTCCGCCTCAGCCTCCCAAAGTGCTGGGATTACAGGTGTGAGCCACCGCGCCTGGCCCAAGTTTACATTTTAACATTAAGGAAATTAGCAATAACCTCTCAGAGATCAAAGCAACTTGTTCTGTCCATTTCAAATATAAATAATCCCTGACATTTATAGTAGTTTTGGGCCTTTTTCCATCCCCACAAGGGACATAAATAAAATATTCAATTCAGTAAGAATTTACCAGTATGACAATATATCTCATGTTTTGCAATGTTTTGTTTTCACATGCATTATCCTGTTAGTGCTGCTCCCAATGGCCCTCACTAGGTGAGTGTTATTTATAAAATATCCTATTTTATAGATGTAGAAATGGGCTTAGAGAGGCAAGATGACCTGCTCAAGTTCATACAGCTAATCAAAAGAGTGCGAGGAAATTAAGGTGGGTATTCTAACTCAGAGCCCAGCACTCTTTCTATATGTGGCATCTGTCACTCACCAATTTCTAATATTTGCCCAACTATCTGCTAGCAGGGAATATAAAGTAAAACATGGTTTCTGCCCTTCAGTTGAGAGATAAAGTATAAGCAGTTGTTAGCAATTTCAAATTGCTTTAAGTCAGTGATCAAATGAATAGACAATGAAGTCAGAGAAAGGAGATAATCTTGTTAGGGTGATGAAGTTGTAGCCCTTAATAGTACCATACTAAAATATACTGTGCTTATTTTTGTTATATGATTTCACTGCTTTAGCCTTTTCAGCTTGCACAAAATGAAAACAGTTACCAGAACTATGTTTTCCAAAGATGCAAATCTAAGCTGATTATCAGTTCAGATACTGTCTTTGAGAGGGGTTAGAAATGTAAAGAAACAAATGATAGACTATTTATAAGAAGGGTAAATGCTTTAGTTAAATTTAGAAATCTTAACACCTCTACTTTTGCTTTTGAAAGTGGTCACATGCTAACTTTTGCATGGGCAAATTTAGGACTCAAATTATAGGAAGAAACCTTCCTTGGATTAAGAGGAAACATTAAAGAAATACAAGTGAGGTTATTTCCATTGCCCCTAGGCAGAATCCATTGTTCCTCAGCTGTATTTCCCAAGCTTTTTGTACTTGCTCGGTTTTAGATATTATGTATTTATTTATGTCAAGTCGCCCCTTGGTATCCACAGAGGATTGGTTCTAAGATCTCTCTTGGATACCAGTTAATGGCTGCTCAAGTCCCTGATATAAAATACAACCTTTGTATATAACCTATGTACATCCTGTTGTATACTCTAAATCACCTCCAGATGACTTATAATACCTAATACAATGTAAGTGGTATGTAAATAATTGCTTCACTGTATTGTTTAGGGAATAATGACAAGAAAAAAGTCTGTACACGTTCATTACAGTTGCAATACTTTTCCCAAATATTTTTGATCTGTGGTTGGTTGAATCCATGGATACAGAACCCACAGAGAGTTAACTGTATCTGCTTCTTCCATTAACCTGTTAATTGCCTGAGGACTTCATATTCCCAGATTCCCAGCACTAATATAGTGCCTGACACATAGCAGGAATACAAATATTGGTGAATTTTGTTGAGTTGAATCTGGAACTTGACAGTCCAAACTCTGGTAACTCCTAAGCCCTGGTGAGACCTAATTAGGCCGGATAGTTTTTAGCCACTAGGACTAATGGGAAGCATATCATGTATTATATATTTTAAATTAAATATTTTATACTTAAAGTAGTTCTTTTTTGAATTGCTAGTTTGATGGCAGCTGTTTACTTAGGACCAAGAGTATGGCACAAATGACTCCCTGGGGAAAGTTTAGCAGTTGAAATAGAGGACATAGTCCAATCTCTTAGCACCACAAGAATATGTCCATTGCCTTAATGGCATCCCTTGTCCCCATCACATCTCACAACTATGTCACCTTCATCATAAAGAACTACGAAAACATACTACTGCCTGATTTAACATGCATTTATTAATCTCCTATTATGTCTTCAGAAGGATGCTAGTTATTAGAGATGCAGAGGTGAATAAGAAATATCTGGCCAGTCACAGTGGCTCACTCCCATAATCCCAACATTTAAGGAGGCCAAGGTGGAAGGATTGCTTAAGACCAGGAGTTCGAGACCGGCCTAGAATACATAGCAAGTCCCTGTCTCTACAAAAAATAAAATGTCTGGATGTGGTGGTGCATACCTGTAGTCCTAGCCACTCAAGAGACTGAGGCAGGAGAACTGCTTGAGCCCCCAGGAGGCCAAGGCTGCAGTGGGTTATGATTGTGCCACTGCACTCCAGCCTGGGTGACATAGCCAGATTCTGTCATAAAAAAAAAAAAATCTATGGAGCACCCTTTATGGGTCAGGCAGCATGGCAGCCACTGGAGATAACAGTAACTGATTCCCACTCTTCTTTTTTTTTTGAGACGGAGTCTCGCTCTGTCACCCAGGCTAGAGTGCAGTGCAGCGATCTTAGCTCGCTGCAACCTCCGTCTCTCGGGTTCAAGCAATTCTCCTGCCTCAGCCTCCTGAGTAGCTGGGACTACAGGCGCGTGCCACCACACCTAGCTAATTTGTTGTATTTTTAGTAGAGATGGGGTTTCACCGTGTTAGCCAGGATGGTCTTGATCTCTTGACCTTGTGATCCGCCCGCCTTGGCCTCCCAAAGTGCTGGGATTACAGGTGTGAGTCACTGCGCCCGGCCGATTCCCACTCTTATAAAATGTATATGGTATTTCACACTCCAGTGAGAAGGAGAGATATGAATTGTGATAAGTTGCAATAGAACTGAACCTAGAAAAGGAAGTAACTAATTCTGCTTCTCTGTGACAGGGAAAGCTCCATAGAGGAAGCAAAATTTGAACTTGGCCTTGAACCATGGATGGGGTGCCTTAGTCTAACAGGGATCCTGCCTTGTATTTCAGGAAAAAGCATGAAGACATAAAAAGTGTATCCCACTTGTTAGGGGAGCTGTCAGAATGCTCTTGGCCGATAGCTACAGAAAATAAACTCATTATGGCCTAAAAAAGTAAGAAAATGTATGAGCTCAAACAAGAAACCCAGAGGAAGGGTGACAGCAGAATTGGTTAATTTAGGGGCAGAACCCACCATCGGAAACACAGATCCATCTCATCTTTCTGCTTTGCTATCCTTGGCGTATTGACCTTCCCCACAGGCTGGTTCTCCTCCTGGTCATCTAATGGCCACAGCAGTGCTAGGCACTATGTCTGGGCACAACACTGGTCAAAGGAAAAAGAAATGCTGTCTTCCTCAGTATGGAAATCTTTCTTAGGAACTTCCCAGTAGACTCCCCTTTAGTCTCATGGGCCCAAATTTCACTGCTGTCCCTAACTACACCAACCTCTGATGTGGGAAATGAGACCAACAGTGGCTGGACCTTGGGCTGGAGCTGGGATTTGCCTCTACCATAGTGTATGGCCATGGGGCAGGGAGGGGGAAGGGAGCCTGTGCAGGCAACAAGCTGAATCAGCTTTAGGAGCCTTAGATGAATCGGTGTTATTAGTTCCTAGGGAAACTATTGGGCTGCTGAGAGATTAGTTTGAAAGGAAAGCAGAAGGCAGATGTGGCTTTGTGTGCCGTGTCAGGGATTTATACCTTGACCTCTGTGCTATGGAGTGATGTCATTTCTAGAAAAGTTTCAAGTTACATGGTTTTAAGGAAATAGTATCATTTTTAACCAGATGCTCAGTCCATCTTGAGGACGTCATCAGAATAAGTCATATAGAGGTATTTAAGATACTAGGATATATGTCTAGTGTAATATGCATACTTGTAAATAACACACACACACACACACACACACACACACACCTGCTTCATTTTTGTTCCCAATTACGACTAGAAAGCTAATTAGGAAATAAAAACTTTTAACATTTAAAACACCTAAAGCAGTATAGTGTTAATTCTATCAAATGGTTATTCTCTCAAAGAATATTTCTGATCATTGAACATAATTTATTAATCACAGACCTCTTTTTAAAAAAGGGAAAACAAATAGGAAACAGGAGCAGAAACATAACATTATTTTTGCATTTTCAGACTTTTCCATGGCAAAGTCTTTGGTAGTTAAGTTAGAAAATAGCCCCCCCTTGTGACCAAAAATCAGGTAATTGGTCATTCAAGCGAAAATGAAGCAAATTTTAAGCAATTCTCCAGGAAGAAGGAAGCAGGAAAACAGGAAAAGGCTGTCCCCTTCAGGATGATGTTAGTGTTACATCTCCAGTGTTAGAAATTGCTGGTTCACAAGCCCTTTGTTTATGTTGGCATGGTTAACTCTGATTGTTGACTCTAATTCCAAAAGTAGATTTATATTTATCTATCTTGTAGGAAAATTATTTTTTAACTCTCCCATTATTTCTTTTTTACATTTTCTCTATATTCACTCTTGGCTTTTACAACATGCACAAGATGAAATAATCATTTTAAAAACTTTAACCTTATTTTCCCCAAATGTTATCAATTGTAATTAGATAGCTAATGGAGGCAACATCTCTGGAGGGTGTGTGGGGATTTAGAAAGGCAAATGAAATAGGAAATTTGGTAATCAAAGAAATTTCTAAAAATTTTAATATTTTCAAATCAGCTGTCTTGAATATCCCTAAATCTTCATGTACTATTTAATTTAATGGCATAGCCATAAATTATTATTTTAGGTAACCACAACTGAGGAGTGTAGTCTCTGAATGCTGAAGAAAGCATAAAGATTGACATTTTTTTGAAGATGAAAAAGAACAGCCTTACCAAGAAAATAGAGAACTTAGTTTAGCTTTAATACCTGGAAAAATACTGAAGCAAATCACTGATCAGCCAGTTTGTATTTATCCCCAGTAATTTGCAGAATTTGTTGGTTTTTTAAAACCTACATGGCTTTGTAAAGACAAAAGTTCACACGTTTAATCTAAGACTTAAGATGAACTGAAATTAAGATGGACTAATGTGTTGATTCAGTTCTCCTGAATAATGATAATAATAGCTACTATTATAATTATCTACTCTGACATTTATTGAGGATTTACTATGAACCTGGAATTGTGCTAAGCACTCTCTATATATCTCATATAACACTACTGTTATATGGAGTACACATTATATTACACGTGACAACATTTCACAGATGAGAAAATGAAGTCTTAAAAAATTTAAGTAATGTCCCAAGACCAAGTCGTGGAGTTTGGTTTCAAACTCAGAGCTAGCTTATGACCTCTTAACCACTAGGTTTGCTGGAAGCCAGGACTGGTATTCTCCAGGCTCACATTCTCCAATCCTCTGCACTTTAAGTTGTATCTAGTTGGGTCATGGGTATTTAGTTCATTCTGTAACAGCTGGATAAAGGGCAATCTTCCACATGATGTAATCCCCAAATTGCTCAACAAAGACATTGTTGTTAATAGAGTCCACTGGGGTCAATTAAAAAATCAAAGTCAAAGGGGAGCAGAGGGTGGTATTTTGACCAGAGAGGAAAACGGCAAGGATTTAATTTGGGAAGACTGTTTTTTAAAAAATATTTAAACATTTATTGTGCTCAAAATTTAAATCCAAAAAAATTAAATAAATCGTATAATTCTCTTTATAGGCTGGGTGCGGTGGCTCATGTCTGTAATCCCAGCACTTTGAGAGGCTGAGGCGGGTGGATCACCTGAGGTCGGGAGTTCGAGACCAGCCTGACCAACATGGAGAAACCCCGTATCTACTAAAAATATAAAATTAGCTGGGCATGGTGGTGCATGCCTGTAATCCCAGCTACTCGGGAGACTGAGGCAAAAGAATTGCTTGAACCTGGGAGGCGGAGTTTGCGGTGAGCCTAGACCGTGCCATTGCTCTCCAGCCTGGGCAACAAGAGTGAAACTCCGTCTCAAAGAAAAAAAAAACAAAAAACAAAAAACAACTCTCTTTTAAAGTACAAAATAATTCATCACCTTCCTTTATTATTTACCCATTATTTCATCTAAATGTTTGTAGCTAAGATTTTCTTAAAGCAGGTTACCCATGATTACAGCTGCCTGAGAGGCCTGTCTCGTGGCATGTATATATGTTTCACCAAAGGCAATTTGGGAATGTGTGTTGGATCAAGATTCAGATAATGTAGACTTGGGTTTTCCATTTATTATGCCAGTAAACTTAGTCAACTCAGATTACCCATTCTGAGCCTTACTTTCTCAAGTCTGAAATGGGGATAGTAATACTGGCTTATCAGTACTTCCTGCACAGGATTGTTGTACAGAATCAAATTCGTTTATATATTTGAAAAATATCTACGGAAGGGATGGGTGTAATTATTGAAAAGAAGAAATCCTAGCATACTTCGGGATCTTTTACTACCATTTGCATCACTGTAAGATAGAGAAAAATGAGAGCTGTGTCCATGCATGTTAGAAGTAATTTTTTTCCTTTTTGTATTCATTTTATTTTAATTTTTTTTACATTTTATTTTAGATTCAGGAGGTACATGTGCAGGTTTGTTACATGGTGCGTTAGTCTGTTTTGCATTGCTATAAAGGAATACCTGAGACTGGGTAATTTATAAAGGAAAGAGGTTTATTTGGTTCATGGTTCTGCAGGCTGTGCAAGCATGACACCAGCATCTGCTCAGCTTCTGGGGAAGCCCCAGGGAGCTTTTACTCATGGTGGAAGGTGAAGGGGGAGCAGGCATGTCACATGGTGAGACAGGGAGAAAGAGAGATGCTAGGCTCTTTTAAACATTCATATTTCACAGTAACTAATAAAGTAAGAACTCATTCATTACCATGGGGAGGGCACCAAGCCATTCATGAGGGGTCTACCCCAATGACCCAAACACCTTCCACCAGGCCCCATCTCCAACACTGAGGATTACATTTCAACATGAGATTTAGAGGCAAAAAACATCCAAACTATTTCACATGGATATATTGTGTAATGATGTGATTTGGACTTCTGGTGAACGCATCCCTCATCCAAATAGTGAACATTGTACCCAATAGGTAATCTTTCAACCCTCACCTTCATCCCACCCTCCTGCCTTTTGGAGTTGCCAGTGTCTATTATTTCCATTTGTATGTCCATGTGTATCCATTGTTCAGTGAGGACATGCGGTATTTGATTTTCTGCTTCTGAGTTATTTCACTTATGATACTCTTCTAACAGTGAGAATTTAGGCTTTCTGGTAAGTATACCTTAGATGATAATTGTACTCTTTAGCGTCTGGAATCAAAGTTTATTCTGGTTTGCTCAGCCAAAGCTCTTTAACTCTGGATCTGGTTTGGAAGAAATGGAGCAGTCTATTCTCATCTGGACCAATCCCAGGAAACATCCTCATCTCAATTAATCCATAAGTCACATCACAGGTTTTTGTGTTGGTTTTGTTTTGTTTTTCTGTCACCACGATTCTCCATCCAATGGCTCTTGTGGAATAAAGCAATGCACAGAAGTGGCACTAAGAAGTCTGTTTTTTTTGTTTTTGTTTTTGTTTTTAGAGATAGCATCTTGGCCCGGGCGTGGTGGCTCACGCCTATAATCCCAGCACTTTGGGAGGCTGAGGTGGGTGGATCACAAGGTCAGGGTTTCGAGATCAGCTTGGCCAATATAGTGAAACCCTGTCTCTACTAAAAATACAAAAAAAAAAAAAAAAAAATCAGCCAGGTGTGGTGGCACACACCTGTAGTCCCAGCTACTTGGGAGGCCAAGGGACGGAGGTTGCAGTGAGCCAAGATCACGCCACTGCACTCCAGCCTGGGCAACAAGAGTGAGATTCCATCTCAAAAAAAAAAAAAAAAAAAAAAAAAAAGAGACAGCATCTCACTTTGTCACACAGACTGGAGTGCAGTAGCACAATCACAGCTTACTGCAGCCTCAACCTCCAGGCTTAAGCGATCCTCCCACCTCAGCCTCCTGAGTAGCTGGGACCACAGGCATGTGCCCACTGCACCCAGCTAACTTTTGTAGTTTTTGTAGAGATGGGGTTTTGCCATGTTGCCCAGGCTAGTCTCAAACTCCTGAGCTCAAGCAATCTTCCAGCCTTGGCCTCCTTAAGTGTTGGGATTATAGGCGTAAGCCACTGCACCTGGTTAGAAGTCTTAAATGACAAAGAGGAGTGAGCTAGATAAAAGAGAAAAGGGATATTTCAAGTAGAGAGCACAACATGTACAAAAACTGGGCAATGTGAATTGTTTAGGGAACTACAAGTGGCCGAGGTGGCTAGAGGAAAGGCAGTGTGATAGAGTGATAGAGTGCAGCTTAGCCGTAGCCACTGTCAGGACTTTGGAGCCTGCCAGCTTTGGTTTGAAACCTAGTTCCACCTCTCTCAGCCGAGTGCCTTTGGGCTAGTTATATAACCTCTCTGTATCTACCTCACGGGGTTTAGAACTATTAAATGAATTATGGTATATTAAATGCTTAAAATATTGCATAATACATAATGAGTACTCCTACTATTACTATTGTTATTGTGAATAGTTAGATAGGCAGGGGACAGGTCCTAGAGGCTCCTACGTTAAAAGGAAGAAAATTAAAACTATATGCCTAAAGCCATGGGGAGGTTTAGAAGGTTTTTGTAAGAAGTAGAGAGAAAGTATGTGATGTGATCTGATTTTTAGAAAGGTCATTCCAATGAGAGGTGACAGCGTGCTGGCAGTCCTCAGAGCCCTCGCTTGCTCTCGGCACCTCCTCTGCCTGGGCTCCCACTTTGGCAGCACTTGAGGAGCCCTTCAGCCCACCACTGCACTGTGGGAGCCCCTTTCAGGGCTGGCCAAGGCTGGAGCCCACTCCCTTAGCTTGCAGGGAGGTGTGGAGGGAGAGACGCGAGCGGGAACCGGGGCTGCGTGCAGCGCTTGCAGGCCAGCTGGAATTCCGGGTGGGCGTGGGCTTGGCGGGCCCCTCACTCGGAGCAGCCGGCCAGCCCTGCTGGCCCCGGGTAATAAGGGACTTAGCACCCGGGCCAGTGGCTGCGGAGGGTGTACTGGGTCCCCCAGCAGTGCCAGCCCACCGGCGCTGCGCTGGATTTCTCACCGAGCCTTAGCTGCCTTCCCGAGGGGCAGGGCTCGGGACCTGCAGCCCGCCATGCCTGAGCCTCCCACCCACTCCATGGGCTCCTGTGCGGCCCAAGCCTCCCCAACGAGCACCACCCCCTGCTCCACGGCGCCCAGTCCCATCGACCACCCAAGGGCTGAGGAATGCGAGCGCAGGGCGCATGACTGGCAGACAGCTCCACCTGCAGCCCTGGTGCCGGATCCACTAGGTGAAGCCAGCTGGGCTCCTGAGTCTGGTGGGGACGTGGAGAGTCTTTATATCTAGCTCAGGGATTATAAACACACCAATCAGCACCCTGTGTCTAGCTCAAGGTTTGTGAGTGCACCAATCGACACTGTATCTAGCTGCTCTGGTGGGGCCTTGGAGAACCTTTATGCCTAGCTCAGGGATTGTAAATACACCAATCAGCACCCTGTGTTTAGCTCAAGGTTTGTGAATGCACCAATCGACACTCTGTATCTAGCTGCTCTGGTGGGGCCTTGGAGAACCTGTGTGTGGAAACTCTGTATCTAACTAATCTGATGGGGACGTGGAGAACCTTTGTATCTAGCTCAGGGATTGTAAATGTACCAATCAGCGCCCTGACAAAACAGGCCACTGGGCTCTACCAATCAGCAGGATGTGGGTGGGGCCAGATAAGAGAATAAAAGCAGGCTGCCCGAGCCCGCATTGGCAACCCACTCGGGTCCCCTTCCACACTGTGGAGGCTTTGTTCTTTCGCTCTTTGCAATAACTCTTGCTACTGCTCACTCTTTGGGTCCACGCTGCTTTTATGAGTTGTAACACTCACTGCGAAGATCTGCAGCTTCACTCCTGAACCCAGCGAGACCACGAGCCCACCAGGAGGAATAAACAACTCCAGACGTGCTGCCTTAAGAGCTGTAACACTCACCGCAAAGGTCTGCAGCTTCACTCCTGAGCCAGCGAGACCATGAACCCACCAGAAGGAAGAAACTCCGAACACATCTGAACATCAGAAGGGACAGACTCCAGATGTGCCACCTTAAGAGCTGTAACACCGCGAGGGTCCGCGGCTTCATTCTTGAAGTCAGTGAGACCAAGGACCCACCAATTCCGGACACACCAATACGTGGATAGGGATAGATCAAAGGGAATCAAACTAAAGATAGGAAGGCCAGTAAAGAGGCAACTGCAGTAATCCAGAGGAAGAGAGATGGAAGCTTAAATTAAGTAAATGCCAGGTGCAATAAAGAGGAGAGGGAGCACCAGGTGAGAGTGAGGAGGAGAAGCCACAGGCCTGGGTGCCTGAATCTCAGTTGTCAGGCCTGGGCAGTTGAGTGGTGTGGATACCACTCACCGAGAATGGGAACGCCAGGAAAGAAGTGGATTTGGAGAAACGTGGGGGAGCTTAGTTCTGTGGTGTCTTTGATTTTGGACATACTGGGTTTGAAGAGAACAGCCAATTACTGATGCTTAGTAGGTAATGGCTTGGTGCTTCAGGAAGAGATCAGAACCCTTTGATAAGAACCCTGGCCTGGCTGGGCGCGGTGGCTCACGCCTGTAATCCCAGCACTTTGAGAGGCCGAGGCGGGCGGATCACGAGGTCAGGAGATCAAGACCATCCTGGCTAACACGGTGAAACCCAGTCTCTACTAAAAAATACCAAAAAATTAGCCGGGCGCGGTGGCGGGAGCCTGTAGTCCCAGCTACTGGGGAAGCTGAGGCAGGAGAATGGCGGGAACCCGGGAGGCGGAGCTTGCTGTAAGCCGAGATCACGCCACTGCACTCCAGCCTGGGTGACAGAGCGAGACTCCATCTCAAAAAAAATAAAATAAATAAATAAATAAAGAACCCTGGCCCATTTAGAAATGAAGCTGTCTATACTTCCAGACTGAATAACAACCACTTTTTGTTAGTTGTTTAAGATGTGATCTCTGCCTTAATTATCGATAGTCATATTCAAAAGATTCACTAAATCCCATCTGGAAAATGGAGACGTTTTTGAGATTCTTTTGGCAATTCAAGAGCATTATCATTGATTATTAGTAGTGACTGAAACAAAGACACTGACAAAATTAGACATACACTCATTACACTCATTGTTTTGGCTATATTTTGAGAATTTTGTCAACTGATTGTCTTCACAATGTCCTTCCTTTGGACATATAATAAAAATAATATAGTCATTATTTGAATGTGTGCATATAGTTGCAAAATTACCATGTGTTTATATGTATAATGTGTTTCTAGTTTTACACTGTTTAGTCACTCAAAAATTGTATTATGATTGCAACTTTCCCCCACAGGTATCTCTGATGAATATATAACACCTATGTTTAGTTTTTATAAAAGTATTGGGGAACTGAAAATGACTCAAGAGGAGTATGCTCTGCTTACAGCAATTGTTATCCTGTCTCCAGGTAATTCCAATGTTACATTTTAATTTTTATGCCATTTTTTTCAGTATACTAGTAATAACGTTTATTGAAAAAAATCTGGAAAACATAGAAATATAAAGAAAAAGTAAAGTAGCCTATAATTCTGCTATCCAAATAGAACCATTATTAACCTTTCAGTGCACTTCTTTTCAGTCTTTTTAAAAAATATCACACTTATTCATTTAATAAATGTATATTGAACACCTACTATGTACTAACCATGATGCTAAGCACCGGGGATGCAACAAGACACAGCTCCCATGCAGCTTGCATTCTGGTAGGATGAGAAAGATAATAAATGAAGAAACAATATTTTTTCAGAAGGTGGTAAATGCTACAAAAAATATAATGAGAATATAAAGAAAGAGAGTGGCACAAAAATGGTATTTTAATTTGTGGTCACAGGAGGCTTTTTTTAAGTGGGTGGCATTGGAGCAGGGATCTAAATGAAATTACATACTTTTTAACATAATAAGGAACTTTTTTCTGAGTTTATATTTCTTCTAAAAGTCATTTCCCAAGTCATTAAAAAATTACATTGGTAAAGTTGTAATATGTGCTACATATTCCATTGTATGAATATACAATCATTTACTTAATCTTTACCACATGTTTGTATATTCAGGATATTTCCAGTTTTTTTGATGTTGAAAATGTTTCTTCAACAGTTTTTTTTGGTTGTTGAAATGATACCTCTTTCCATATTTTTTTCTATATTTTTTGGTTACTTTAATAATTTGGGTGTCGAATGATGCCATGCTCATGATTTGTAGAGCATAATAACAATGTTAGCCTTAGGCCATTTTTATACATTATCTTGAGGCAGAAGCTAGTTGTTACTTTGCTTTACCATAAAAATTATGACTTGTGACTAAAAAACTATTCAGCAGAACCTTCTAAAGTTATGTATGGATATGTCCTATGACCCAGTGATTTCACTTCTGAGAATATACTCAACAGAAAGGATGCTCACGTCCACCCTACAGGTTATCTTTAGGGGTTTTGATTGGAAGGGGAATTGGGAGGCTTCTGGGAAGCATTACATGTGTTGTATCTTGATCTCGTTATAATTACGTGTGTGTGCATAAAAATTCATCAGGTTGAACACTTAATTTTCACATTTTGTGTACAACATTTAACTTACACTTCAAAATAGTTAACGTTGCTATAATTATGCTGAATTAATGCTTTTCCACTTTTTAATTTTGTCATTTTATTTTAAACTTCAAAACAGATAGACAATACATAAAGGATAGAGAGGCAGTAGAGAAGCTTCAGGAGCCACTTCTTGATGTGCTACAAAAGTTGTGTAAGATTCACCAGCCTGAAAATCCTCAACACTTTGCCTGTCTCCTGGGTCGCCTGACTGAATTACGGACATTCAATCATCACCACGCTGAGATGCTGATGTCATGGAGAGTAAACGACCACAAGTTTACCCCACTTCTCTGTGAAATCTGGGACGTGCAGTGATGGGGATTACAGGGGAGGGGTCTAGCTCCTTTTTCTCTCTCATATTAATCTGATGTATAACTTTCCTTTATTTCACTTGTACCCAGTTTCACTCAAGAAATCTTGATGAATATTTATGTTGTAATTACATGTGTAACTTCCACAACTGTAAATATTGGGCTAGATAGAACAACTTTCTCTACATTGTGTTTTAAAAGGCTCCAGGGAATCCTGCATTCTAATTGGCAAGCCCTGTTTGCCTAATTAAATTGATTGTTACTTCAATTCTATCTGTTGAACTAGGGAAAATCTCATTTTGCTCATCTTACCATATTGCATATATTTTATTAAAGAGTTGTATTCAATCTTGGCAATAAAGCAAACATAATGGCAACAGGATTTTCTTTGGGAACAAAATTTGATAAATATACAAACTCATTTCTTTAAATGTTGAAAGACATCCTATTGAATCTGAGGGGGTAATTTACAGAAAGATACTGTCTCTCGCACTTTTGTCATCTCTGGAAAAGTCCTGGTGAATAGTCATTCATTTGTAATAGCCCTCTGATCATTTCCTTTTCTTTGAAGTTCAAAGAGAATAGCAAACAGAAAAGTTAACAATTTTCACATAAAATATTCCCTCAAGCAATCCTTTCCCCCATAGTTAGTCTTGAGGCAGGATTCACAAATTCAGAGTATGCAGCTAACTGCAGTGATGGGACCTTCGCTTTCCTCTCTTAAAAGTGAGGAAATGATTGGCTTCATTGTATCCAATCATCTTTCTGTTTTGTTTTGCTTTTGAAAACATTCCTACAGCTGGGAGCACAGCTGCTGTATACTTCCCCCAAAGCAGGAATTAGTTCATTTCCTTCCTTCATTGTTACACTGTTGCATTCTTCTCCCTATTATCCTTTGGTGAATACAATAAAACACCTTCTATAAGTAATGGGCGTATATCTCCCTTTCTCCTAAAGTTAGCCAAAGTGGAGCATGATTAGCAAGCAGTTTTTTTGTATCAAAATACTAGGACAACCCTGGAATTCTAAAAATAACCAGTCAGTGGAAAACTGTGTTGAGGCTAGCATCAATTGGATTCTGATACAACAAAAATGTCTTGAGTTCCTAGTAAGTACAAGATTCATTTGCTAAACTCCATGGAGGATACAAAAATGATTAAGATCCAGTAACAGAGCTGAGCCCAATTGACACCTGTAATCCCAGCACTTTGGGAGACTGAGGCTGGAGGATTGCTTGAACCCAGGAGTTTGAGACCAGCCTGGGCAACATAGGGGAAACCCTGTCTCTACAAAAAATAAAAAAGAATAAAATCAGCCAGGGGCTGTGGCTTGCACCTGTGGTGGTCCCAGCAACTTGGGAGGCTGAAGCAAGAGGATTGCTTGAGCCCCAGAGATGGAGGCTGCATTGAGTCATGATCGCACCACTGCACTCCAGCCTGGGCAACAGAGCGACACCCTGTCTTCAAAAAAAGAGAAAGAAAAAAACCCAGTAACTGCCTGGAGGGAGTTATAAAGGCTGCAGCGGAACTTGCTGTGGGTTTACCCTGGAACTTGGGAAAGTTTCATACAGGAGATGGTACTTCTGCTGGGCTTCAAGGGATAGCCCCAAATTCAGTGGGTCCAGGTAGGAGGGAAGGGGTTCAAGGTGAAAGGGGTGGCAGGAGCAACAGAAGGAAGGTGGTGAGTTGTACAGATGTTAAAAGACGATACGTAATCTGGGGAGGGAGGGAGGATGCACAGTCTCTTTCTAAATCTCAATTTCACCATTGTAAAATGCAGAGATCAGCATTTATTGCATAAGGGGATTTAGCTTATTAATGAAGAGTAAGTGGGAAGTAGCAGGCCCACCAGGGAGAGGGTTGGTGAGGAAAGGACATTGAAGAAAGGAGTAAATTTCAGTTTGGTGTCTCCAGATCTCATGCCGTCTGCGCAGACAGCAGTGAGAAATGAGCCTGGAACTGGTGGGGCACTGGAGACAGAGCAAGAAGCTTAATCCTCTAGATCTGCATTTATTCAAGTGGTTAAGACCTTGTAATAGCAAACAATAATGCTCATCACATGGAAAACTAATTGTGATACTATAAGAAATACATATTGTGTTTTTGTTCCTGGTTTCTGACACAGCTTCTAAAAGCTTTGGGAATTCCTGAGTGATAGGGGTAATAGGAGCAACTCTGGGTAAAAATAAAATACAAATTACAAGTGCTATGAAACAGAAGTATTTCCCTTGCTCTGATATGCACTTTTATGGGTCATTTTCCACACTAGTAGAGTGAGTTTTTTTTCTAAAATGCAAATCTGGTTACATGTTCCCTGTGCTACTTGATTTCCCATTGACTTCAGCAGAGACCCAGAACTCCTTGGGAGAGCAGTTGGCTATTGAGACCTCCTACCGGTTTTGTCTCCTGCCCTACCTATATTCTAGGCTTCCAAATAAAATGCATTCCCCAGAGGTCTATCTTCTCTTACACCAAATGAGAAAGAAAGTATAGAGACAGGGGAAAAGAAATGGGTTTGCTTGTTTTCTTCCTTTTCCTTTCCACCCCAGGTCTCAAGTAGGGGTGATTTTGTGTCTCAGGGGGACATTTGGCAATGTCTGGAGACACTTTTGGTTTTCATAACTTGGAGATAGAGGTGCTACTGGCCTCTAGGGGGTAGGAGCTAGTGATGATGCTAAACTTCCTACAATGCACAGAATAGCCTCCCTCAGCAATTATCTGGCCCAAAATGTTAACAGTGCTGAGGTTTAGAAACCCTGCTCTCTCCCATCCTGTCTTAGTTCATTCCGGCTGCTGTAAAAATAGACCATAAACTGGGTAGCTTATAAACAACAGGAATTGATTCCTTACAGTTCTGGGAAGTCCAAGATGAAGGCACTGGCAGATTCAACGTCTGGTGAGGACTTCCTGGTTCCTAGATGGCATCTTCTAGATGTGCCTGCTAGCTCTCTTGGGTCACTTTTATAAGGGCACTAATCCCAGTCACGAGGCTTCACCTTCATGGCCTAATCACCTCTCAAAGGCCCTACCTCCTAATACTATCAATTTAAGGGTTAGGATTTCAACATATGAATTCTGGGGGGACACAAATATTCAGACCATAGCATATCCCAAGAAAATATGACTCCTACACTGTACTCTCTCTTGACCTGATCTAGCATCTAGCTTCAACATAATTCTCATGGTGGTGGTTTTCTAGTTCATAACAACATTGTGGACAGTCATTTTATTAGTGAATCCAAATACTGGATATGAGCAACTGTTTTGAAATTTTGTTTTCTTTCTTTGTTGTTCAGAATGAGAAACTGATTTCACTCATTGATCCTATAGCAGCAGAATTTTACTTTTCCCCAGATTTTTACAAAATTACAATTTATTATTTTTTCCCTTATGTGAAATAATAAATTCAGTACACTATCACATATCACATTTGGGTGTTAGCTGACTTATTTTTTGGACACTCAGAATCCACTGCCTTTACTTCTGGAAGAGTACTCTGATTTCCTCAGGGGAACCACCCCCTTCCCATCTCTTAGTCCATATGTTTTAAGTGGAGTTGATTCCACCCCCAGCTCCAGAGTTGGAAGTGTGATTCAGGCATAGCTAATCAGAATATCACATATCTTAGGTCACAGTCATTGGTTTAGAATTGGGCAGGTGACTTATTTAAAGAAAATAAGATATACTGCTGGAAGAATTTTTAGGAGGAAGGCAGTGTCAGTTACATGCCTCTGTGTGTGTGTGTGTATTAATTGTTCCAAATTCTTCACTCTCTCCCTGTAGTAGAATTATATGGCCAGGTTATTTGACTCGTGAATTTGCAGTGCCTCTCACAGGAGTAGGCAGAACAGACTTCCCCACCCACTGATGTTGAGCTTGTCCTTGTGGCTTGCTTTTGGCAATAGCACGTGGGTGGAAGTGAGAGTGTCAGTTCCAAGCTATGGCCTTAAGAGACATCACATGTTTCTGCTGCTGCTCTTGCACTTCTGCTATCTGCCATGAGAAGGGAATGCCCTGGATAGTTGCAAGTCTCAGAATGAGAGACAGAAGGAGTACACCTAAACCCAACTTAAGCTTGAAGCAGCATCCCTCCTGTCCACCATGAGCTAACATGCAGATCGACAAACAAGAAAAATCAATGTTTATTACTGTAAGCCACTGAAAGTTAGGAGTTGTTTGTGATACAGCATTATCACAGCAACAGTCTAGCTAATATATCCTATTTGTGTTCAGATCTGTTCCCTTCCTTCCCTTCTCTGTTCATCTAGGGAGGGAGGGCTAACCCCTGACAGGCTGCATTTTATAGGTTTCTCTGTTAACTGGCTTTGGCCAGTTTCAATCAATGGAAAGTATTGATGGGAGACTGGAGGATGAGAAGAAGGGAAAAGCCAGGGTATTTCTCCCTCACTCTCTCTGCCTCAGATTGTATCTCTGGTAAAGATTGCATCTCCTACATGGCTCCCAGTCCCACTGGGAAACTCCCTCCTGCCCCAGTGCTGATGGCCCTGGTTTCTAAACTCCTCTTTTGAACCCTAAGCCCTAGAATTGCAGTGGCTTCCTACTGTTGCTAATCTCTGAGTTGTCTTACCTGCTCCTGTTTACCTTCTCTTGCAAAACCAAGTCTGTGTTAAGTTCCTGCTTTTTGATGCACCTATAGTGGTTTGTGTTTTCTGACTTGAGAACTATATAGAATGACTCACTTTTTTTTGGTTAGACTCAAACCTAAGAGAATGAAGAACTAGAACTTCTGGAAACCATCATATAACCAGGAGGAACCTGAGAATAAAGTCAACATGAAAATCAGAGCCAATAGAGACTGGATTTTGGTGACAATATCTGAAATCTTAGATCAAGCTGTGCCTAAAGTTAGAGAGTTCTATCCTGAGATTTTAATTACATAAGCCAATACCTGCCCTTTTTTTCTTAAGTGAGTTCGAGGATTTTTTTTTTTTTTGCTATCAAATATAACTAAATGTGATAGAAACTTGATCATACTTGAACAGTAAGCCATTTAGAAATAACCTGTGCTCTGTAAGAGCCTGGCGTGGCTACAATGCTAATATCTGTGAAGACGTCTTATAGATGAACTGGGGGAGTAGGGAGTGTAGCTCAATGTAATCATTCTTGCTAGGCTGTTAGATTTTTACATCTCTCTCCAGATATAGATTGTATTAGTTTCTTAGGGGTACTCTAACAAAGTACCACAAATTTGGCAGCTGAAAACAATAGACATTTATATTATTTCACGTTTCTGGAGGCTAGAAGTCCAAAATCAAGGTGTCAGCAGACCAAACTCCCCCCAAAGGCTCTAGGAGAGAATGTTTCCTTGCATCTTCTGGCTTCTGATGGCTCCTAGCATTGCTTGACTTGTGGCAGCAAAGCCCTAAGCTTTGCCTCTGTCTTTACATGGACTTTCTCTCTCTCTCTGTCCCTTTTCTGTCTCTTGTAAAAACACTCCCGTTGGATTTGGGGTCCACTCTACTCCAATATGATCTCATTTCAATCCTTACCTTAATTATACCTGCAAAGACTCTATTTCCAAATAAGGTCACATTCTGAGGTTCTCGACGAACATGAATTTTGGGTGGGCACTATTCAATCCACTATATAAATTTAACACACCATTTTAGTATTGACCATAACATGTTATAAAATTTCATATCATTGAATTATTTATACATATTATTTGTTAACACGAATCAGTATCATTCTTCTAAGACAGAGCTTAGTATTATTTTTAGAATAGTTAGCTCTCAACAGATTATCTGCTGAACAGATAGTTTAATTAATTGTGAATGAATCAATACCTCTATTGCCCAAATATTTCATCCAGTACTTTACACAAGGCACAATCCATAGATTGACATTCAATAAGTCAGAAATAAAAACATTTCTAAAACAACAAAATGCAGAACAAAACAACTAATAAACCAATCAAAATTTAAAAAAGTCTTCAGTGTATTTAAATTACAGTGTATTTTAAACAATAGAAGCATTCTTTGCATGGCTGTGAAAAGGCCAAATCATAGTTCAATACCCGATGGTTATTTGATTATCACAGACCCTTCTGTATTCTGTATACCTTTATGGCAGATGAATGACTATTCCTAATGTAATACCTTTTAAAATTTAGATTTCCAAACATGGTGCTTTCTTTAAAAGTGCAGCACATCTCCACAATTGGAAAGTCAAACTGGTGAGTCTTGTTTTGCATTCTACAATTATGCCAATTTCATGTAAAGATACAACCTCTAAAACATGGCTATTAACCTAACCACCTATTAGAAAGCCTACACTTGAAAGTAGATTGCAGCTCATTAGATGAAACCCTCAATTGCTAATTATAGTTTTAAAATCAAGATAGGTAAATGGTAAGTGTATTTAGATAGTTGGGTACCAGCTGGGAATTAACGTAAAAGTAAGGCGATAGACACAGACACAGACACACACACACACACACACACACACACACACACACACACACACACACACACACAGAGTATACAGAGGAGAAAAGCAACAAGAATTAAAATAATTTAGAGGCAAGGCTGGGCGCGGTGGCTCACGCCTGTAATCCCAACACTTTGGGAAGCCAAGGCGGGCGGATCACCACATCAAGAAATCCAGACCAGCCTGGCTAACACGGTGAAACCCCGCCTCTATTAAAAAAAAAAAATTAGCCTGGCATGATGGCGGGGCGCCTGTAGTCCCAGCTACTCCGGAGGCTGAGGCAGGAAAACGGCGTGAACCCAGGAGGCGGAGCTTGCAGTGAGCCAAGATCGCGCCACTGCACTCCAGCCTGGGCAACAGAGTGAGACTATCTCAAAATAAATAAATAAATAAATAAATAAATAAAATAATAATTATAATAATAATTTAGAGGCAAACTCCTCACCTAATCCCCACATTTAACCAGCAAAGGATGTGGCCTTAGAGAAAAGTGTTTTGCATAGATTTCCTGACTCAGGATTCACTTGCCACTACACTGTCCTTATATCTTTATAAGGTATAGAAATTACAAAGACAAAATAGAACAAAAAGCAAGTTATCATAAAAATGCACTGCTGACAAGATTTTAGTAAAAGGTTTAGAAATATTAAGTAGTGTGTGTTTATGTGTGTGTGTATGAGGCAGAGAATTTTTGTGTACATATCTCATATAGGATAGTTTCAAGTTTTAATAAATGGTATTCAAATGTTTAGATACATAGTATGCACATAATAAAAATAAAAAGTTGACAGCTAAGGACTCATTAAACAAGATCTGTATAACACATTTTTTTCTTAAGTTTCTGTAGAGCAGTGCACATATTTTGATGTTAGGGTTCAAGAAATCCAATGTAATACTTTAATTCAACTCAAAATTTGGCTAAATGGGGTGGTATACAAACTGCCCTTTAGTTTTAAACAGAAACACTATGACACATAGATTTGAAAAATAGGTCCTGTGAATACCTATCTATTGTGGTGATGTGAGCAGCAAAGTGTTGTGGGATTGATTTTAATATTAAAAGTGTTACTGAAACACCAGGGGTTTGGTCTAGGTCCTGCTGCTTGCAGCACAGAAAGCCAAAGACTGATATGACAAGTACTGCCAAGGAAGAAAGTTTTAATCAGGTGCTGCAGCTGAAAAGATGGGAGATCAGTCTCAACTCCATCTTCCTGACCGCTAAAATTAGGGGGTTATATAGCAGGGAAGAAATGTAGCAATGTGTAAGAAGAAAGGAACTAGAGAGGGGCAAGGAAGCAATCAGGATGAATGAAGGGCCAGGCTTTCATTGGCTGAGATGATCTGGTGAGTTTCAGTTCTTTGATACTTTTTGAGAGGTCTAGGGATCCTTTCCTAAGGAAACAACTCGGATAAAACAAATGTAAGTTTTAGGTTTTAAGACCAGAAGGGTCAATTTCTACGGTTGGGACTACTGAGTCAATTTCAAAAGTGGCAACCACTATCTGGTTTCAGGTTCATTTACCACTTAAATATCAACTCCTAGTTACCATCTTCACTCACCCACCTACCCCAGAATGTAAGCTCCATGACAGTAGGATCCCTTGTGCTTAGAATGGAGCCTGACACAGAAGATGTGTAAAATAATATTTGTTGAATTTACTTCTCAAATCTATATCTCCTACACAGACCAATTTAAACAGCTTCAGGTCTAACTTTATCTTCTGAACATCTCCACTTGCACACTCCTCTCACACTTCAAACTGAACACACTCCAAACCAAAATGCATTATTTTCCCCCACAGCCTGTTTTCCTTGTATTCTTTAGATTGGTACCATCATCAATCACATAATAACTAAGTCCAGATGAGTCAGCTTCTTAGGTATCACCAGATACCTCTTCCTCACCATCCCTTCTGAGATAATTTAGGTAACCGTCATCTTTTAATTTAAGGGATTGCCACCTGTCTTACTACCATCTTCAAACATCTGTGAAAATATTGTTTTTCCCCTAAAACACAAATCTGTTCCTACCAGTCCTTCCTTATAATCATCCCAATTGCCTGTGGGAAAGAAACTAAATTCCTCAGCATCTACCAGGCCTTTCATTTGTGTCTACTTCTCCCATCTGATCTGCCTCCCAATCTGCAGACTTCAGTCATTCAAAATGAGTATTCTCAGAACATTTCATGTACTCTCACATCTCTGGAACCTTGTCTTTGTTGCTCTCTCTGCCTGGAAATTAATTCTTATTCCCAGTTATCCCTCCCTCCTGGCAGAGTCTTAATTCATCTTTAAAAATTCAGCTCCTTTCAAACCTCTGCCATCACCCTTCAAGACTCTTAGGGGTTCCTTCTTTCATGGACCTCCACAGACTTCCATTTGGCCTTTACCATGCTGCTGAGCACTTTGAAGCCTAAGGCTGTTTTCATTTCAGTTTCTTTAGCAAGCAACAGTACATCTCATTGTTTTTGTTGAGTAAAGGAAGGAATAAATGCTAGAGAGAGATGTCATTCCAGTTCAGTGCCCACCATTCACAGATGGAGACCTGAGGCCCAGAGAGGAGACATGATTTGAGGAAGGCTAAAAGACTGAATAGGGCCGGGTGAGGTGGCTAACGCCTGTAATCCCAGCACTTTGGGAGGCCGAGGTGGGAGGATCACTGGAGCCCAGGAGTTCAAGACCAGCCTGGGCAACATGGCAAAAACCCATTTCTACAAAAAACACAAAAATTAGCCCGGTGTGGTGGCACAGGCCTGTAATCCTGGCTACTCTGGAGGCTGAGGTGGGAGGATCTCTTGAGTCCGTGAGATCAAGGCTGCAGTGAGCCGAGATCGTGCCACCGCACTCCAGCCTGGGTGACAGGGCAAGACCCTGTCTCAAAAAAAAAAAAAAAAAAAAAAAAAAAAAAAAAAGAAGGGCCTGGGCTGCAACACAGGCCTCGGGGACAAAGCCAGTGATTTTTTTAAAAAATTATTTATTTATTTATTTTATTTTTTGCTATGAAACAAGCCACATTTACAGATATAACCGACTTGGGATTGTTACACTGATGTCTAGTCTCGGCTTTATTTCAACCCTGGGAGCTAGTAAGCATCCCTTACGTTGAAGTTCATTGTTTTTTTGTTTTGTTTTGTTTTGTTTTCAGGCTCCGGTGTTTGCTGAAGAGTCAACATCCTCCTTTTGTGACTTGGGACTACAGGATTCCTCCTCATCCCTCCGCACCTGAGAAGAGGGGCCTCTCTCTGAAAGATTTCTGCTGAGGACCCCCATTCCTGCTGGGTTCCAGGCTGCGTCTCTGGAAACCGTGGCGCCCTCAGGTCAGCCAGCTCCCGAGTGGATGTGGGGTTGGGAGCGGCTCTTAACAGACCAGGATAAAACTCAGGGAAGCGCCTTCAGCTGCACCGCAACATTCCAGGACGCTCAGAAGCAATTATTACAGGCGAGGTTCATTCACCTCTCAGGCCTGTGGGAACAACAGGACGGGCTGTGGCTTTCGAACTGGCTGTCGCTGAAAGGCCAGATCGGAGGACCTGCTCTGACTGAACCACTTCGCCTTTCAGTGAACAGAGGGACTTGGCCACCGAAGCTCCGAGACGCCCGGAGGCGCAGCGCTGGACGCGCTGACAGGCGAGCGCCCACGGGTCGCGTGCTTCCCGGCAGCCCGGGGGCGGGGCCTCAGACCACGCCCCCGCCTTATGATTGGTCCCTTCGAAACAGGCGGCGGCCAGCGGCTACTGACCCTGAGGCCCAGGCGGCGGCGGCAGCGGCGGCGGTTGGTCAGGGGCGTGTTGGCCCCGCACAGATTGAGCCGAGTTGTCGCCCCGCTGGGAGAAGTGACCCTCCTGCGCCTGGTGAGTACTTCCCTGTTTGTCTTCTCTTTTCCTGGCGAACTTTTACGCGCTGTCTCGGGGCCTCCGCGCCTCAGCCTGAGGGCTCCAGGAGCCCCCCGCTCTCTGAGGCCCCGAAGCTGAGGTTTGTTGGGTCTCCCGGCTGCGGGAGCCAGTACGCTCTGCGTTTGCCTGGCTGCGGCAGTCGCGTGCTCTGATTGGCTCCTGGGGCCGTCAAGGTGACGTTGCGCCTGCCTTCACCTGTCCACCCAAGTGCGGAGAGAGGGGCGACAGGTGTGCGGGGCGGTTGGGGCTGCTGGTGTGGGCGAGCTCAGCTGGGGAGGAGGGATCCAGCCGCTACTCGCCCTGCTTTAAATCCAGAGCGGTATCAGAGCCCGAAGGTACTGTGGGATCTTCAGGGGCACCCTCATCCCTAAGCGCCTGGCACTTAGAGGGTCTGTTTTTTTCTGTTCATCATCCTCGGAAAGAATTGATGAAGTCTCTGGCCCTGCAAAGAGAAAGAGACAGACAGTTATTCTTGCCCTCTAGCAAGGTTTATAGGCTCTTCCCTGTTTTTTCTCCCAGTCCATGCAGGGTCTAGAACGCCCACATGTGCGGAACTGGGGAATAGAGCTGGAGACCCTGCGCGATGCCTTCCGCCCACAACCCTCAGTTTGGAGGACTGCCCGGGGAGAGGCTGGCAAAAGAAAGGGAAGGCTTGTAGAGTGCCTTGGAAGTCAGAGGAAAGTTTTGGAGGGCGTGCTCCTCTATGCAGTCACCCGTGGTTCCTTTCCTAATCTTTTCACACCGAGGGATTGAATGTTGTAAATTTGAGTGCTTTGTGGCATGGCATGGTGGAATAGCTGATCCCCAGTGGTTGCAAAGAGATGATTTTAGGTCAGAGCCTGGGTTTTGCTTCGCTTGTGTGAAGAGCAAAAAACAAACAAACAAAAACAACAAGAACAACAGAACCGCTTTGTGAATTGCTATCTGATCACCTGTCTTGGCACTTAAATGATTAGAAATTGAAATTCTCACCACCTCAGATTCCCTTTGGGAACAAATTGGAACTGTTTCAAATGACAGAAGTGGAAACTCTAGTGATCTGGTGTAGATGCCGATACCTGTTGTCTGACTCATCTGTTTCAAAATCTCATTAGAAACCAACTGTCATTGAACAGTAGGTGTTTGCTATCTGACATTGAATTAGAAGTAGTAATTTTTTTTTTTTTAGCGTGACAGAGTTGCTAAGCAGGGGGGCTCTGAAATCAGACTTCATTGGATATCTGACTTTAGACACATTATTTAATCCTTCTAAGCCTAAATTTCCTAGTCTGTGAAAGAAGGTTAATAATAGTTCCTACTTTATTGAGAGGATTGTTGTAAAGATTAAATGAAATTCCACGTAACTAATTTAGCACAGTGCCTGATACATAGCTATTATTATTTCTCTGCTGTTTAACTTAGACAAAAAGTTTTGAGCTCTCCCCAAAGGATGGGGAGAGGTAGAAGGTGAAGGCAGTACCAGAGATAGGGATAATTATTGTTTATTGACTAAATTATACATGTAAAGCATTTAAAACAGTATCTGACACATCATAAACACGTGGATTACTATTTATCAAACACATCATTATATATCAGGTATTGTGTTCTTTACTTATATTATTGTTAAACCTCTTAGTAATCCTAAAATGTAGTTCATGTTATCTCTATTTTTTTTTTTTTTTTTTTTTTTGAGACAGAGTCTCGCTCTGTCGCCCATGCTGGAGTGCAGTGGCGCGATCTCGGCTCACTGCAACCTCTGCCTCCCGGGTTCAAGCGATTCTCCTGCCTCAGCCTCCCGAGTAGTTGGACTCCAGGTGTGTGCCACTACGCCCAGCTGATTTTTGTATTTTGGTAGACACGGGGTTTCACCATGTTGGCCAGGATGGTCTCGATCTCTTGACGTCGTGTTCCGCCCGACTCGGCCTCCCAAAGCTCTGGGATTACAGGCATGAGTCACCGCGCCTGGCCGTTATCTCTATTTTATAGGGGACAAAACTGAAGCTCAAAGAAGGGAAATCACTTACTAGGGTTCACCTGGAATTCAGTGCAGGCTTTTTTCTGTGTTACACACCTTTATATTCCTAACATTAAGTAACTTTCCTGCACTGGATTGTCAGTGTGACCCAGATTAATTTCTGCTGTGGGTATGGGTTTATTTTGAATACATTATGAATTTTAAAATAATGAGAAATAACTTGTGATGGTAAATCAAAATTTGTGATAAAAGAATAGTGTCAACAAAATGCATGCTATTAGTAAAAAAAACAGTGATATTTTGGAGTTTTGATGTTTGGAGAATGGCCACTTCAGAAATGATGTTCCTAATTTATATTTTGATAAATAGAAATGATGTTTGGAGAATTGGCTGTTTCAAAAGTAGTATCTCCTCATTTATATTTTCTCATTTAATTTTCATTTATTCACTATGTTTTTACTAAGCTACTCTTCCTTTTTTTTTCCTATCAATTTAAGTTTGGAGATAATAGGAAAGGTTCAGTTATTTGGATAGATTACTAAAGAGCTTGCTGTTGATGATGAGGAAAGTAAGAGATTAAACTTAATATGTATTCTTATGTTTTACTTTCTTACAGTAACGTGTGTATTTTACTTCTTATTATTGGTTTTCATACTTTGATATTAGATATACCAGTACATATCTAATGAGTCATGCAATGGACATAGAATGATATTAGATATACCTTTACAGATCTAATGAGTCATGCAATGGACATAGAATCTGAGAAAATAGGAAACTTGAGTCTGTTGGCCAATTTGTCTCACATTGAGTTTCTTGATTTTTAATTAGAGTTTAGTTGTCACAGAGAAATGCTTCAGAAGTAATGTTTATGAGATACAGACCATAATTATAACTGTATTTCTTTAATGTTTCTCCTAAAAACTCAGAAAGTGTTTTCATTTGATTACATTGTTACAGAGTAGGTAGGGTGTTTTGGTTAACAGAAAGCCACCATGTATTTCATAAGGGTGTTACAAATTTCCAAAGAACTAGAATGTAATAAAATGTAGCAGCCTACTAAATGTGATGTCATCTTTGCCTCTGTAAGCATCCTAGAGTTTATAGTATTATGACCATCAGTCATGTGCTGGATATTGCTGAAGTGGTGACTCATAGAGACTTCCGCCTACTGTCATACAACATAAACGTTTCTCTAAGAAAGTATAATATTAGCTATGGTGAAGGGCTCACTTTATATAGATAGTTAGCTGTTGAAAAAAAGTTTGATGTTCAGCATGTCTTCTTTGTTACACACACAGAGAATTTAGAAAAGCACTGTGATCCCAGTAACATTACATATACTGTTCTACAGGTTGCTTTTGTTCACTTAACAAAATAGACATATTTTCATATCAGTGCATATAGCTCTGTGTTATTCTTTGAAGTGGTTAAATGAGTCTACTGTATGAATGTCCCATTAGTTATTTGAGCAGTTCCCTGTTAATGGATAGTTAGATATTGTTCTTATATTTTTTATGTTAGTGTTTATATATGTCCCCATACATTCTTTTAATCTATCATGTGTAAAGGCAAACTGATCTTAAGTTCGTTAAAAAAATTGTATGCCACAAAATTTTTGACAAACTAAAAATTATGTCTAATATAAAATTAAGTTATTCAGGTTGGGTCTCTGCCAAACATTTCAAAAGGAAAATTTCAAATAAAAAAAGATTCTCAACAAAGTCTCTATATTTTTCAAATAACATGTAATGTTTTATTAAACTGTAAACATTTTATTTTTCTCTTAAAAATCTTTATCTGTAATAGAAGCATCTGTTGCATTTAGGAGTAATTCTAGTACTAATTTTAACTCTGATTTCATAGTGACATAGAAGAAATGAAGACTGTTAACCACCTTAAGGATCTTATTTTTAAAAGTATAGAGTGCAGCAAAATAGAAGCATATAATATTGCTATATCCCTAAATTGGGGAGATGATTCAGGGAAGACTTTGGAGGAATAGAATCTAGACAGGTAAGAGTGAGTCTGGAAAAGAGGTGTAAGAAGAGCATAGGTGGATCAGCAAGTGCGAAGACCTAGAGGTGAAAGCATGGCGCTTAGAAGGATCTTTAACAAGTTCACTAAGGCTGAAGTGTAAGAGTCAAGAGACAGGGCTGGTGAGGATCCTACAAATCTTTGTTAGCTTGGTTAAGGAGTTTGGGCTTTATCCTGAAAACACTGGGCAACCATTAAGGGTTATAAGCAGGGCAGTAGTAAAATGTCCTTGGATCAGAGTTGTGAAAAAATCATTCTGGCTGTGGTTCATGAAGAACAGGGTTGCAAGGCTGGAGAAAAGGTGACTGTTTCAGTAAACCTGGAGAAGGATGATGGTGGCTTGAACTAGAGGAGTGGCTGTAGGTATTGAGAAAATTTAGAGGTAGAAGCAACAAGATATAGTCACTGTTCTGGCTGAGGAAAGATGGGGCAGGTGGAGGTGTGAGAGAGGAGGGAATTAAGAATGTCCTGGTAACTTAGTGAATTTTAATGGTGTTCCCTGAGATGGTAAACACAGGCAGCCTCTGTAAACATATAAATGAGTGAATGGATGGATGAATGATAGATGTACAAAGGCAGGACCATTTGATGAGGAGGAGGATGATAGTAAATACATAGTACTTGCGGTAGGTTTAACCTATCAGTTTTTTTCTTCTTTTGCATGCTTTATATAGCTGGTGCTCTTTTCTTCATTATTTCAACAGATTAGGTTAGCTGCATCTTCTAATTGTATATCATATTTTGGATACATATTACTTTCTCTAGGTCAAGTGTCTTGGCAAATCTTCCTTTCTTCACGTAAGATGTGTATTGGCGGCAGCCGTGGGAGGTCCAGACACAGGTGGCCATGGAACTCGCTGGTAATAGAGGACACATCTCTTAACTGGGTTGCTCTAAGAACTGATGCCTAAACCATCTCAGCATGGCGTATAAAGGAGAAGGTGGGCATGGCCAGCCTCCCTCAGCTACACTGTCTCAGGTTAGCCCTGGAAGTCTTTACACACGTAGAACCCATACCCATAATATATGTATGGCATCTGACTTTTTCTACCCAAATATGGGAGGTGTGGAAAGCCACATTTACCAGCTCCCTCAGTGCCTGATTGGAAGAGGGGATAAGGTTATAATTGTCATCCATGCTTATGGAAATCGAAAAGGCATCCGTTACCTCACTAATGACCTCAAAGTCTATTACTTGCCTCTGAAAGTCATGTATAACCAGTCTATGGCCATGACCCTCTTTCACAGTCTGCCATTGCTCAAGTACATATTTGTTCAGGAGAGAGTCACAATAATCCATTCACATAGTTCATTTTCTGCCATGGCCCATGATGTTCTCTTCCATGCCAAGACAATGGGGCTTCAAACAGTCTTAACAGACCATCCCCTTTCTGGATTTGCTAAGGTCCATTCAGTGCTTACAAACAAACTTCTAACTGTGTCTCTTTGTGACACAAGCCGTATCATTTGCGTTTCTTATACTAGTAAGGAAAATACCGTACTACGAGCGGCACTGATTACTGAAATAGTGTCTGTCATTCCTAACGCTGTAGATCCTATTGACTTCACTCCAGACCCATTTAGAAGGCATGATAGTATAACTATTGTTGTCAGCAGACTTGTTTACAGAAAGGGAACAAATTTGGTTAGTGGTATTATACCCAAACTCTTGTCAGAAATATTAAGATTTAAATTTCATAATTGGAGGAGAGGGACCAAAGAGAATCATTTTGCAAGAAGTTCCGGAAAGATACCAGTTGCATGACAGGGTGCATCTTTTGGGAGCTTTAGAACACAAGAATGTTAGAAATGTCTTAGTTCAAGGACATATTTTTCTTAATACCTCCCTTACTGAAGCATTCTGCATGGCGATCATGGAAGCAGCCAGCTGTGGTTTACAGGTTGTAAGTACCAGGGTTGGTGGAATTCCTGAGGTGCTTCCGGAAAATCTTACTATTTTATGAGAAACTTCAGTAAAATCTTTGTGTGAGGGATTGGAAAAAGCTATTTTCCAACTGAAGTCAGGGGCATTGCTGGCTCCAGAAAATATCCGTAACATAGTAAAGACTTTCCACACCTGAAGGAATGTTGTGGAGAGAACTGAAAAAGCGTATGACCAAGTATCAGTGGAATCTGTGTTGCCAATGGACAAACAACTGGACAGACTTATTTCTCACAGTGGACCAGTAACAGGCTACATCTTTGCTTTGTTGGCTGTTTTCAACTTCCTCTTCCTCATTTTCTTGAGATGGATGACTCCAGATTCTTATCATTGATACTGGAATAGATGCCACTGGGCCAAGGGGTGCCTGGACTCATAAATGTTCTCACAGTAAAAGAGGGGGTGAGAATATTAAGATATCTAAAACCAGGTAGAAGAGAGCCTACATTGTAAGATTTTAAACATTTGTAATAGTTGTATTAAGACTATGGAAAATAACCTGCTTTTTGGGGGCTTGTGTTTTTTATTAGTTTTTTATAAGTTAATTTAGTAAGTTATGCTACTTCTATATCATTCAATGTTTTCTTTTGAGGAAAGATAAAAACTTAGGCAATTCCTGAGTGTAGAAACCTTGCACTTATTTAAAATTTAGAAGAGAACATTTAAACCATTCAGGTATTAAATTTTTCAGACTACTGAAATCCCTGTAGCAGAGATGTTTTAACATTATATTTTGAGAGCTTTGGGTGCTGAAGGGCCAAACATTTTCTGGGCATTTTTTTGGCCAGTTTTTAATGTTATGCCATTAGTTAGACACTCACTAGATGTTTACAAGTTTTCTTCAGGGAAGTACAACAACTATATGAACTATTTTAAGTCATGTTTATATACATTTATTAGAAATCTAAGTCATGCCTTTAAACATTTATTAGGTTCACTCAGTAGGTGTTAACATAAAATTAACAGGTTCCTTGAGTAAGATAGTCCATCAGTTACCAGCACATTTTGAGCACCTGCTATATGTGGAATGTTGAACTAGATGCTTCCTGCCGTTAAGGACCAGAAATGCATTAACTCTTTATCATTCAAATGGCTTATTTCATCATAGTCATGGTTGATATAAGATATATAGCCTACATGCCAAAAATGCTCATGCCAGTTAATGCCAGGAAAAAAATCACCGACACACTACTAGTACTTCTTTGATCCTGTTCTATGCATTCTCCTAGGTAGAGCCTTCATCTTCCATTGTGTTGATGAAGATATTTTTTGCTTTTTAAATACTAGGGACTGATATCACTGTTGATAGTGCAGAGAAACCCTCCATAATTAAGTTTTCTGTAAAAGCCTTCGTGTTTTCTGAGCAGAATGTACGAGGTGTGCCATCCCAAAACCAGCTGCTACCCTGTCCTTTTAATGTAAGTCACTCTCCTTTGCTGTGGCCTTGCTGATGTCTGATAAGTATTGTCAGTGTGCAAAAGGCTTTATTTCAGAATGTTTTATTTATAGCAAACCAAGTCTGAAAGTTTTAAGAACACAGTCTTTGTGGGTGGATGTTATTAACTGTAATTGTTGTTGCCCAGAGCCATGGGTTTTTTAACCCCAAATTATCCACATGGTGTGTATTATTCTTTGAACTTTTAAGGTTTTTGTGAGAAAAGGACTGTGAAATCAAAATAAGGAGGCACTTGTGGGTGCACTAGATAGATTCCGTCAGTATTGTGATTATGAGATTTTAAAAAATGACAAAATTCACAAAACTTACTACTTTCTAAAAAGTAACATGTCTGTTAACTGGTTGTACTGATATAAAAAGAAATATATTTGGGTTTTGTTTGCACTAAAATGCAAAAGCAAGAGTCCAGTTTTTAATATCTAGAAGTTAGGGAGTTCTTTTGTTGGAGAAAAATGGACTGATCTAAACCATTCATTCTTGTTGAGATTTTTATGTGTAGGAACTCACATATAAACATGAAATAACCACTGCCAATATTCACGGTAAAGTGAGAAACTATAACATTATTTTACTTAACAAGTTTTAAAGGCATACCACCGTTTTTTCCTTATTTTTTGCTTAATTTTTAAAAATTGTCATTTAATTCTTAAATTGTCATTTATTTGAGATGGAAATGAGATTTAAAGTTAGTTGCCTTTGCATGTAAAATATATAACTTGCAAATTAAAATATTTTTATTTTTTTGAACAAGTGGAAGTAAATTTGTTTTACATAAATCTTAATTTTCAACTTTCCTAGATACTGTCACACGTGCCCATGTTAAGAGACCACCAAACAGGCTTTGTGTGAGCAAGAAAGCTTTTCAATCACCTGGGTGCAGGTGGACTGAGTCTGAAAAAGGAGTCAGCAAAGGGAGATAAGGGTGGGCAGTTTTATAGGATTTGGGTAGGTAGTGGAAAATTACGTCGAAGGTGGTTTTTCCCTTGCGGGGCAGGGGCCGGAGTTACAAGGTGCTTGGTGGGGAACTTCTGAGACTCATTGTCCAGGAGAAGGAATGTGACAAGGTCAGTTGATCAATTAGGGTGGGGCAGGAGCAAATCACAATGGTGGAATGTCATCAGTTAAGGCAGGAACTGCCTATTTTCACTTCTTTTGTGGTTCTTCAGTTGCTTCAGGCCATCTGGATGTATACGTGCAGGTCACAGGGGATATGTGATGGCTTAGCTTGGGCTCAGAGGCCTGACAGATACCTTAATTGTAACTGTCAGTGTTGCACTGGTCAGTATTTGGAAACACATTGTTCTACCCTGCTACTTACATTGATTTGAAAGTTAATTTACAGTGATGAGGAATTTATGAAAAATATATTTCTTTTGATGTTTCAAAAGGTTGCCCATGACAAACTGATTTGTTAAAACATGCTACATGTTCAAAAATAAAGACCAGAATGACAAAAAAACCCAGAGTGTATTAGCTTCTAGTTACGGCTGTAACAAATTACCACAAATTTATTGGTTTAAGACGACACATATTCATTATCTTATGGTTTAGAAATCAGAACTCAGGGTCTTTCAGTGCTAAAAGGTGCTGACAGGGTTGTGCTGTGTTTGGAGCCTCCAAGGGAGAGTTCTTTTCCTTTCCCAGTTTCCGCTGACACCTGCATATTCCTTGGCTCCCTCCTCCGTCTTCACAGCCTGCAGTGTAGCACCTCAGATCTCTCTTTGATGCTCTTCCATCATGACTTCTCCTCCTGTCTCTTTGCAGCTGTCCTCACATCACCTTCGGTGACTCTGACCTTTCTGCATCCCTCTTGTTTTTCTTTACCCCCAAGAGAGGGTTCTTGGATCTCATGCAAGAAAGAATTCGGGACAAGTCCATAGAGTAAAGCAAAAGAAAATTTATTAAGAAAGTAAAGGAATAAAGAATGGCACTCCATAGGCAGAGCAGCTCTGCATCCCTCTTACAGGAACTCCTGGGACTACATTGGGTCCACTAGGAAAATCTCCCACCTCAAGAGCCTTAATTAATCTGAAAGGTCCCATTTGCTTTGTAAGGTCACATATTCACAGGTTCTGAGGATTAGGATGTAGACAACTTTGAGAGCCATCATTCTGTCTACTACACATGGAGTTTACTTAAGATGTAAAAATGTTTGTGCCCACTGGGGCAGTTGTATGAATTCCTGAGTAGCTCATTTATCAGAATCCTTGCCCCTTGGCAGAGCTGTTGTCCTGTTAACTTGGAACCTCTGCCTACACAGAAACCTTAGTCATTTCTTTCTTTCTTCCTTCCTTCCTTCCTTTCTTTCTTTTTTTTCTCTCAGCTCACTGCAACCTCCACCTCCCGGGTTCAAGCGATTCTCCTGTCTCAGCCTCCCTAGTAGCTGGAACTACAGGTGTGTGCCACCATGCCGACTAATTTTTTTTGTATTTTTAGTAGAGACGGGGCTTCACCATGTTAGCCAGGATGGTCTTGATCTGATCTCATAATACATCTGCCTTGGCCTCTCAAAGTGCTGGGATTACAGGCATTTGCCACCGCACCCAGCCGTCATTTTTTTTCCTAGTAATTCCTCTGGTATATCAGGCAGCTCACTTGACATGCTAGCACCTTGACCGTAATCACTGTACATATTTTACCTGGAATATGTTGGGTGAGAGGCAAAATTATGTATCAATTCAGGTCACGTAAATAATAATAAGAAATAATAAATGATATCAAAAAAGGTCCCCCGGCAGATGCTGTTCACTATGTGGCTGCTTCTAAACTTTACTGTCACATTTCATCGATAGCAGAAACATTGTGGAGAAGGGAGACAATCAGTTTTTCCTAGGGGTTTTCACATTTCTCCTACAAAAACTGTTTCCTAAACTCCAGGCTTGAATACTTCTATCAACTCTATTTCCAATAGCAACCCAGGAAAACTTATGCTTGGCTAAGCAGTGTATAGGAATAGCTCAAAATAGTAAAAGGCACCATACAGGCAAGTAATAGGGAGAAATGTGAATTCAAGGGCTAAAGATATAATCAGAATTAATTCAGGCCAATCAGGAAGGGCTACTAGAAAGAGGTGAATCAAAAAAGTTACAAGCCTAGATTAGTTAAGATCATGAAGCAACTCTCCAACTGTTTCTTCTCTGTCTCCTTTGCTGACTCCTTCGAAGTGTAAATGTTGGATTTTCACAGGTCTTGTTCTTAGACCCTTGTCACTTCCTTTTCCATTTCCCTCAGATGATGTCATTCTTTCCAATGGCTTTAACTCCCAAGTATTTGCTGACAATTTTTATCTCCTCCTGAATTTTTTTCTTAGTTCTAGATTCATATTTCCAACTGCCTACCCGACATTCCTACTTGAATGTCTTTTTTTTTTTTGAGACAGAGTCTCGTTCTGTCACTCAGGCTGGAGTGCAGTGGTACAATCTAGGTTCACTGCAACCTCCGCATCCCAGGTTCAAGCAATTCTTCTGCCTCAGCCTCCCGAGTAGCTGGGACTATGGGTGCTGCTGCCATGCCCAGCTAAATTTTGTATTTTCAGTAGAGACAGGGTTTCATCATGTTGGCCAGGATGGTCTTGATTTCAAGACCTCGTGAACCACCCACCTTGGCCTCCCAAAGTGCTGGGATTACAGGCCTAAGCCACTGTGCTTGGGCCCTACTTGAATGGTTTTTTTTTTTTTTTTTTTTTTTGAGACGGAGTCTTGCTCTGTTGCCTAGGCTGGAGTGCTGTGGCGCAATCTTGACTCCCTGCAAGCTCTGCCTCCTGGGTTCACGCCATTATCCTGCCTGAGCCTCCCAAGTAGCTGGGACTACAGGCACCCGCCACCACACCTGGCTATTTTTTTTTTTTTTTTTGGTATTTTTAGTAGAGATGGGGTTTCACCGTGTTAGCCAGGATGGTCTCGATCTTCTGACCTCATGATCTGCCTGCCTTGGCCTCCCAAAGTGCTGGGATTACAGGTGTGAGCCACTGTGCCTGGTCCTACTTGAATGTTTTTAAAGGCTTCCTGAAACAAACCAAAACACAGCACTCTTTTTTTTTCTTCCCCCAAGATGGAGTCTTGAGTCTTGCTCTGTCACCCAGGTTGGAGTGCAGTGTAGCAATCTTGGCTCACTGCAACCTGTGCCTCCTGGGTTCAAGCAATTCTCCTGCCTCAGCCTCCCAAGTAGCTGGGATTACAGGTGCCCACCACCACACCTGGCTAATTTTTGTATTTTTAGTAGAGACGGGGTTTCACCATGTTGGCCAGGCTGGTCTTGAACTCCTGACCTCATGATCCACCCACCTTGGCCTCCCAAAGTGCTGAGATTACAGGCGTGAGCCACCACACCCAGCCAACACAGCACTCTTGACCCATGTATGCTGTGTATCCAGCTTCAGGTTGTTCATCACCCTCATCTCAGTAAATGCTGCCTCTGTCTCTGCTCAAATTCCCTAAGCCTGAAACAGTAGTTCTTGACACTCTGCTCTTACATTCCTCTCCTTTACCCCATCATCTCTGACAGTTGCCAAATCCGTTTGTTCTTAACTCCAAATATATGTCAGATCCATCTCCTTTCCAGTGGAGACTGTTAGATTCTAGCTCAGTCACCATTGTTTGTCACTGAACTACTGCAGTGGACTCTTCCCTCTTCCACACTACTCTCCCATCTCATTTCTTATACAGTGTTTCTTTGGCTCTCACCTTTTCTACCCCTACTTGTTTCTCCTTCTCTCAGTGTTTCCCTAGTTCTTTTTCCTACATATTCATCCACTTTTCCCCCTTTTCTCTGTTAAACGCATCACTGTTTCACTCCACCCTTTCTCTCTCTTCCTCGGATTTCCTTTAAAACTGTGAATTAGATCATGTCGCTACTCTCTTAGTTAAAATTCATTAGGGGCTTCCATTGCATTTAGGATAATATCTGGTGAGGGACTTCAATAAACCACTGACAACACTAGACAGGTCATCAAGACAGAAAATCAACCAAGAAACAATGGATTTAAACTATACCTTGGGACAAATGGACTTAACAGATATATACAGAACATTTCATCCAACAACAGCAGACAGAATACACATTCTGTTCAACAGCGCATGGAACTTTCTCCAAGATAGACCATGTAATAGGGCATAAAACGAGCCTCAGTAAATTTAGGAAAATTGAAATTATATCAAGCACTCTCTCAGACCACAGAGGAGTAATACTAGAAATCAACTCCAAAAGGAACCTTCAAAACTGTGCAAACACATGGAAACTCAATAGCCTGCTCCTGAATGAGCATTGGGTCAAAAACGAAATCAAGATGGAAATTTAAATGTCATTTGAACTGAACTACAGTAGTGACACAACCTATCAAAACCTCTAGGATACAGCAAAGGCGGTGCTAAGAGGAAAGTTCATTGCCCCAAACGTGTATATCAAAAAGACTGAAAGAGCACAAACTAATACTCTTAAGGTCACACCTCTAAGGAAATAGAGAAACAAGAACAAACCAAACCCAAACCCAGCAGAAGGAAATAACCAAGATCGTAGCAGAACTAAATGAAATTGAAACAAAAAAATACAAAAGATAAATGAAACAAAAAGCTGGTTCTTTGAAAAGATAAATAAAATTGATAGACCATTGGCAAGCTTAATGAAGAAAAGAAGAGAAAAAATCCAAATAACCTCACTAAGAAACAAAACAGGAGATATTACAACTGACAACACTGAAATATAAAAGATCATTCAAGGCTACTATGAACACCTCTATGCACATAAACTAGAAAATCTAGAAGAGATGGATACATTACTGGAAAAATACAACCCTCCTAGCTTAAAACAGGAAGAATTAGATACCCTGAACAGACCAGTAACAAACAGTGAGATTGAAATGGTAATTAAGAAATTACCAACAAAAAAGAAGTCCAGGACAAGATAGATTCACAACAGAACTCTACCAGACATTCAAAGAAGAATTGGTACCAATCCTTTTGACACAATTCCACAAGATAGAGAAAGAAGGAACCCTCCCCAACTCATTCTATGTAGCCAGCATCACCCTAATAACAAATCCAGGAAAGGACATAACCAAAAAAGAAAACTACAGACCAATATCCTTGATGAACATAGATGCTAAAATCTTTGTAATTGACAAAATACTAGCTAACTGAATCCAACAACATATCAAAAAGATAAACCACCATGATCAAGTGGGTTTTATACCAGGGATGCAAGGATGGTTTAACATATGCGAGTCAGTAAATGTGATACAGCACATAAACAGAATTAAAAGCAAAAATCACATGATCATTTCAGTAGATGGAGAAAAAGCATTAGGCAAAATCCAGCATCCCTTTCTGATTAAAACTCTCAGCAAAATCGGCATACAAGGGGCATACCTTAATATAATAAAAGCCATCTATGGACAAACCCACATCCAACGTAATGCTGAATGGGGAAAAGTTGAAAGCATTCCCTCTGGGAACTGGAACAAGACAAGGATGCCCACTCTGACCACTCCTCTTCAACCTAGTACTGGAAGTCCTAGCCAGAGCAGTGAGAAAAGAGAAAGAAATAAAGGGCATCCAGGCTGGGCGCGGTGGCTCACGCCTGTAATCCCAGCACTTTGGGAGGCTGAGGCGGGTGGATCACAGGGTCAGGAGATCAAGACCATCCTGGCTAACATGGTGAAACCCTGTCTCTACTAAAAATACAAAAAATTAGCCAGGTGTGGTGGTGGGCACCTGTAGTCCCAGCTACTCGGGAGGCTGAGGCAGGAGAATGGTGTGAACCCAGGAGGTGGAGCTTGCAGTGAGCTGAGATCGTGCCACTGCACTCCAGCCTGGGTGACAGAGCGAGACTCCATCTCAAAAAAATAAAATAAAATAAAATAAAGGGCATCCAAATCGGTAAAGAGGAAGTCTAACTATTACTGATTGCTGACGATATGATTGTTTACCTTTAAAACCCTAAGGACTCCTCCAGAAAGCTCTTAGAACAGATAAAATATTGGGGGAACCCACCCCCAATATTTCAGTGTAGGTTCTTTCTATTTTCCATAAGTGTCGGCTGACTGAGAAATAAAGAGAGACAGTACAAAGAGAAGAGTTTTACAGTTGGGCTGCCAGGGGTGACATCACATATCGGTAGGCCTGTGATGCCCTCCTGAGTCTCAGACCAGCAAGTTTTTATTAAGGGTTTCAAAAGGGCAGGGAGTGTAAGAACAAGGAGTAGGTACAAAGATCACATGCTTCAAAGGGCAAAAAACAGAATTACTAATAAGGGTCTAACAAAGATCACATGCTTCTGAGGGAACAGAACAAAGGGGAAAAGCAGAACTAATAAGGGTCTATGTTCAGCAGTGCAGGTATTGTCTTGATAAACATCTTAACAGAAAACAGGGTTTGAGAGCAGAGAACCAGTCTGACCACAAATTTACCAGGGCGGAGTTTTTTCCCACCCTAGTAAGCCTGAGGGTTCTGCAGGAGACCAGGGCATATCTCTGTCCTTATCTCAACTGTGTAAGACAGACATTCCCAGAGCAGCCATTTATAGACCTCCCCCCAGGAACGTATTCCTTTCCCAGGGTATTAATATTAATATTCCTTGCTAGAAAAAGAACTTAGCAATATCTTTCCTACTTGCACATCCATTTATAGGCTCTCTGCAAGAAGAAAAATATGGCTCTTTTTGCCTGACCCCACGGGCAGTCAGACCTTATGCTTGTCTTCCCTTGTTCCATAAAAATCGCTGTTATTCTGTTCTTTTTCAAGGTGCACTGATTTCATATTGTTAAAAAACATGTTTTACAATCAATTTGTAGAGTTAACACAATTATCACAGTGGTCCTGAGGTGATGTACATCCTCAGCTTACGAAGATAACAGGATTAAGAGATTAAAGTAAAGACAGGCATAAGGAATTATAAAAGTATTATTTGGGAACTGATAAATGTCCATATTAATATGAAATCTTCACAATTTATGTTCGTCTGCTGCGGCTCCCTCCGTTTAGGGTCCCTGACTTCCAGCAACAATAAAAATTCAGCAAGGTTTCTGGATACAAGCTTAATGTACACAAATCAGTAGCTCTTCTATACACCAACAGCAACCAAACAGAGAATCAAATCAAGAACTCAACCCCTTTTATAATAGCTGCAAAAAAAAAAATGAATATACCTAACCAAGGAGTCAAAGACCTCTACAAGGAAAACTACAAAACACTGCTGAAACAAATCATAGACAACATGAACAAATGGAAATACATCCCATGCTCATGGATGGGTAGAGTCAATATTGTGAAAATAACCATACTGCCAAAAGCAATCTACAAATTCAACACAATCCCCATCGAAATACCACCATCATTCTTCACAGAATTAGAAAAAACAATTCTAAAATTCATATGGAACCAAAAAAGAGCCCACATAGCCAAAGCAAGACTAATCAAAAAAGAATAAATCTGGAAGCATCACACTACCTGATTTCAAACTATATTATAAGGCCATGGTCACCAAAACAGCGTGGTACAGCTACAAACATAGGCACATAGGAAATGGAACAGAATAGAGAACCCAGAAATAAACCCAAATACTTACAGCCAAATCATCTTTGACAAAGCAAACAAAAACATAAAGTGGGGGAAAGGACACCCTTTTCAACAAATGGTGCCGGGATAATTGGCTAGCCACGTGTAGGATCCTCATCTCTCACCTTACACAAAAATCAACTCAAGATGGATTAAGGATTTAAACCTAAGACCTGAAACTATAAAAATTCTAGAAGATGACACTGGAAAAACTCTTCTAGACATGGGCTTAGGCAAGGATTTAATGACCAAGAACCCAAAAGCAAATGCAGTAAAACAAAGATAAATAGCTGTAACCTAATTAAACTAAGGAGCTTTTAGTTTGTATAGCAAAAGGAACAGTCAGCAGAGTAAACAGACAACCCACAGAGTGGGAGAAAATTTTCATAAGCTATACATCTGACAAAGGACTAATATCCAGAATCTACAACAAACTCAGACAAATCAGTAAGAAAAACCCAAACAATCTCATCAAAAACTGGGCTAAGGACATGAATAGACAGTTCTCAAAAGAAGATATACAAATGGCCAATAAAAATAAGAAAAAATGCTCAGTATCACTAATGATCAGGGAAATGCAAATGAAAACCACAATGTGATACTACCTCACTATTGCAAGAATAGCCATAATCAAAAAATCAAAAAACAATAGATGTTGGCATGGATGCGGTGAACAAGGAACACTTCTACACTGCTGGTGGAAATGTAAACTAGTACAGATGCTGTGGAAAACAGTGTGGAGATTCCTTAAAGAACTAAAAGTAGAACTACCTTTTGATCCAGCAATCCCACTACTGGGTATCTACCCAGAGGAAAAGAAGTCATTCGAAAAAGATACTTGCACATGCATGTTTATAGCAGCAAGATTCACAATTGCAAAATCATGGAAACAACCCAAATACCCATGAATAAATGAGTACAGAAACTGTGTGTGCACTCCCCCCCACCATATAGATAATATATGATGGAATATTATGCAGCCATAAAAAGGAATGAATTAACAGCATTTGCAGTGACCTGGATGAGATTGAAGACTATTATTCTAAGTGAAGTAACTCAGGAATGGAAAACCAGACATTGTGTGTTCTCACTGATAGGTGGGAACTATGCTATGAGGACACAAATGCATAAGAATGATGCAATGGACTTTGGGGACTTGGGGGGAAGAGTGGGAGGGGGGCAAGGGATAGAAGACTACAAATATGGTGCAGTGTATACTGCTCGGGTGATGGATGCACCAAAATCTCACAAATCACCACTAAAAAACTTACTCATGTAACCAAATACCACCTGTACTCCAATAACTTATAGAAAAATAAAAAATAAAAGTAAAAAATAAAATTATGTATTCATTTAGGTATTTGCTATTTTCAGTCTTCTCAACTGGTATATTAACCCCATAAGGGCAGAAACATGTCTTTTATGTTCATCACTGTGTCTCTTGCCTATGGCGTCTAGTTCAGTAAAGGAGGTGAATAAATAAATAAGCGTATACCACATGAAAAAAGATCACAGCGCAAACAGTTAAATAGCCCCAGAAATAAGTATAACTTTTAGAGAGGACATTGAGGAGACAGGTTGAAGGGAATGAAGGGACTATGTTAAATAAATTCCTAAATATTTATTCTAGCAAAGTGAGTTGTCAGTCACAAATTTTTATCTGAGTGTCCTGCCAATTATGATGTGGGTATTTTAAAGCTTTTACTCTCATTTATAACTATATTTATTTTTGTGTTAGTAAAAGCAGCTTTCCAAATTATGCCTAATGATATCTGAGTATTACTAGCTTTGTTTTCTTATCTCTTTAATTGGATAAATTATATCAAATGAACTACAATTATGTCTCATCACCATATTCATAATTCATTTGTTAAGTGCTAACTGTGTATCTGGTACTTTATAGGTATCGTCTCATTTAATTTTTTACAGCAGCCATAAGAAGGAAATGGTCATATTTCATTTTACAGATCAGAACACTGAGGCTCAGAGAAGTTAACTACTCCAAAGTCATATAGCCAGTATTTTCTGGAGCTGTAATTCAAATCAGATGTGTTCAATACCTTCTACTACCCCATTGCTGTCTTTATGGTGAGTTATTTTAGTACACATTAAGAAATACATGAAATATGATTGGTATAGATATATTATTTCTATTTTCTTTATTAGGCAGTTAGGAAACATTTAACTCAAAATTTTAAAGCTAAGAAACTTTTTTTCTGAGTAAATCAGAAAGGATGTTTTCTTCAACTATTTTTCTAAATGAAGCATTAAAAAAGGATGAAATATTTTGACATACAGAAAGGCATACAGACTAGTATAATAACACCTTTGTTCTTACCGCTTATCTTGAAATAAAATCTTACTGGTACAGTTGAAAGGCCCTTGTGCATTCCTCCCCAGGGTCATTTTCCTCTCTCTTCCTCAGTAGTAACCGCGATCTCAACTTGATCCTATCCTTGCAGCTTGTGTATCTTGGCGATAATCTGGTGGCTGAGGGCTGAATGGATGGGTGACACAATGGCAATTAATGTTATTCTTTTTCCTGAAGAAACTTACCTTATTTCTTTGCTTTTTTTTGTTTGCTACTCTTCCTGGTTGACTTCAGATTTGTAACAGATGGAGCCATGACATTTTGAATTCTCCCCATCATACCGTATAACGTGAGAAAGGATTGAAAATGTGTAAGTTTCAGATCCTGTATTTTTGGGACGAAGGATCGGTTCAGTAGTTGGTGTTTTTAATCCCATTATGGTATGAAGTCAAATTAGAATGAAGAGCCTTAATGCAAATAATCTTGAGTACCTCATGACTTTTTAAAAATTTTTAAAGATGAGTGGGTTGGGCTCAAATTCTGGTCAAATTTCAGGTGGATGAGCACATTCTGTGTTTCCAACATTTTCCTCGGATTTTAAAAGTTAAGTATAGTATTCCTAACTTTGTATGATCTATGCATAAGAGTGTCTTGTGAAAGATTCCCAACAGGTTTAGAGTGGAGTTTAGACTTGGTTACGTGAGAGGTCTTCCCTCACCCTCGCGAAATCTAAGGGAAAAGACTTCCTCAAGTTGGCAAAGAATTGAAATAGGCTTCTTCAAAAAGACAGAAAGACAAAAACAAAAAATAAGGACAATATGTTGCTAATTAAGATGCAAAATTAAATGTTACTGGTTCAGTGTAACTGATTTATATGAAACAAATAGAGATTTTTAGGGAATGATAGAAAAGAGGAAAATAGGTAATAAAATGAAGGAGAAGCAAGAAATGTGATTGTGATAGTATCGAGGACTGGGGCTAAAAAGGTACTCTTGGGAATAAATGCCTGAGACACAAAAATATCTTGGAAAGATGATAGTGAATGACTAGAAAATACCAAAGACTGGCTCTTAGTATCTGTTATATAGTGAGTACTTATTACTTAATTGATGATTGACTGATAAAATCTCATCAATGAAAAGCACATGCTCATGTATATTATAGCTTTTCATGTATGAAGATACATAATAACTTCTCTGCATACTATTTTTTAAAGAATTTGTTTTTTAAAGTTAATCCAGATGGTTATATTTTTGTCATCTTAAAAGTAGTTTTTTCTGTTATGCAAGAAGGATGATTTTAAAAATGTATGTGAAGACTCTTGCTAAAGTTCAAGTGACCAAATATTGTGCATAAATTCTTTATTTCTTTCATAAAACTAATTTTGTTGAATTTTCCATAAAAAGTGCAGCGACTAAACATTCTTGTGATAGCTTCTTTGTGAATGTGTCACTGTTCTTGATTTGCACACGCCTTATAATTTAGGCTTTCTTTTGTTTTGGGCTGGCAGCTCCAACTGTTAAAGCTCTTGTCTGATTATGTGGAACTCCATTTTAATAGGAGCAGCTTCTTTGCTGCATTTTTAAAAAATGGTCTTGGAAGCTTCTTACTTCCGAGAAGTGGATCTTTGTTGCGGACAAAGGATTATTTATGCTAAAGGAAAATGTATTCCCCACTGAATTAGCTCGTGGGAAGCATAACAAGCTCATTAGGAATGCTCACTTGTACTTTGGCCTTTTGCTGTGGTGGAGAGAAGGGAAAATGACATCAAAAAGGACATTCTGTTGTCTTTTGCCTTCCTGCAAAGAAAATGTGTTATAATATTAGGCTTTTCAGTATGGTTTAGCTCAGGTTCAACTTTGGTACTAGAAGAAATGTTCCTGAAAGGAAAGTGGTATGTATAGTTGACACTGTGCATGAGGTATGTCTGATATAACTTAGAGGAAAAAATAACTTTTTCTTGGAAAGTAATAGCATTATAGCTTTGTAATTATTATATATTTTTTCTTAAAATATTTTAAAGATGGTTTATAATAAAACTAGACTAGCTTATTATGCTGCTATGAGCAATAAAAAATCCTAGGTTTTTATAGTCTATACTGTTGAATGTTTTTAAACTCTTCACTTTTATCCCTTTGAAAATATAGGAAAGAATTGCATTTACCTAATTCAATGAATTAAAGTATTTTTTTTCCATGTAGATTTCAAGAATACTACTTTGGAGCTAAAATTGCTGTTTCTTCTTTGTCTTTGGGAAATTATTATGGGGAGGCATTGAGCATTTTGGTTCACAGTTAAAATTGATGTTTATCTTTATTAGCAGAATAAGCTTATAGTCAAGTTTGTGAATTTATGCAAAGTGCATATGACCTGTTAGGACTTTGATGACAGTCAGATAAAAGATACTTGACTTTCAATATCAGTTGTTGTAATATTTATATTTACATTATATTCACAGGGGAAAATAAAATTCTGGGAGACTTTTATATGAGCTAAGTTTTGTTGATTTTTTTTCAAAACTGTCCAGATGGTTCAAGAATTACTTTGATGCTAATGCCAGAAAATACATATTATATTAAAGTCTGTTTCAGGTTTTCCTTTTTCAAATGAGTAGTCCTTTATGAAGTAAAAAGGAGTGATATGAATTTTCTTATACTCAGACTTTTCTAACTAGAAGAAAAAGTTTTGCGTTTGCAGTCGAGTAAACACATTCCTAAATCTTGTAATTTGGGGGTTTGGGGGAGTAGCAAAACTGCCACTGTTAACTGTATGTTAATATTTTGTTCTTTTTTCAGAAAAGAAATTTCATTTCAATATAGGTGACTATGCAGCCTGCAATTCAAGTAAGTTTTTTTCTTGGAAACAATATTTAAATTATGAGATTAATATAATTGAACTGTAATAATTAGCAAAGATAAAATTATCACAGTGTTCTTATTGTGCTAGTTTTTTTAAGCATCACATTTTAATAACACATACTATATTTTGACTTTCTAGTTCTCAAAAACGTTCAATTCTAAGCTTTTGTTTATACTGAATATTTGTAAAATTCAAAAATACCTTAGGGTTATCTCTTCTCAGCCTTTTGGCTAAGATCAAGTGTAAAAATACCTTAGGGTTGGTAGGTCTGTCTTATTTATACCACTGTGGGAAAAGAGGTGGAATATTTTGTGGTTTTCCCCTCATTACAATTTAGTATGTATTTACAGTTAAAAGAGCTTTCAGTGAAAACAAATATATGTTTTTAAATTTCAGATAGTTGTTCATGTGCTCTATAAATGCCTGTATATGACTGGCCATTAAAATTTTAAAGAGTGGGTTTTTTTTTTTTTGTTTTGTTTTTTGTGGAGGGGTGCAAGCTGGGTATAATGAGACAATCAGAATAGCCTTATATCTGAATGATTTCCAGAGTTGGTGTTTGCTATATTATTCTTATTTTTTAAGTTTTCTTTCTTTTGTATAAAAAGAACATGATTGAATATTAACTTAAAAATAAAAGTCACATTGAAGGTCTGCCTGGAAAGAAGCAAGCAACTGATAATAAAATTTGCCTTGGGAAGTAAAAACTTGCATCAATTAGATTTCAGTTCTGATCCTAGTTCTGCCCCTTTGATTCTGAGATTCTGGCAAGTTATCTTACTTCTGAGTCTCTGCTTCCTTACCTCTATGGTGAGGATAATAGTGATTAACTTGAGGGTAGTTTTGAGGAATCAATGAGATAACATGTGCAAATGGACTGCTAGAATATATATTGCCTGTAAGCACGTCAGAAGTTTGGTTGTATCCTTGATATGATAAAATTTTCCAGATATAAACCTAGAGATAGTACCTGTGTCATAAAAGTCAGTCTTTCCTTCCCCTCCTCCTTCTTCTCTTCTTTCCTTTCCTTTCCCTTATCAATTTAACAGTGGATGACAGCCTAGAGAAGAGAATTTATCAAATGGTTAAGAACAGCCCTGCATGTGACCCTGTTGTCCACCTTCCTATATTCTGCAGCTGTAGTCTCCTACTCTACTAAATACAGTTCCATCATACTTTTCCTTTTGGGACTGGGGAGTCCATGACTGTCTCCCAGAAGGTCTTATTCTTCCCCTTTGGGTCCTCTCACATCCACTTGCATATGCTTAGAACTCTGTTATTACTCAAAATCATTTTTGACCTGATTACTTCTATTCATCCCCTTTTTATCCAGTCTCAGGAATGTCATAGTTTCTTATCAATTATATTTTCTAGATTCCTTATAGAGTGTTTTCTATTGTTGCCACATTGCCCATGTTTTTTCTTATTTCTACACTAATGGCCATTTATATTTTCTTAACATGGTAGATTCTTTCATAGTTTGTCTAATGATTTCATAAAATCTTCTCTGATCCAGATTCCAAGATCTGTCTTTACTGATTTTTTTTTCCAAGACTATCCTCCCTTCACATGTCTCATGGAGGTTTTTGCTGCTGCATGTGAGGACTTCCCAGGATTTCCACCTCTTTCTCTGCCAATTATATTAGACAGTTACTTGGTTATTAAGTGCCTTGCAGAGAGGAGACATCCAGTGAATAGCTGTTATTAATTGATGTCTTACTAATTTAATACTTCAAGATATTTCTTGCCATTCATCTGTGTCCTTCATTCTGATTAATAAATAAACATATAAAAGCCAATGGACAATAGTTCTTAACCTTTCTGGGGTCATAGTCCCATTTGAAAACCTGACAAAGGCTATGAAGTCACTCTCTGTGAAAAGGCCCATTTGTATATAGGCATAAAATTTTGCCTAAATGTAAGCAAGTGCAAGTACCTAAGTTAATCTGTAGAGTACCCATGAATTAAATATCTCTTAATGACAATATGACAGCTTTCAGCATGTTTGAGAACAATCTTCATACATGCAGTTTTTGTTAATATCTGACTTTTAATACTAATTTCTACTGACTAGCCCAGGTTATTACTAAAGTCGTCTGCTTGCAATAATAGGAAAATCCAACATGTACTCTTCTCTCTAATGTGACAAGAAGTAAAAATGACTTCTTAAAAAATGTTAGCATCTCCATTTTCATACATGATTTTAAAAAAACCACCCTCTTAATTTATGCCCTTCTTTCCTTGACAAACATTTACATCTGCTCTGCTTTTTTTCAGCTCAACCAGATGGTTAATGGACAAATAACATATTCCATTGACTGTCAAATACAATTGATTGTAAGATACATTTTGATTTTGATGGTACAAAGAGTCATTTGCTAATATCTATTCCTCAATTATTGAACAAATATGTTTGAATACTATGTGGTAAGCATTACACTGAGTCTCAGGATTATAATAGAAATAAAATATGCTTATAAAGGGAAGAATTAGTAAAGCGTTACTGTACTTCCTTGGAAATAATTTTAAGAGAATTCAGGGAAATAAATAACATCATTTTCCTATTCATAGGATCCTCATATATTTAGGAATTCATTGCCCAATCCCTACCTTAATTCCTGAAGTAAATGTCCCTTAAATAACTTACATTTCTTTTTTGTCTTTGATGGGGTTTTTAAATTTACTTTTATTTTATTTTTTATTTTTTATTAGATTTCCCTACCCCTGCATGCTTCTTGAGTGTATTCATTTTCTTTGTTTGCCTTGGGGTTAAAAACAAAAAAAAAACTTGTTTATTTCTCATCATGGGAGATTGGAAGTAGTTTCCCCCATTCCCCGCCACCAGTTTGTTGCATTACCTATGGCATTGCTATAGCTTTTGATCTGGTATAGTAAGACTTGCCTCAAATTAACCTCAATAAGCTTAGTATATTTTAAGAGGAAAATGGTCTATATTTAAAAATCAAGAAAGGACTAGATTCACTTGGTATTCCTTTTACTTACAGTTCTTTTTTAAAAGTTTGGTTTTTTTAAAAAAAAATTTTAAAGCCATCACAGACTACAGAGTAGTTAAGTGTAGTACAAAGAAATTTGTTTGCCTGAGCCATTTGAGAGGAAGTGGCGACTCTAATGCACTATTACCTCTGAATATTTTAGTGTGTATTTCTCAAAAACAAGGACATCTTCCTACACAACCACAATGAAATAGTCAGAATCAGGATATTAATGCTGCTTCTGTACTACCATTTAATACGCAGGCCACTTTCAAGTGTTGCCAGTTGTCTCAATAATAACCAGCTCAGAATTATGTGTTGCATTTAGTTTTCATGTCTCTTTAGTTATTAGGCTGGAACAGTATCTCAGTCTTTGCTTGTCTTTAATTACCTTGATACTTTTGAATATTCCCGACCACTTATTTTGTAGAATGTCCCTCAATTTGGATTTGCTTGATGTTTTTTCATGACTAAACTCAGGTTATGCATCTTGGGCAGGAATTTTTATCATTGCCTCCTATCAGGTAGCATATGATTTTGATTTGTCCCATTATTGATAGAGTTCACCTCCATTATTTGGTTCCGATGCTGTCTGTCAGGTTTCTGAACTGTAAAATTACTCCTTTTCCCTTTGTAGTATTTTTTATGCAGGTACTTTGAAACTATGTAAAAATCCCATTCTTGTTAAAATTTCAGTGTATTCATTTATATCTGTGTTAACTCATAGTTTCCTATTTTATTCAGTGTGGTATAATCCATTCCTATCATTTATCTCAATGCTCAAATTGCCCTCAGTTCAGCCAGTAGAAGTCCCTTCATGCTGGCTTATGTGTCCTTTTGGCATTCTTTGAGAGTTTCTTTACTTTCAGATAAGAGATATTTGAATTCAACACCAAAGGATTCATTCTTACTTCTCTCATTCCATATTTGTACCTGTCTTCAGTGAGAAGATTGGCTCCCATTTGATAAATCCTCATGTGTGTTACCATTCTTTTATTGTTGCTGCCACTCACACCCTGGGTAGATGCTCAGCTCACTTGGACTCTGACACTCTGTATTGGGACGTTCCCCCTTTGCACCTGTTAGATGCCCTCTTTATCCTACTCAGGGCCTGACATCTTGCACAGGGCTGTCCCCATACCCGGATGCCCACTCACCTCACTCATGCTCTGACTCTCCATTCCAAGCCACCCCACTCTTGGAATCTCCTATGCGTTTCTCTTAGGCTCTAATATTCCTTTCTAAGTTGTTCAGTAAGGAGAAGGACAAGAGATATTTATATCTGTTTTAAAAAGTGACTTCATAATGACATGATTACTTCTTTTACCATCTGAAGAATTGATACAGCCTTTTCTATGAATAATCTTACATTAAAGAATAATCATATTTCAAAATTTGGCAAGTGTCGATTATAACATCTATAAAATTATAAAATTTATAGAGTGTCAGTTTTTATTCTAAACTCTCAGTTGTTCAGGTAGTATTTCATGCTTTGTGGACCAGTAGGCAAAATTGAGATACTACGCAGTTACTTATATAACAACCATTTTAAAATGTACAAACTATTCTTAGCTTCTGGGCTTACAAAATAGGTGAGACAAGATTTGCCCCATGGACTATAGTTTGCCACCCACTTGTTTTAAACTAAAGTACTTAGAAATTTTTTTAAAGATAACACTGTTATTATGATTTGAAGTTTACAAAATGCCATTTATGCTTCATTCATTCATTTATTCATTCATTCAACAAATGTTTATTGAGTCTCTGCTATCTGCTAGGCTCAATGCCAGATGCTACAAACATGTATTTTATAAGGCAGGAATCACTAACCCATCTTACAGCTAGGATGTTAAGACTCTGGTCAAGTAACTTGTTAAACTTACTCAGCTAACAAGTGAAGGAAAAATATTATTTGTTGAATTCTACCCTCTTGGCTCAATAGTAGAATCCATTCATTAATTCGGGGTTTTCTTACATTGACCACAGTATTGAATATTGAAAATGTCTTGGCTGGGCACAGTGGCTCATGCCTATAATCCCAGCACTTTGGGAGTCTGATGTGGAAGGATCGCTTGAGTCCAGGAGTTCAAGACCAGCCTGGGCAACATAGGGTGACCACATCTCTGCAATACATAAAATTAAAAACTTAGCTGGGTGTGGTGGCATGTGCCTGTGCTCTCAGCTACTCGGGAGGCTGAGGTGGGAGGATTGCTTGAGCCTGGGAGTCAAGGCTGCAGTGAACCATAATCGCATCACTGCACTCTAGCCTGGGCAACAGAATAGGACTAATACTTTGCTTCTAATTTATATATTTGCTGTGAGCCACAGCAGCTTTTTATATGTGTCTATTATGTATGATTTATGCTTCATCATTTAAATATTGATGTGGATTATGATGACTTTTAGCAAAGGTTTTATTCATTCAGTTGATTGATTTTTTTTTTCTTTAGGTATGGTTTGGAGAAGATCTGCCTCTAAGTCCTCGGAGTCCTCTGACTCCCAGACACGGACCAGGATTGGCTAATGTTTGTCAGTACGATGAGTGGATAGCTGTGAGGCATGAAGCCACTTTGTTGCCCATGCAAGAAGATCTGTCAATCTGGTTATCTGGTTTATTAGGTGAGGCTTGAAACAATACCCAAAATTGTATTATCTTATTCAATATGCATTTATTGAGAGCCTTACTCTTTGTCAAGGAGTGATTGTTACAGATGCTGGGGATACTCCAGTGAATGAAATATTCAGTGCCCTTGGTCTCACCCAGGTTACATTTCAGCTGGGGAAATAGTCTGATTCACCCTGAACCTTGGGTCTTGAATAGTAGGAAATTTGCGATTTAACCGAAGAGGTCAGTAAGCTTTGAATAATGAACATTTTCACTGTTAATATTAAAATCATCTTTAAAAATTGTATTGGTCTAATTTTTTTTTTTACTGATTTCCTCCTGCCTCGACCCACCTTAGTCTTGTATAAGCCATGAACTTTGAGTGAAACATATACTGTAGGTTAAATGATTACAATTTTTGAGGCATTGAAGGATACAGCCATATGAAACCTAGGAAGAAATGTCAGGTTGGAGAATGGCATTGTATTTTTTACTCTATTAGAGAATATGATGAATGCTTTAAGCTTTCTCCCCAGAAAAATTTTACTTTAAATAATTTTATGTAGAATTCTAAAGTTTTCCTGAAAAAGAATATCTTAAAAGATACAGCTCTTCCAAGATAATTAAATACCAAATACCCACTGTAGTTGTCTATTATCAGTTTGATGGATAATATTTAGAGTTTATTATGTAATAATAATGTTTTTAAAGAAGACATTCTAGAAGTAAAAAGTTAGTATTCCCTGGGTATTTGTTATGGTATTGTCTTTAATTTTAAAATTGCAACCAAGTCCATCTTATTTATAGAGACTGTTTTTCTTGTGCAAGGAATATTAATATGCAGTGAATTTATTTCATTTTAAATGAAATAAAATCGATGTCAGTTTTTCTGTACTTCTACATTACAGATATTTTTGTTTCAGTATCATTAAGTTAACTGGCCATTATTTGCTATTTTAACTGTACCTTCTAAGAGTAAGTATTTAGAGTCTGATCTGATATTTTTCTAGTGTTTTGCTGTAATCTGATTCTATTTAATTAATTTTAACCATATTGTTTTTATGTTTCTAGAAGATTCTTAACTTTGAAATATGTTTTTAGGTATTAAAGTTAAGGCAGAAAAATTATTGGAAGAACTTGATAATGGAGTACTATTATGTCAACTGATTGATGTTCTTCAAAACATGGTGAAAACATGCAACTCTGAAGAATCAGGGGTAAGTAAATGTTCGACAGTATTGATTTTATGTCTTGGTACATATTAATTTATGTACACTTCTTATCTCTAGAAGGTTGTAAACTTCCATGCCAACTGGCTATGAGATGTTGAATAATTTACTTAACCCTTTTCAAGATCTGGAAAAATGTTCTCTTTCATAAAATGAGATTAGATGTTGAATAATTTACTTAACCCTTTTCAAGATCTGGAAAAATGTTCTCTTTCATAAAATGAGATTAACAGTTCCTTAGGATTTATTTGTGAGAGTTCAATCAAATTAAATGGGTGAATGTATAGATAGTGTCTAACATAGTGCTTGATGCATAGTAGATCCAGCTCTTCTTGAGAACATTAACATAACTTCCTTGTAGAATTGTTGTGAGGGTTAAATGGGAAAAGAGCTTGTGATGGTTCCTGGCACACAAGTAGCAGCTGCTATTATTATTATTTTCTTCTTTATATATTCTCCATATATTGCATTAGTGGTAAATTTTATAAATATTGATTGGATAAATAATACATTTTTTAGACAGTTTTCATTCATTAACCCTGAAGTCATGATTTGAAGTAGATAAGGTTTCCTGTCTTTTCATCAAATGTAGGTATTCTCAAGAGTTTGGAGTCTGGAAATTTACACACAGTTGGTGGAAATATAAAGGAGTATCATCATTCTGGGGGATAGTGGATGATATGTGTGTATATATATATAATATATATATCACTGAAAATAAAGTATATCTTGTAAAAAATATTTTGTGGGTACATACTAGGTATATATATTTATGGGGTACATGAGATACTTTGATACAGGCATGCAATAAGTAATAATCACATCATGGAAAATAGGATATCCATTCCCTCAAGCATTTATTCTTTGTGTTACAAGCCATCCAATTGTACTCTTTTAGTTATTTTTAAATGTACAATTAAATTATTATTGACTGTAGTCACCCTGTTGTGCTATCAAATACTAGGTCTTATTAATTCTTTCTAACTATATATTTTTTGCACCCTTAACCATCTCCACTTCCCCCCACCTGCCACAACCCTTCCCAGCCTCTGCTAACCGTCCTTCTACTATCTCCGTGAGTTCAATTGTTTTGATTTTTAGCACCCACAAATAATTGAGAACATGTGGTGATTGTCTTTCTGTGCCTGATGTATTTCACTTAACATAATGACCTCCAGTTCCATCCATGTTGTTGCAAATGACAGGATCTCAGTCTTTTTAGTAGCTCAGTGGTACTCCATTGTATATGTGTGTCACATTTTCTTTACCTAGTCATCTACTGATGGACTTTTAGGTTGATTCCAAATCTTGGTTATTGAGAACAGTGCTTCAGGAAACATGGGAGTGCAGATAGTCTCTTTAATATACTGATTTCCTTTCTGTTGGGTATATACCCAGTGGGTTGTTGGGTCATACGGTAGCTCTATTTTTAGTTTTTTGAGGAACCTCCAAACTGTTCTCCACAGTGGCTGTAATAATTTATATTACCACCAGCAGTGTATGAGGGTTCCCTTTTCTCCACATCTTTGCCAGCATTTGTTATTGCTTGTCTTTTGGATAAAAGCCATTTTAATTGGGATGAGATATCTCATTGTAGTTTTGATTTGCATTTCTCTGATGATCAGTGATGTTGAGCACCTTTTCATATACCTGTTTGCCATTTGTGTGTCTTTTTGAGAAATGTCTATTCAAATCTTTTGCCCATTTTTAAATTGGATTATTAGATTTTATCCTACAGAGTTGTTTGAGCTCCTTATATATTCTACTTATTAATCCTTTGTCAGATGGATTGTTTGCAAATATTTTCTCCCATTCTTTGGGTTGCTCTTCAAGGTGTTGTTTCCTTTACTGTGCAGAAGCTTTTTAACTTGATATGATCCTATTTATTTTTGATTTGGTTGCTTCTGCTTATGGGGTATTACTCACGAAGCTTTTGCCCAGACCAATATCCTGGAGAGTTTTCCCAATGTTTTCTTGTAGCAGTTGCATAGTATGAGGTCTTAGATTTAAGTCTTTAATCCATTTTTATTTCATTTTTATATATGGTGAGAGATAGGGGTCAAGTTTCATTCTTCTGCATGTGAATACCCAGTTTTCCCAGCAGATTTTATTGAAGAGCCTGTCCTTTCTTCAATCTATGTTCTTAGCATGTTTGTTATAAGTGAGTTCACTGTAGTTATCTGGATTTATTTCTGGGTTTTCTTTTCTGTTCCATTGGTCTGTGTCTCTTTTTATGCCAGTACCATACTGTTTTGGTTGAAGTCAGGTAATTCCTCCAATTTTGTTCTTTTTGCTCAGGATAGCTTTTGACTATTCTCGGTCTTTTGTGATTCTGTATAAATTTTAGGATCTTTTTTCCATTTCTATGAAAAACATCATTGGTATTTTGATAAGTATTGCATTGAATCTGTAGATTGCTTTGAGTAGTATGGCCGTTTTAACAATATTGATTCTTCCAATCCATGCACATGGAATATTTTTCCATTTTTTGGTGTCCTCTTCAATTTTTCATTAGTGTTTTGTTTATTGTAGAGATATTTCACTTCTTAGCTTAAGTTAATTCCTAGGTATTTAATTTTATTTGTGACTGCTGTAAATGGGATTACTTTTTATTTCCTTCTCAGATTGTTGGCACAAAAATGCTACAGATTTTTGTATGTTGATTTTGTGTCCTGAAACTTTACTGAATTTGTTTATCAGCTGTAGTTGTTTTTTTTTTTTTTTTGAGTGTGGGGTCTTTAGGTTTTTCTAACTATAAGATCGTATCATCTGCAAACAAGAATATTTAACATCCTCCTTTCCAGTTTGGATGCCAAATCTTTCTTTCTCTTGTCTAATTACTCTAGCTAGGACTTCCAGAACTGTGTTGAATAACAGTGATGAAAGTGGGCATCCTTGTTGTGGTCCAGACCTTAGAGGAAAGGCTTTCAGTTTTTCCCCATTTGGTATGATACTAGCTGTAGGTCTATCATCATATGGCTTTTATTATGCTGAGGAGTATTCCTTCTATACCCAGTTTCTTTAGGGTTTTTATCACAAAGGGATTTAAATTTTATCAAATGCTTTTTCAACATTAGTTGAAATGATATATACGGTTTTTATACTTCATTCTGTTGATAAGATGTATCACACTGATTGATTTGCATATGTTGAAACATCTTTGCATCCCTGGGATAAATCCCAGTTGGTCATGATGAATAACCTTTTAAATGTATTGTTGAATTCAGTTTGCTAGTATTTTGTTGAGGATTTTTGCATCAACATTCATGAGAGATATTGGTCTGTTGTCTTCATTTTTTGATATGTCTTTGTCTGGTTTTGGTATAATACTGGCCTCATAGAATGAGTTTGGAAGTAATCCCTCCTCTTCTGTTTTTCAGAATAGTTTGAGTAGGATTGCTATTAGTTCTTTAAATGTTTGGTAGAATTCAGCAGTGAAGCCCTAGGGTCCCAGGCTTTTCTTTACTGGGAGGCTTTTTATTACGGCTTTGATCTTGTTACTTGTTATTGGTCTGTTCAGGTTTTGTTGTCATACAGTTGCTCAGTATGATCCTTTAAATTTCTGTGGTATCAGTTGTAATGTCTCCTTTTTCATCTCTGATTTTATTTGGGTCTTCTCTCTTTTTTTCTTAGTCTGACTTAAGGTCTGTCAATTTTATTTATCCTTTCAAAAAACCAACTTCAAGTTTTATCTTTTGGTACTGTTTTTGTCATTTCAATTTTATTTATTTCTTCTGATTTTCATTATTTCTTTTCTTGTACTAATTTCGAGTTGATTTGCACTTGCTTTTTTAGTTCTTTAAGATGCATTGTTAGGTTATTTATTTTATGTTTTTCTTCTTTTTTGATGTGGACACTTACAGCTATAAATTTCCCTCTTAAGACTGCTTTCACTGTATCCCATAGGTTTTGGTATTTGTGCTTTCATTATTATTTTTTTCAAGAAATTTTTCAATTTTCTTCTTAATTTCCTCATTGACCCACTGGTCGGTCATTCAGAAGCATATTATTTAATTTCCATGTGTTTATATTGTTTCTGAAATTACTCTTGTTATGGATTTCTAGTTTTATTCCATTATGGTCAGAGGAGATGCTTTATGTTATTTCAGGTTTTTTTTTTTAATGTTTTAGGACTTGTTTTGTGACCTAACATATGATCTATGCTTGAGAATGATCCATCTGCTGAGGAGAATAAAGCAGCTGCTGAATGAGATGTTCTGTAAATATTTATTTGGTCCATTTGTTCTATAGTGAAGATTAAGTCTGATGTGTCTTTTTTGATTTTCTGTCTGGAAGATCTGACCAATGCTGAAAGTGGGGTGTTGAAGTCTCCAGCTGTTACTGTATTGGAGTCTCTCTCTCTCTTTAGCTGTATTAATATTTGCTTTATTTATCTGAGCGCTCTAGCATTGGGTGCATATATATTTACAATTTTTATATCCTTTTGCTGAATTGACCTCTTTATCATTATACAATGACCTTCTTTGTCTCTTCTTATGGGTTTTGTCTTAGAATTCATTTTGTCTGATATAAATATAGCTACTACTGTTCTTTTTCAGTTTCCCATTGGCATGGAATATCTTTTTCCATTCCTATATTTTCAGTCTATGTGTGTCTTCATAGGTGAAGAGTGTTTCTTGGAGGCAACAGATAATTGGGTCTTGCTTTTTCATCCATTCAGCTACTCTGTGTTTTTTGATTGGAGAATTTACTCTATTTACATTCAGTGTTATAATTGATAAATAAGGACTTATTCCTGCCATTTTGTTGTTTTCTGGTTGTTTTTTGGTTGGCTCCTTCTTTCTTTCCTTCCTGTCTTTCTTTTAGTGAAGGTGATTTTCTCTGGTGGTATGCTTTAATTTCTTACTTTTTATTTTTTGTGTATCTGTTGTATGTTTTTTGATTTGAGGTTACCATGAGGCTTGCAAATAATATAACCCATTATTTTAAACTGATTACGTAAGCAAATGAACTATTAATAGCAAAAAGAAAACTAATAAAAACTCTAACTTTATCCCCTTGCTTTTTAATTTTGGTTGTTTTTCTTTATGTCTTATTATACTGTCTATGTCTTGAAAAGTTGTAGTTATTAATTTTGATTGGTTCATTGCTTAGTCTTTCTACTTTAATATAATATTTTACATACCATAATTACAGTGTTATAGTATTTTGTGTTTTCCTGTGTACTATTACCAGTGAATTTTGTACCTTCAGATGATTTCTTATTGCTCATTAAAAGTCAAAAGATTTATACGATCTGAAGGGAAACCAGAATATTCTTATTGCTCATTAACATCCTTTTCTTTCAGACTGAAGAACTCACTTTAGCATTTCTTGTAGGATGGTCTGGTGTGGATGAAATCCCTCAGTTTTTGTTGTCTGGGAAAATCTTTATTTCTCCTTCATGCTTAAAGGATATTTTCACTGGGTATGCTATTCTAGGGCAAAAGTTTTTTTCCTTCAGCACTTTAAATGCCATGTCACTCTCTCCTGGCCTGTAAGGTTTCCACTGAAAAATTTGCTGCCAGACATACTGGAGCTCCATTGTATATTATTTGTTTCTTTTCTCTTGCTGCTTTTAGGATCCTTTCTTTATCCTTGACCTTTGGGAGTTTATTAAATGTCTTGAGGTAGTGTTCTTTGGGTTAAATCTGCTAGTGTTTTATAACCTTCTTGTACTTGAATATTGGTATCTTTCTCTAGGTTTGGGAAGTTCTGTGATAATACCCCTTTGAATAAACTTTCTATCCCCATCTCTCTCTCTCTCTGCCTCCTTTAAGGCCAATAACTCTTAGGTTTACCCTTTTGAGGCTATTTTCTAGATCCTTTAGGTGTGCTTCGTTGTTTTTTATCTTTTCTTTTCTCTACTCTGTATTTTCAAGTAGTCCTTCCTTGAAGCTCAGTAATTCTTTCTTCTGCTTGATCAGTTCTGCTATTAAGAGACCCTGATGCATTCTTCAGTATGTCAATTGCATTTCTCAACTCTAGAATTTCTGCTTGATTCTTTTAAATAATTTCAGTCTCTTTGTTAAATTTGTCTGATAGTATTCTTTCTCTGTGTTATCTTGAATTTATTTGAGTTTCCAAAACACAGCTATTTTAAATTCTCTGTCTGAAAGGTCACATATCTCTGTTTCTTCAGGATTGGTCCCTGGTACCTTATTGGTGAGGTCGTGTTTTCCTGGATGGTCTTGATGCTTGTAAATGTTCCAGTGTCTAGGCATTGAAGAGTTAGGCATTTATTGTAGTCTTTGCAGTCTGGACTTGTTGTGTCCATTGTTCTTGGGAAGGCTTTTCAGATATTCAAAGGGACTTGGGCCCCAAACCCAATAATGCCATGGTTCTCGCAGACTTATAGAGGTACCACCTTAGTGATCTTGGATAAGGTCTGGAAGAATTCTCTGCATTACCAGGTAGAGATTCTTGTGTGTGCGTGTGGGTTTTTTTCTTTACTTTATCCGAAACAAATGGAGTATCTCCCTTTGTGCTGGGCCTCCTGGATCTGGGGATGGGGGGACACAAGTACCCCTGTGGCCACCACCACTGAGACTGCACTGTTTCACACCTGAAGGCAGCACAGCACTGGGTCTCGCCCAAGACCTGCTGTAACCACCACTTGCCTACCACCTAAGTTCACTCAAGGCTCTAGGGCTCTATTATCAGCAGGTGGCACATCTAGCCAGGTTTGTGTCCCTCCTTTCAGAGTCATGTTCCCCCAGGCCCTGTTGGGTCCAGAGATGCTGTCTAGGAGTGAGATTGAAGTCTTTTTTTTTTGAGACGGAGTCTCGCTCTGTCGCCCAGGCTGGAGTGCAGTGGCACAATCTCAGCTCACTGCAAGCTCTGCCTCCCGGGTTCACGCCATTCTTCTGCCTCAGCCTCCCTAGTAGCTGGGACTACAGGCGCCTGGCACCGTGCCCAGCTGATTTTTTTTGTATTTTTAGTAGAGACGGGGTTTCACCATGGTCTTGATCTCCTGACCTCGTGATCCGCCCGCCTCGGCCTCCCAAAGTTCTGGGATTACAGGATTGAGCTGCTACACCCGGCCTGAAGTCTTAAACCTTAGAAATTTACCTGATGTTCTGTTTTACTGCAGTGAAGCCAGCACTCAGACCACAAGCCAAAATCCTTCCCACTCTTTCTTCCTCTTTTTCTGGGCAGAGAAGCCTCTCCCTGTGGCTACTACCACCACTGGCCCATGTGGGTTTCTGCCAGGCCACTGCTAACAGAACCCAAGGGCTCTTTAGTCAGCTTGTGGTGAATGCTGCCAGGCCTGGGATTCACCCTTCAGGGCAGTGGCCTCCCCTCTGGCCCAGGCCAGTTCCAGAAATGCTGACCAAGAGCCTAGGCCTGAAGCTGGGGACCCCTCAGAGCTTGCTTGGTGCTCTACTCTACTGTGGCTGAGTTGGCCCCTAAGGCACAAGACTAGAGTCTGCTTTACTTTTCCCCCTGCCTTTCTCAAACAGGAGGAGTCTTTCATTGTAGCTACCAATACTGGGAATATATTCAGTCCCACCTGAAGCTAGCATGTCTCAGAGCCCAACACCCATGGCATATTACCTGGGTATCACTGCTGGTTATTCGGGGCCCAGGGGTTCTTTACGCAGCAGGTGATGAATCCTGCCAGGTCACTACTGTGACAAGGCAGCACTGAGTTCAGTGTAAAGTCCTCCAGTTGCTGCGCTCCCTGTCTCCCAAGTGCACAGCTTTCTTTGCACCTTATGGCTGCTGCCAGGGGATGGGGGAGGGGTGGTACAAGCACACGCTTAGCCACCCTGGTTGATGTCTCAGTAGGTCATATGCCCCTCCCCTCTGGTCCACTGGCTCTGTCTGAGTCCAGCTCAGCACTGGGCTTGCCTAGGACTTGGAATTCTTGTGGCCTAGACTGCCCCTCAAGTTCGCTTAGGTCCTCAGAGCACTCCAGTTTGTGGTAGCAAGGCTTGTCTTAACTCAAGCTCTGATTACTTTAATGGGTGAGTCCCCTCTAGCTGGGGTTGGTCCAAATGCTTTCTCTATGGGCAGACATCAGCTACTAAAGCCTGGTTCTGCCTTCTGCTGAACCAGAACAGCAGTGAGTTCAATGTAAAGCCTCAAAATCACTGTGCTCTCCCCCTCCCAAATACACAGATGTTCTGTGCCATGTGGTTGCTGCTGGAAGATGGAGGAAGGGGTGGGCAATTTAAGACTGTCTTTCCTGCCCTCTTCAATGTCTCTCTCAGTGATACGAAATTAAAACCAGATTGCTCATTTGATTTTTTATTCTTGTAATGGTGCTTTTTGTGTGTAGCTAGTTGTTAAAATTTGATGTTCCTATGGGTAAGACGAATGGCGTAGGTTTGTATGCGGCTATCTCGCTCTGCCCCCTAAAGCACATCTTTTGATACATAGTTCTACTTGTAGCAGTTTATTCTGAGAAAATAATCAGAAGTTTATGAAAGTGATAGTACAAAAATTAGGAACAACCTAAATGTTTATCAACAGAGAAATTGTTAAAAATTAATTATGGTAACCAGACACGTTGGAATATTATACATTCATTGGAAACAATTTTTTAAATATGTTATTTTGAACCCCAGATGATGTCTACAACATATCATTTCATGTATATGCACACATACACACACAAATCAAATTGAAGAATAGTTTATGTGACATTTTGTAGATACAAATATGTGTGTAGTTGTGCATAGAGATGTCTTGCCAAAATGTGGGTGAGAGGATTTCAGTTGATAGTTTGTATTTTGCTATTGGTTTGATTTTTTTTTTTTGCAATGATTGTCTATTCTGTATTCAATGAGGAAAAAAAAACTCCTAACGTTATTTTAGTTTTGGAAATAAATAGTAACAGGAAGGATATACAAGGAACTGGTAATAGTGGTTAACTCTAGGGAGAGAGAGGAACTGGGGGTAGGTGAGAGAAAGACTTAATATCCTACTGTACCTACTGCATTAACAAAGATCATATTCATGAATTGCTTATTCAAGTAAAAATTTAAACCAAACCAAAACAAAAAAATCTCTCAGTCTCAGCAGAATTATCTAAATACTCTTGGAGCAGATAGTAAAAAAAATTAAGATTCTGTGAAACTTAGATCATCAGTTTTCAAAGAACTTTAATTAAGAAGGAACAACTACTTCCTTATTTGATAGTCTCCTCAAGAAACTCAGAACCATCTTTATTAATCTGCGTGGAAGGAAGTAAGCAAAAATGGGTGTCTGTGATTCTTTTTTTTTTTTTTTTTGAGAAAGAGTCTTGCTCTGTTGCCCAGGTTGGAGTACAGTGGCACGATCATAGCTTACTGTATCCTGGAACTACTGGGCTCAAGTGATCCTCTCACCTCAGCCTCCTGAGCAGCTGGGACTTTAGCTACATGCAACCACGTCTGGCTAATATTAAAAGAAATATTTTGTAGAGATGAGGTCACACTGTTTCCCAGGCTGGTCTTGAACTCCTAGCCTCAAGCAATCCTGCTTCAGCCTCCGAAAGTACTGGGATTACAAGTGAGTCATCATACTCATCTCTTAACTTTTAACATAGCAAGAATTTGAGGTTTATATTGAACTATGTGTAGAGAGACATAACATTGAGATGTGCTTTGCAATTATTAGGCTGTCAGTTTTTATTTTAATTAAGATTCTTGTTTCATTTTAAAAAGAAAGAGGTGAGAGATGTTTGATCTTACTGCTAATTTTGACCAAATCATTTTTCTAGGAATCATTTTCTGGAATATACTTTAAAGCAGCAGTCCCCAGTCTTTTTGGCACCAGGTACCAGTTTCATGGAAGACAGTTTTTCCACAGATTTGGGCGGGGGTGGTTTTGGGATGTAACTACTCCACCTCAGATCATCAGCCATTAGATTCTCATAAGGAGCACGCAACCTAGATCTCTTGCATGCACAGTTCACAATAGGGTTCAAGCTCCTGTGAGAATCTGATGCCATCGCTGATCTGACAGGCAGAGCTCAGGTGGTAATGCTTGCTTACCCACTACTCACCTCCTGCTGTGTGGCCTGATTGCTAACAGGCCACAGACCGGTACCAGTCTGTGGCCCAGGGGTTGGGGACCTCTGCTTTAAAGTAAAATAAAATAGTTTTCAAAACTATCTTTTTTCTCTAAAATTGTGTACTTTTTGGTTACAGGTGATGGATTGAACATTTATTTAGCAATATCAAAATGAATGTTTAATGAAAGTATCCTTGATACATTTTTGAAATTATTCTTTTGTCTTTTCCAGAATTTTCCAATGAGAAAAGTGCCCTGTAAGAAAGATGCTGCATCAGGTTCATTCTTTGCTCGGGACAATACCGCAAACTTCCTTCACTGGTGTAGGGACATTGGGGTTGATGAAACTTACCTCTTTGAATCTGAAGGTTTAGGTAAGTGATGTTCTTGTCATTCTTGTTTTTAATGCTTACTAGGATGTTTTAATATCCTTCACCTCTAATTTTTCTTTCCAAATAAGGACTCAAATGCCTCATCTCATTTTCCTAGAAAAATGTATACTTTGAATATATGTAGAATTATTGGAGAATCAGATACTAAATCAAATATATTAACCTTTTCACTTAAAGATTTTATGTGTCTAGAATGTCCTAAAATTCTGAATTCCTAAATGAGTTGGCTACAGGAAGGTTCTGGACTAATGCTTTAGTAATTGATATTTTCATTAAGAATTACTCCACCAAGCCTAAAAAGTAGTAACTTCCCTTTAACCGGATAATTACGGAAATGACAGGAGGCCTAATAATGTATTATCACGGTGTTTAGCTTTACCTTACAAACAACAGCTGCCAACTTGATTATCTAATGGATTAATATTTTTGACAATTCATTTTGAGGAGTCATGCTCTGTTGAAGAATTATTGACGTATTTTCTCATTTCCTTGAAGTCAACAGAAGCATCTGTGCAGTGACTAAAGCGGTAGCTATTTAAGTTTTATACTATATTTGAAAGCATTTATATATGTGTACATACACACACACACCCACCACCCCACCCCCACACATTGAATTCATAATGTGATAAGTGCAGCAGTGTACCAAGGGCAGGGCTGTGGGAGTTGTCTGCCCTGGTAGAAGTTTTATCACTGACATAGTTTAGGATTGCTGGTTTGTGGTGATAGTAAAAAGCAAACTGACTTTTTGTTGGTTGTATTATTTTAAAATTCTCTACTGACAGTACACACCCTTATTGCCCTCACACAGGGTAAGCGGCCTCCTGTTTGCTCTGCATCTGGGCACCCCTATCCAGTGTAGAGCAAGCATGGGATGCTATTTTATCCCTCTGTTTGCACCTTGCTTTAGATCCAGATGGGCTGATCATTATTGACAGTGTAGTTGATGTAATGGCACATCTACTTTCTAAAGATCAAAACAAAGTGGAAATGCTTTGAATTCTCTAGTTTCTAGTTTATTATTTCTGAAAGGACATAAGATTGTTGTATATTTCTCATTTTCAGTAGAAGGCATCTTCTCACTCTCCTGAAGGTCAGTATAGGACTAAGTAAAGCACTGCCAATACCAGTAATTCATTTTGAGGCATTGAACCGATAAGCTAATGTTTTTACTCTCCAGAGGTCTCAAAGATGAGCCTCTTAATTTTTTACACTTTGCTAGCAACTCAAAGCTATTTTATGAAACAAATATACTATTTTAAGGAACTTAGAAGATATTTAGAAAAACAAATCTAGTAAAAATTTTAGGATAAATTCCTCTGTTGGTATGAATTTTAAACTCAAATGTAGGCTTTTTATAGCTTTGAAAGAGTATACTTTGTGCTTGGGGTGTATAATAGATGCTATTCATAAATCAAAGAACAATTACCATTTCTTTCTTTTTTTTTTTTTTGAGATGGAGTCTCGCTATGTCGCCCAGGCTGGAGTACAGTGGCGCGATCTCAGCTCACTGCAAGCTCCACCTCCTGGGTTCCCGCCATTCTCCTGCCTCAGCCTCCAGAGTAGCTGGGACTACAGGCACCTGCCACCACGCCTGGCTAATTTTTTGTATTTTTAGTAGAGGCTGGGTTACACCATGTTAGCCAGGGTGGTCTCAATCTCCTGACCTCATGATCTGCCAGCCTAAGCCTCCCAAAGTGCTGGGATTACAGGCATGAGCCACCACGCCAGGCCAACAATTACTATTTCTATTGAGGGAATCAGGGCACATGCAATTCATGCACATATTGCACATGATTAGGTTAGAATTCAGAAGTTTCCTAGAGTTTCTAACTTTAAGGACTGCAACAGAAAAGGAGATGATCCACAACTACTATATCATTGCATTTAGCATGTGTTCTATGATCAGGCCTTTTTAAAAATTGTTTTAAGGATCTCTGTTTACCTTTATATTGCATTTCCTTTTATATTTATTTTTATTTTAAAAATTGTATTAAAATGCACGTAAAATTTACTATCTTAGGCTGGGCGCATTGGCTCACACCTGTAATCCCAGCACTTTGGGAGGCTGAGGCAGGTGGATCACCTGAGGTCAGGAGTTTGAGACCAGCTTGGGCAACATGGCGAAACCCCGTCTCTACAAAAATACAAAAATTAGCTGGGCATGGTGGTGCACGCCTGTAGTCCCAGGTACTCAGGAGGCTGAGGCAGGAGAATTACTTGAACCTGGGAGGCAGAGGTTGCAGTGAGCCAGGATCACGTCGCTACACTCCAGACTGGGTGAAAGAGTGAGACTCATAAAAAAAAAAAAATTACTATCTTAACCATGTAACCATTTTTAAGTGTATTAGGTTTCTTTTGTAGTAGCATAAAAATTGAGATATGCTGTACATAATCTAAAATTCACAATTTTAAAATGTACATTTCAGTGGTTTTTAGTATATTCACTATGTTGTACAATCATTACTACTATCTAATTTCAGAACATTTCTGGAAAATCTGTACCTATTAGCAATTAGTCCCAGTTATTCTCCTACCCCATGCCAAGGCAAACTCTGTTCTCTGTCTCTATGGATTTGCATATTCTGGATGTTTCATATAAATGGAATCATACAATATGTGGCATTTTGTGTCTGTTTCTTTTAGTTAGCACAGTGGTTCATTTATGTTGTAGCATGTAACAGTACTTAATTCCTTTTTATGGTAGACTAATATTCCATCGTATAGATATGCCATATTTTTTTAAGCCATTCATCAGCTAGTGGGCATTTGGATTGTTTCCACTCTGGCTATTATGAATAATGTTGCTCTGAACATTTGTGTACAAATTTTGAAGTAAACATATTTCTTAATTCTCTCAGATATATACCTAAGAGTGGAATTTCTAGGTCATATGGTAATAATTCTGTTTATCTTTTTGAGGAGCTGTTTTCAAAGTGGCTGCACCATTTTACATTTCTGCCAGCAGTGCCCAATGTTCCAATTTCTCCACATCTTTGTCAATACTTATTTGCCTGTTTTTGTTTTTATTATAACCATCCTAGTGGGTGTGAAGTAGTATTTTGTTGTGGTTTTGATTCGCGTTTCCCTAAGGATATTGAACATCTTTTTATATACTTGTTAACCACTTGTATAACTTCTTTGGAGACTATCTATTCAAATCCTTTGCCTATTTTAAAAATTGGGTCATTTACCCTTTTTGTCAACTTGCAAGAATTCTTTATATATTCTAGATACTAGGCCATATTAGATAAGATTTGCAAATATTTTCTCCTAGCCTTTGGGTTATTTTTTTACTTTCTTGATAGTGTCCTTTGATATACGAAAGTTTTAAATTTTGGTGACATTTAATTTATCTATTTTTCTTTTGCTTGTCCATACTTTTGGTCATTTAAAAATCCATTGCCTAATTAAAGTCATATATATTTTTAACATTTTTTTCTATAAATGTTACAGTTTGTGCCTCTTACTTTTAGGTCATTGATCTATTTTAAGTTAATTTTTGTATATGGTGGGAGGTAGGGGTTCAAATTCATTCTTTTGCATGTGGATGTCCAGTTGTGCCAACACCATTTGTTGAAAAGCCTGTTCTCTCCTTATTGAATTGTCTTAGCATCTTGTTGAAATTAATTGTACATAAATGTATGGGTTTATTTCTGGACACTCATTTCCATTCCATTGGTCTGTACATCTATCCCTATGCCAGTGATACACTGTCTTGATTACTGTAGCTTATAGTAAGTTTTGAAATTGGGAGGTGTGGGTCTCCAAATTTGTTCTTTTTCTAGATTGGTTAGGCTTTTCTGTGCCCTTTGGAATCCCATACTAATTTGATCATCAGCTTTTCCATTTCTGGAAAAAAAAAGGGGTGTTGTAATTTTGATAAGGATTACACTGAATCTGTAGGTCAGTTGGGGGAATGTTGCTATCTTAACAAGTTGTCTTCCAATCCATGAACATGAGATGTCTTTATTTATAATCTTTTAAAATTTCATTCAACAGTGTTTTATAGTTTTCAGTGTACAAGTATTACAATTCTGTGATTAGGTTTACTTCTAAGTACTTTTTCTTTTTGAAGCCATTGTAAGTGTAATTATTTTCGTTTCATTTTCAGACTGTTCATTTCTAGTGTATGCAACTAATTTTTGTGTATTGATGTTATCTCCCACAACTTTGAACTTGCTTATTAGCTCTAACAGTTATTTTGTAGATTCTTCAGGGTTTTCTTCTACACATAGGATTATGTTACCTGTTTTTTGTTTTTTTGTTTTTGTTTTTGTTGCTTTGTTTTTTGAGACAGGGTCTCACTCTGTCACCCAGGACTGGAGTATAATGGCACGATAATAGCTCACTGTAGTCTTGAACTCATGGATTCAGTTCATCCTCCTGCCTCAGCCTCTTGAGTATCTGGGATTACAAGTGTGCACCACCATGCCTAGCTAATTAAAAAAACAAACAAACAAAAAAACTGTAGAAACAGGGTCTCACTTTGTTGCCCAGGCTGGTCTCAAACTCCTAGCCTCAAGCGATCTTCCCGCCTCAGTCTCCCAAAGTGCTAGGATTATAGGTGTGAGCCACCATGTCTGGCCTATGTTATCTGTTAATAGAGGTAGTTTTCCTTCTTCCTTTCTAGTCTATATATGATTTATTTATTTTTCTTGCATAAATGCCATGGCTACATCCTCCAATACAATGCTGAATAGAAATAATAAGAGTGGACATCCTTGTCTTTTCCTGGTCTTGAGGGGGAGACTTGCAGTCTTTTACCTTTAAGAATGATAATGGTTGTGGGTTTTTCCTAGATGCCCTTTTATCAGATTGAGAAACTTTCTTTTTTCTTCCTAGTTTGTTCAGTCTTTTTTTTTTTTTAATCATGAAATGGTTGGATTTTGTGAAATACTTCTTTGTCTCTTGAGATAATTGGGTTTTTTTCCTTTATTCTGCTAATAGTATATTGCATTGGGTTGATTTTCTTATATTGAACTATTTCTGGCATAAATGCCACTTGCATGGTATATAATCCTTCTATATGCTGCCAGATTTGGTTTGCCAGTATTTCATTGAGGATTTTTGTATCTATATTCATAAGACATATTGGGTTTTAGTTTTCTTATGATATCTTCATTTGGCTACCTTTGATATCAGGGTAATGCTGTCATCCTAGAATGGGTTAGAAAGTACTTTCTCCTCTTTGTAAGAGTTTGAGAAAGGTATTAACACATAATTCAATGCTAAAGATAGCTTAAAATAAAATTGCGGTACTATATATCTTTTAATGGTATCTCTTGTTGAAAGATCTGAAACATAAGCAATGTTACTAAGCCCTCAATTTTTTAGACTTCAAATGCTGTGCAAATAAAGGTCCATGGTAATTTTTCATTCTGTTCTTATTAGCTGTTTTTTTTAAACTAATTTGTTGAAGATAATAAGTAGAAAAAATAAAAGTGTCTTTTCTTCATTTTTTCTAAACAAGTAAACCTGCTGTCTTCATTATTCTTTTTTATTTAACTCTCTTCTTCCATGCCAGAAATATGTTTCCATACTTAATTTTGCTGTATAAAATAAGTGGTTTTATTTTCCACAGTTTTGCACAAAGATCCAAGACAGGTGTATCTTTGTCTTCTTGAAATTGGTCGAATTGTGTCAAGGTATGTATTCCACAATATTTCAGAATTTCAATGTTATAAACATTTTAAATCTACTGAATTTTAGTTTAGAACACTATTTTCTATAAATAAAAAAATGCTTTAAATGAACTATTTTCCTGTTTTATCTTTTTGTTTCTTTATCAACTTCATTCTGTTTGCATGAGCATATGTAAACATCCGAGTTCTCAATATAGCTTGTCTTCTTTTACTGTTAAACTATGGGAGTGGTTACTTAAATTTTTTAGATTAAGGATAGGGTAAGAGCATGCAGTCTAAGGCAGTTCAAGTCAAAGCAAGTCCTCTGAACACAGAGAGGATCTGGCAGAAGGCAAGGAGTGGTGTCCCCCATACCTACTTCAGTTCTATCTTTACTCAGCAGCTGATTCGAAAGCCACCTTTCAGGATCCCAGGTAGAATATTGGGAGCATCCTGCAACCCAAATATGTGCTATGATGTGAGGACTGTAATATAGATATTTTACAATCTGTGAGACATTAAAAAGCATTTTCAAATATCCCAGTGAAACAATTGGTAGAAGAGGATCATATAGACTTTACTTCAGAAAGAAAATCTATCTTGATATGCAGGCAAGTACTGGGTCAACTTTGCTTGAATGATCAGATCTCCTGGTTGGTTTTCAGATACGGGGTTGAGCCACCAGTGTTAGTAAAACTTGAGAAAGAAATTGAGTTAGAAGAGACTTTGCTTAATACTTCTGGGCCTGAAGATTCCATCAGCATTCCAAAATCATGCTGTCGGCATGAAGAGCTACATGAAGCTGTAAGTAGTTGCCACACTTTCTTTTGACCATGATACCTTGAAGTCTCATAGTTTTAAGCACTTCTAGTGTGCTACAGGTGATGCTATTTTTAAAAGCAAGTGTTTCTTATTCAGAATATAAACCGGTACTATTCTCCATTCTCTGATGAATTCAGGGCATTATATTTTAAAGGTGATTTGTTATTGCTTGTGTATGATGAGGAATAAATGTGTAGTTGAGGAGTGGTGGGGCAAACAGATTGGAACTCATCATGAAGAGAACTATAGGCCACAAGAATTCATTGATTCTTTTTTCAGTCTGGTAGTATTGTAATCTGATTTGCAAATTATAAGGAATATTCTCATGGTCTTGTAGAGGTTATATTGGTTTTGTGGTAATAATCCAGGCATAAGATGAGAGCTTGAACTTGAGCAGCAGTAATGGGGATGGAGCAACAGGAACAAATATAAGACATATTTAGGAAGAATTGTTAGGAGAATTGACAGGAATTAGTGAGTGTTTGTGTGTGAGAGAGAATCTAGGGTGATTTCCAAGGTTTCTCTAAGTAGATGGTATATTGATCCTTGCAGAATACAGGAGGAGGAAAAGTTGTGAGGGAAGATTGATGGGTTTTTTTTTTTGAGCATTCTCTCCTCCAGAATATATCCAAACTTGTTAGATGATAGGTTACAACTGGACAGTCTTCTTAACTTTATCTGTTCATTAGGTAGAAGTTAATAGAATTGCTCTTCCTTGGGTTGTGGGTCTTCTGCAGTGACTACAATGTGAACAATGAAGGTGAACTGAGCATGAACATTTTCTGCTTAGACTGTTGTTTGGACTGTAGCATTTTATAAAGGGGTTAAATATACAAAATTAAGAAATAATGAATAAATCATTACTAATAAACATTTTAAAAGTATTGCTTTGATTGTTTTGTTTAATGTAATAAAAGTCTATAGTAAAACTATCAGATAACCTTGCAAGACAGATTAAGAACATGTCAGAATGAATAACTCTTTTATCTGGCCAAAATATCTACCTACATTATGCTATTCATGTGTGTGTGTGTATATATATATAATGATTGTCAATATCAATATGGGAAGCAGAAAGAATGCAGTAGGTAGAAAATAAAATTTAAATCTCATATAACCTTAAAGAATGATAAATGAAAAGGAAACATTGGAACAATATTTTTATCAAGTGGAAAATACAGTGTGTTCATTTCCCTATTATATAAAGACCTTACACAATTTGATAAGAAAAACTTGCAGTAAGTAAATGGGCAAGGTCTGTGTTCACACAAGAAGAAAGTGCAGTGTTGAAACTTGCTGATAATCAAGGAAATCAGATTAAAACAGCTATGAAATACCATTTGCCCCACTAGCAAGATTTTTTAAAACTATTAAACCTGGTGCTTTTAAATTCTAGCAAACTGTACTTAGTGTTTACTGTTGGCAATGGAAAATGATGTAAACTTTTGAAAAAGAAATGGACAAATATTAAGAGCTACAAAAATATTACTTTTTCATTTTTATTGTAGTTGAAGAGGGAAAAAGTGGCATAAATGAAAGTGTTTATTACATTAGGACTTAGAATGGTGAAAAAGTAAATACCCTCAAATAGGGCAACGGTTTGGCAAATTAGGATTCATAATCTTAACAGGATAATCATTGTGATCATTGTGAAGAATAATGTAGCAACAAGAAAAATGTTTATTTTGTGTAAAATATGTACATATAGACAAACTGTATAGAAATGAGAATGAAAATAATAGTAATATAGTACCTTTGTAGATTATTTTTATTTCCTTAGCTATTTCCTTCAGTATTGTAATGTAAATTATGTAATAAAATCAGAAGAAATCATTTCTTACCTACAGCTCTTATTTCTTTTAGGCTCATGCCTTGTTCTGATTGTGGGTTAGTGCTGATTTGTACTGCTCAATATAAGTGAGATTCGGGTATCTTAAATAAGGAAAAGATACGACTTGTTATATCTGCATTCTTGTTATGAAAACTAAAAAGAAACATTTCTCTAAATATATGTGTGCTATATGAATACATTCATTGTCTACCTGTGAATATGTGATCTACAGATATCTTGGAAAATAAGGAACAATTATTTTCTGATTCACGATTTAGGGTCCTGTTACAAAATATACAACAGCAATTCTATATACTTAGGAAATTTTTACAGACAGAAAGTGGTGACTAAAAGATATATCTCCTTTCAGATTACTTTGGTTAACTAATGTATCAGCATGGTTCTAATAACTGTAAGCCCTTTCCCAGAGTTCAGTTTATTTTTCACCATTTTATGCACATGGTGTGTATGTTTGTATCAACATAGATGCAGATGTGCACGTGTGCATGTGAACAAGATAAACTTGATTGGGTGACTTATGAAAATCAGTTCTATTTGTTTATACGCACGTTATTTTGTTAAATAAATGATATAGGAAAATAAGTTCTGGACCTTTCCTTTCAGGCCCTAGTGAATCCACAGGTGTTCATTTGATTTAGGTAGATATTTAAGACAATCATATAAATTTCTATTGGTGCTCAGCTAAATTAGGCCTATCTAAAGAGACTCTCTTTAATATCATGCCTAAGTTTAGTTATATGAATTCGTTTTGATAAATTTTGTGTGGCAATAATTGAGAAAAACATTCATGACCTTCCTTTTTCAAAAATGTAATTTTAGGAAAAGCCAAATATTTTCCACAGTGGCTGATGTGTGACTTTTTTCAGTCATAGGTATTTCAACAAATATCTTTACTTAATATATTTCCATTTCCATGTTTTAAATATAGAATTCTTAAATTTGTTTTTATATTTACTGCAGTTCTACCATTAAAAAATATTTATAATAATAGAAAATTCTATAAGCTTCTTAACTGGTTGAAGTAGGGTTCCCCCATGCCAACTCCTACTTCCTTAGCAGGCTACTGAAACAGAGCATTTTTAGAGAAATGCATCTTGAATTGAAAATTTTAAGAATTTTATCCAATCTTGAGAGAATAGATGTAAATATGTTTCTGCCAATTTTAATAATAAATTTGATCAAATCTAGATATTTCCCCCAAAATATTAGTTTAGTACACTTTTAAGGGACAAGTGAAAATTCCTACTTAGCCTTTACTGACTGGCCTGTCTCTGATTTGACATGTATTATTAACTCAGGGCTTAAAATAAATTCAAGCTTAATAACGAACTCATATGTTTCCTAAAACTCAACAAATGTGTTAATTGACCTCACTGTGTTATATGTTCGAAGATGAAGGGTGGTGGGGAGGGAGGGTGGGGGGGGGAGAGAGAGAGAGAGAGAGAGAGAGAAAGAGAGAGAGAGAGGCACTGAGAGAGAGACAGACAGAGAGATACCAGCTAGGCTGTTTGGATCTGAAACCTGGCTCTGCTACTTACTAGCTGTATGATCTCAGGCAAGTTTAACCTCTCTTTGGTAAAATTGGGGAAAATAAGAATTTTACCACAAAGTCATTTTGGGAAGACTGTGGCTTTTTTATGTTAGATTAGCAATGTCTAATCTCAATATTTGTTAATAAGCACAGGAGAAGCGATTAAATTATTGAACCTGAAATTTTTATCTTTGAGTTTGGTTTTCCTTAGCTATCAAATAATATTACACTTTAAACAAAATGCTTTTTGTGACAAGCACTAAATTTTATTTGTTCGTCATCTTAGGTTAAACATATTGCTGAGGACCCTCCTTGTAGTTGTTCTCATCGATTTTCTATTGAGTATTTATCTGAAGGACGGTACCGACTAGGGGATAAAATACTCTTTATAAGAGTAAGTCCATTATTTACACTTTATTTACACATAAATACTGTTTTGAAATTGGATTTATTGCTTTACTAACCTTTTGCTCTCCTTTTACTTTTAAAAACATTGGAAAAGATGCTATTAATGGAAGGATTTCACTGTACAGGGAAAATGGAGTAATTTCTTTCATGAGTATATAATGAGTTTAGGTAAACACTCATCACAGCAAACAACTAACTTCAGGATAGCTAAGATTATTTAGGCAGTGAGTATAATGGGGAAAAATCCTTGCATACCTCAAGGAACATATTTCTCAAATTTTCTTAGAAAAAGGAATAATTTTCCATCATAAGAAGAAAAACCAAAACATCTAATAAGATTGAGTATCCATAGTAAAAAAAAAAAAAAAAAAAAAAAAAAAAAAAAAGAAAAGAAAGAAGTGTAGAGTTTATAATAATACAAGCCTTGGGCATTAAACAGAAAATATTTTTCTCATTGACACAGAATCAGTATGTATACCAGTATGCTGATATATATGTTCATTTCCTTCCTCTGTCCCATCTACAGTTGATTAATTGTTCCTTTTGTTGGTAAGGAGATTGAAATTTCACCTGTTCATCATTCTTTCCACTTCTCATACAGAAGCTGTCTTATTTCCAATTTAGGAAAATAATATAAAAGTATTTAAAAATATTATTTCACCATCCATATTTTCTTCTATTTCACATATTATTACCTCCTCAGCCCCACCTAGCTCATACAGAAACATTTGCATGCATTTTCTTTTAATTAGCTTTCTGTTTTAAGGCAGTATGATGTAGTAGTGCACAGAGCATAGGACTTAGAGTTAAAATTTGTGGATAATCTCATACAGTTGTGCAGATTTGCTTACTGAATGGACAGGGCCCTAAAACCCAACTTGAGATATATTGGCAGAGCCAGGATGTCTTATTTTTAGGATGCAAGTTATATGTAAATACCTTCCTTACAAATTGGAAGATTTTGTATCATTAGTTGCATAATTCAATGTGAGTTAAATTTATTATATTAATAATACAAGAAACAAACTGTCAATTTGTAGTGAGGCTGTTGGCAAATGCTCTGAATTTTATAGATCACAGACATCACATATTGTAACTGCTAATGAATTGTAACTATAAACCTCACAGTATTACAGCTTTACTTTTTGTTTTCCTTTGGGGGCAGATGCTTCATGGAAAACATGTCATGGTTCGCGTTGGTGGAGGCTGGGATACTCTTCAAGGATTTTTGCTTAAATATGACCCCTGTCGAATATTACAGTTTGCCACATTAGAACAAAAAATTTTAGCATTTCAAAAAGGAGTTTCTAATGAAAGTGTACCTGATTCGCCTGCCAGAACACCTCAGCCTCCTGAAATGAATCCTTTGTCAGCAGTTAACATGTTTCAGAAACAAAATTCAAAACCCAGCGTGCCAGTTAGTATTCCAAAAAGCAAAGAAAAACAGGGACGTCCACCAGGTGCATTGGTGCCAGCATCTTCACTGAAAGGAGGTAATCTGGGCTCTATGTCAGTCCGTTCTAAATTGCCAAATTCTCCAGCAGCATCTTCTCATCCCAAGCTCAAGTCTTCAAAAGGCATAACGAAGAAACCGCAGGCTCCTTCAAACAATGCATCATCTTCACTTGCTTCATTAAATCCAGTAGGTAAAAACACTTCTTCACCAGCTTTACCAAGAACTGCACCTTGTATATCTGAGTCACCGAGAAAATGTATTTCATCCCCCAATACCCCCAAGGCCAAGGTTATTCCAGCCCAGAATTCAGCAGATCTGCCCGAGTCCACACTTTTGCCAAATAAGTGTTCAGGAAAAACTCAACCTAAGTATTTGAAACATAATCATATTTCTTCCAGAGATAATGCAGTATCTCACTTAGCTGCACATTCAAATTCATCCTCAAAATGTCCCAAGCTGCCTAAAGCAAATATACCTGTAAGACCTAAACCTTCTTTCCAGTCCTCTGCAAAAATGACAAAAACCAGTTCCAAAACCATAGCCACGGGTCTAGGAACACAGTCTCAACCATCCGATGGAGCCCCACAAGCAAAGCCAGTCCCAGCACAGAAACTTAAATCGGCCTTGAATTTAAATCAGCCAGTTTCTGTGTCCTCAGTTTCTCCTGTAAAAGCCACACAGAAATCAAAAGATAAGAATATAGTTTCAGCTACCAAAAAGCAGCCTCAGAATAAAAGTGCATTTCAGAAGACAGGACCCAGCTCCTTGAAGTCTCCTGGCCGTACCCCACTGTCCATCGTGAGCCTACCCCAGTCTTCTACCAAAACACAAACTGCACCGAAGTCAGCACAGACTGTCGCTAAGAGCCAGCATTCAACTAAAGGGCCTCCCAGAAGTGGCAAAACCCCAGCTTCAATCAGGAAACCACCCTCATCTGTTAAGGATGCAGATAGTGGAGATAAAAAACCTACTGCAAAGAAAAAGGAAGATGATGACCATTATTTTGTCATGACTGGAAGTAAGAAACCTAGAAAATAAATACATACTCATTATAAAAAAAGAGAAAAGGAAGAATGAATGTGTTAGCTTCACATCTTAAAAGTTTCTCCTATTTGTGTCTGTCTAAATAGGTGCAGACACTAAGGATAGTGAGGATGGAGGCTGGGATGAGGAAAGGGTTCATCAGAATTCACATATCTGAATTCACTGGAAAGAGCCCTTCTGAAGCAAACAGTTGTAAAATCACTGCAAGGTTTTTATTAATAATAGACATGTATATGATTTTCAGTCTATAGCATCTTTGTTAACATCTGCCTTTTGCAGGAAATGTAAAAGTTATTTAACACTACAAGAATTTTAACAATAGTTGCTCTATTTTTGAATATGTATTAAATATGGAGTTCATATACCTGCTAATATCAACGGTGGTGCTCTTACTATTAGTTAATTGCATTTTGGTTAAAAAAAAAAAAGCAACAGTTTGGCACTTGTCCTACAAAAGGCACCTAATTTAATTTTCTGATCAGGATTGCCTGATCCAACAGTGCTAAGTCATGGCTGCTGCTGACTAGCTTGGCATTATTCTGTGTTAGGTAGAATTCTTATTATTTATTTTTTTAAGCTTTCCAAATTGGAAGGAACTGATTGTTTCATGTGGCTTATATTTACATTGGTAATATTTTGTCACCAATATTTTTGGTTAAAAAAAATCCAACAAATTAACTTACTGAAATATAAACAAATTTTGTAAACAATTTTTTATATTATCTATAAAAACGTAGACACCTTATGTTTCACATGTTGTGCAATGTGACAGGGGAAGCTGATTTAGTAGCTTTTAGCATATTAAAAATAATTTTTTATAATGTAATTTCCTGTGAGTGCAGACCTGACATTTTACATTAAAATAATGTGAAACATCAGAATTATGTTTTAACAACTTTAAAATTAAGATGATGTTAAAATAATTTTAGAGTTATGCTATGTAAAAATTCTATCATGAAATTATTTTTCTCTAGATAGCACAATACCAATTTTAATTAATTTCTTCCAATTAGGTTACTTTTCTTTAATAAAGTTATGCTGCCTTCAGTTTTCCAATGGCAAGTAGACAGGATATGTTCAAGGTTTTCTGCACTGTAGGCACAGTCTCTCAAGCATATCCTGATCATGTAATGACTGCATAAACTCCATCAACCTAAGGTGATACTTGTAAATAATTTATTTTTAAGGGATGGTGACTTTAAAAATTATTAATGAACTTTGAGAAGTTTTAAGAGTGCTTTTAAAACTTCACAGTATTGCCAATTATCTTAGGTTATTCAGTATTCAGGTTTGTGTTTCTCTGTTTTAAACTAAAATGTGTTTTCTGAAGAAAAAAATAATAGTTTACACAAATGTACAATCATAGAATAAGCATTTTAAGCTGGCGACTAGTGTTCTATAGATTACAAAGCAAGAAAACTTTCTATGAAGATAAATGACCTTTTGCCTGAAGAGTACAGATAAAATCAAAGATGTGTGCAAGCTAGTTTTTGGAAGAAGTGATGCTTCTCTTCTTTAAAGAGACAGTCACCAAATACTTGGTTTAACTCGACTATTGACTTGGGCATTGAGAGAGATGATATATACATCTTTGGAAAGTGAAGTCAATGTTCAAGAGGTGATAGAAGCTTTACTTTTTAGTGATCAGAAATATTTAGTGCATCTTTTCAGACAGGAAGAATTTTATCATCAAGTATTCCCTTATAAAACCAAGTAACACTTCTTTATCAGTAACTTTTAGAACTTAAAAGAAAGCAAAAAGTAAATGGAATTGTAGGCAATTTATGAATCCTAGTAGATTTTACAATATGTAATTTATGTTGTTTACAGTATATAAACACTAAGTTTTGTGTTAAATGTGATCAGGAATAAAAGTATCCCACAGGCATCTGACACAAATTCCAGAATTAGCCAAAGAATTGTTTATTTGAGGCCAGGCAATCCCAGCATTTTGGGAAGCCAAGTTGGGCAGATCACGAAGTCAGGAGTTCGAAATCAGCCTGACCAACATGGTGAAACCTCTTCTCTACTAAAAATACAAAATTAGCCGGGCATGGTGGCACATGCCTATAATCTCAGCTACTCAGGAGGCTGAGGCAGGAGGATCGCTTGAACCCGGGAGGCAGAGGTTGCAGTGAGCCAAGATTGCGCCACTGCACTCCAGCCTGGGCAACAGAGTGAGACTCTGTCTCAAAAAAAAAAAAAAAGAAAAAGAAAAGAAAAAGGTTTATTTGAATAATTGGAAGTCAGTTTATACATTACTATTTTTCAGCAGTAGGGAATTTCTCCAATTACATTCATGTTGAATGAATTTTTATTTATATATAGCTTACCCTTCCAAAATAAAAGTGTTTTTTTAATGTTGTTTTGTTTTGTTTTGTTTTTTTCCTTTTTTGAGACGGAGTTTCACTCTTGTTGCCCAGACTGGAGTGCAGTGGCACAATCTCAGCTCATTGCAACCTCTGCCTCCTGGGTTCAAGTGATTCTGCTGCCTCAGCCTCCTGAGTGGTTGGGATTACAGGCATCCACCACCAGGCCCAGCTAATTTTTTTGTATTTTCAGTAGAGATGGGGGTTTCACCATGTCGGCCAGGCTGATCTCAAACTCCTGACCTCAGGTGATCCACCTGCCTCAGCCTCCCAAAGCGCTGGGATTACAGGCATGAGCCATCACACCCAGCGAAAAGTTTTGTTTGAATAAACAATATCCGAAAGACAATTAGTTTCTTCAGATGTATTTTGAAATTCTCCTAAAGAGCTAGTGTTTCTATTCATTTTCACAATTTAAAAACAGCTCTTAACATTGCTGAAGTTGGGAGAACTTTCCATCTCTTCTTAATAACAGTGCAAGATTTTGTAAATTCTTTTTTGTGTTTAATGTTTAATAAAACGAGTATTAAGCTTAAATTACTGAAGTACCTGGGAGAAGTAATGATGTGTACTTTCAAAAAAATGGAAAATGCTTTTATTTTATTTTCTATAATTTGTTAACATGATATGTAAAATTAAACTTCGGAGCACAATGAAATGCCGATTATTTTTACCTTGTTTGGGCTTAAAGTAGGTATTTAAGGTTTATGTGTTCAAAATGCCTTGGTAAATTGGATGACCTCTAACTTTACTGTCCATATGGAGTTTGTCATTCTTTATGGATAAGAGAACTTAAGGAAAAGTTACTGTTTTTCTTCAGTCTTTTTATATCTATCTGATTTAAAATCTGTTACTTTATTAAAAGGCTTCAACAACAGGTTGTTAGGATGTAGTCTTACATCCAGGTTCACATAATAACCCCATTTGAATCCAAATTTGTGTATATTTTCTTATGCCAGCAGTATTTGTATCCAATTTTAACTTAGGTTTGTTTTCTTGAGTATTAAAATTTAAACATATATACCAAGGTCTCAGTTTGCTTTTTTGGTGTATTCTGAATACAGTCTGATCACTTAATTCATGTTGGAAATTGCATATAGGAAGAATTCATAATTTGAGAAGAGTGCTGTTTAAAATGCTTTCTTTATATTTGTGGAATTTATTTCACTGCACCCAGGAGATTATAAGGCCTTGTCATTAATCAACAGTATTTGTTCCTCAAGTTGCTGTATATGCTGGATGTTTTTCCAGAAAGACCAGACTCACATTTAATAATGTTTGAAATAATAGAGATAATTTGTTGGTTATCAAGGTAGAATTCTATAGGTCATACAAGCATTGTGTTCACCAAAGATGACTGATATCAGGAATTTCCAATTTTCAATTCCTGTAATCCTGTTTTAATTTCACACTTTGATACAGTTAGTATATTCTTGCATACTCATCTTTTTCCTATATTCATGACCAGAGCAATTATAAAAAGCAGTTAATTCCATATATATTTCCTGTGACATTTCCAAAAAAGGAAACAAAAACAACGTAGACAAAATTTTAATTGTATTTTCCTAACCCTTTGTGAATGTAAAATTTTATAACCTAAAATTCATTTTATGAAATTTTGGGTAACATTGGGAAAATATTTATTTATTTATTTATTGAGACGGAGTCTCGCTCTGTCACCCAGGCTGGAGTGCAATGACACGATCTCGGCCCACTGCAACCTCTGCCTTCCAGGTTCAAGTGATTCTCCTGTCTCAGCCTCCCTAGTAGCTGGGATTACATGCGTGTGCCATCACGCCCAGCTAATTTTTTGTATTTTAGTAGAGACGAGGTTTCACCATGTTGCCCAGGCTGGTCTCGAACTCCTGAGCTCAAGCAATCCACCCATCTTGGCCTCCCAAAGTGCTAGGATTACAGGCGTGAGCCACTGTGCCCGGCCCGGGAAAATATTTAAAATGTGCCAGTAAGTCTGAAAATATAAAGGCACACATTTTATTAAATTTAAGCTGTTTTCTTAACACTGTTTTGTTCTTGTAGAAAAACACAGTAAGACTTGAGGAAATAATACATGCAAAGATTTAGTTATAAGGATGTTAATTATAGAATATTAATATTGGTATAGCCATAAAGTAACAGTCATTAAAAACATTGTAGACAATGACTTATCTTAAAATTAGTACATGTGATGAAGTGGTTTGTCTTGAGAGACTGCAGTGATAAAACATTATTATGTAATATTTCTTCTGCATTCGGCCAGGAATAGCACAGTACTTGTTACATGGTATATGGGCTCAATAAATGTTATCTATTATATTTAACCTCTTGTGGGTAGTCTTTTAGGGTTTCATATGATACATTTATTTAATATTTTCTTAAATTACTTTAGGTAAATTATTTCACAAATTATATTGGAATGAACAAATAGAATAGAATGAATTAGAGTTGTGTATGACTGTTGACTTCTAGTAGTGAAATGTGGCAGTGTTAAAACTCTAGTATCTACTCAAACCATCATTTATTAATACCTACTGATTTTTATTCTGGGAGATAGAGGAATAAGACAATCATATTCAAGAACCTTGGGTTTATATAGCACTTTGCAAGTCACAAAATACTTGTAATTACATAACATGCAATTTTTCCAACAGTTCCATGAGATGGGTATTATCATTAGAATGTAAGCACCAGGAAGGTAAGAATTACATCTGTTTTGTTTACCACTGCTCCCAAAGCCCAAACCAGTCCCTGGCACTTGGTAGGCGTTCAGTAACTATTTGTTAATAAATGAATGAACTCCCTTTTTTACAGATGAGGAAACTAAGGCTCAAGAAAGTTGTTAGTCAATATAAAAATACCTACTGGGTTAGATTAATTGAATTTTATTTAAAGGATGATTTTTTAAAGCTTTTTATACTTTTCCACAAAGTGTTGAGTTGTACTCCACGTTAATATCCAGAAATAGGACTTACGTAGCATCTTTAAAAAAACACCTGGAATATCACCTCTTGCTTTTTCTTTATTTCTTAGAAAAATCTTGTTTTTGAATTATACTTTATTAGATATTATAAACTTGAAGATTTAGAGATTAGCATATTCTTGTATTTTCTAGTTTAATATTTATAAATCACTGTGTACAGAGCTTTGTTCTTGGAACAATGAATTATTGCATTCAGTCCCAGGACAATACAATAAAGGTGCTCTGTAAATATTTGGTGGATAAATGAATGAGAAAAAAGTTAAATCTAGCACAAAATGCTTATGCAGTATTGGCAATTAAATTTTCTGACAGTGCAATAGAAATAGACATTGATCAAAGTTACTGTAAGTAACCCTAGAACCTCCTTTAAAAAAAAAAAACATTTAAAAATAAGTGATTGTCTTCTGAGTGAGCAGGTTTCATATGCTTCTCCCAAAAGAGAAAAAAATGTAAATTTCTTTCACATAGCCTTGAAGATGTGATACGAAGTTGTATTATGTAGATCCCTTTAATAATTCATTGCACCATGCTAGACATGCCGGAATCCAACAATGAATGGTTAAAGAATAGGCTAACCTGTGGTGTGTTTTGGAAGGGGAGTGAAATGTGACATTTAAAATTTTTATTTTAATCCCAAGCACTGAAATTAAATGAAGCAAGTGTCTTCAAACAGCAATTTGCAGTGTTTCCGTTTACCCTAAGCATCAGAAAAAGCATCTTTTGAAGTGTGAGTGCATGAAGCCCCAGGACTCCTTACAGGTAAGGGGGAAAAAAAAATCAACCCTGCTGAGAATTATAGCCTTTGAAATCTGTGAGGCTCAATGGGGAAGTTAAGGGAGAATAGTTTGGAATCCTAAGAGGCGATACCAGCAGATAGGTGCCAGGCATTGTTCCTTTGACTTTACCCATTATTTTCCCCCATCCCAACTCTTCACCTGGCACACAGTTACCCTTCGTGTCTCAGCTTAAATATCATTTACTCAGAAGCCTCCAGACCCTCCAACCTTACATTTTTTTGATCATTGCATTGCATCTAACACTGTAATTTCCCATTTACTTATCTAAATCTCTCACCAAACCTAGAATGAGAACTCTGTCTCACTTGTTCACAGTTGCACCCCTTGTATTTAGCACAGTGCCCAGATGTTTGTGGAAGAAAGGAAGGAGGGAAGGAAATATCCTTTTACTGATAGAAATAAGCCATCAATATGTGTAAAGAGAACCTCTAGCTTGATTTTGTTGACCCACCTACAGTGCAGGGATTTTTCCTGAGAAAATGGTGTGGTGGAGTTTGAAGAAGCCTGCAGACATAACCTGTTTTAGAGAGGAGAGGAGGGAGGGGAAAAGAGGGCAGTTATGAGAGGCCTTAAAGTTACGGATTTCTTTTGTTGCGTTAACATCTAGAGATTGTAGTATTTTTACAGAAGAAAGATGCTGGAAACGTCCCAATTTATTGTCTAGGTTTTTTTTTTTGTTTTAAAATATTTATTTTCAGGGTTGTGAGAGGCTACTCGGAGCGTAACACTGACATAGACTAGCAAGTGTCCTGCCGCCACCCAAGTTAATCCTCACAGGGAACAGAGGAGGAAACTCAGTCTGTTAGTTTTATTTCTTTAAAATCAATCTCTCAGCAGCAGAATGAAGTCAAAATAATCGAGATAGTCATCTCAGGGCGTGATGGTAATCATCCCAGGTGCTAGCCCCTTCAACAGGTCCTCGATGTACTGAGTCTAGCACAGTAAATTCCTTTTATTATATGTATTTATGATTATTTCTAAAGCAGTCTCCTTGGCCACAATGCAGTGAGACATCATTCATTTGCTCATTTAGCAAACAAGCTCTCTGAGCACCTACTCTGATATCAAGTGTCTACTCAGACACTAAGTTAGGTGCTAGGGATATCACAATAAGCCTAATTACTGCTGTTAAAGCGATTACAATCTTCATTCCAGGGTTGTCTTTTTTTTTTTTTTTTTAATGTGATGTTCTTTTTGACTGTAGCCCACTCACTTCTTTCTTTGTGATATATTTTACTCACGGGATAAAATACCTCCATGAGAGCAGCTTGTGTTTTCCCATATTGCTTCAGATTGGGAGCCTGTAAAACTTAAAAAAGAAAAAAAACTGATATTTGTATCTCAGCCTCAAGAACAAGAGTCATTTACTGCTAAGCGTTGTTACTCAGAAAATACAATAGTGAGAATCAAGTCCTAAACAAGTGAATGAAAACATGAAATCTGAGCTTTCTCTGGGTAAGCCATTAGTTTAAAAATTAACTCACATCCTGATACAAGGATGCTTTTCTAACTCTCTAAAATATTTCCTGTGACACTGGGAATCGATTCCACCCTGCTCCCTCCATTAAGCTCTACCTCAGTCTTAATAAGTAAACCGTGATAACAGAGATGAAATCTCAAACCAGCTTCCTGTGTGATGGGCTGGTCTCCCTACAGCCATTTCAATTATGTAAGAGGAGCACAGCTTTGAGCAGGTGCTCCCCATGATTCGACATTTATGTCTTGTCCCCCTGCTCCAGCAGATGACAGAGGAAACTTGTTCTGTAAAATACATTGCTATGAATCACAGAACACCTTCCAGACCTTTGCATCCTCCTGGCTGGCCTGTAGCCCAAGAGACCCAAAGACGTTCTGGAAAGATCTGGTGTGTTTACTTCAGCTCTTATGGCTGCAAGAACAGAGAGTCACTTTAGCTTTCTTGAATAATGTATTGGTTTATGAATACATGCAACCAAAAGGATAACAAAAATCTGGTAGCAACCCAGAAATCTATGTACACTTAGTCTCACAGAAGATGGAATTAGAATCATTCAGAAGTGTAGGAAACTCTAGAGACAGGTAATCTTGTAGCAGGACAAGCTGCAGACAAAACCCCTCAGATACCAAATTAAAGAAGGAAGGGCTTTATTCGACCAGGAGCTTCGGCAAGACTCACGTCTCCAACAACTGAGCTCCCCGAGTGAGCAATTCCTGTTCCTTTTAAGGGCTCACAACTCTTAAGGGGGTCCGCGTGAGAGGGTCATGATCGATTGAGCAAGCAGTGGGTACGTGACTCGGGGCTGCATGCACCAGTAATTAGAACGGAACAGAACAGGTCAGGGGTTGATCTTTAACTACCAGGCCCAGGGTGTGGCGCCAGGCTGTCTGCTTGTGGATTTCATTTCTGCCTTTTAGTTTTTACTTCTTCTTTCTTTGGAGGCAGAAACTGGGCATAAGACAATTTGAGGGGTGGTCTCCTCCTTTATTCCCCATCTTTGAGAATCTCACTCATTAGTGGGAGTTCTCACTTTCATTCTCACTACCCATGTCTTCTTCCAAGACAGATGGATAGTGATTCACATAGTACACTTGTGCTGAATCATTTTGGCAAACTAAGGTAGCAATGAAGCTTTTTATCATTTGAAGAAGTACAGGTAGCAAACAAGGGAGCAGTAAGCAGGTTCCTATTACTATTATAACTCCTATTATAAGGGTTTTAAATCCTTCTAGCACTGGGAACCATTTTCCAAACATGGCCTCAGGATCAAATCCATGCCACACTTGCATGGGCACATACATGTGTCAGTTTTGTCATATCTCTAACTATGTCTTCAACTACTTGCCCTTGATCATCTATGTGTAGACAGCAATTATTAAGGTTAAATTTCCACAGACTCCTCCTTCAACTGCTAGCAAGTAGTCAAGAGCCAATCTACTTTGATAGACAGTATTTCTCATCTGAGTTTCTTGCTGGGCCAGAATAGTCAAGGCTCTGCCGGTTTAATTAGTGATTATTTCTAAGACAACTTCTAACCATATTATTCGGTTGATCATGTAAATGAGGGTCCGGTATCCCCACGAACCGTCTTGTGTCCAAGTAGCAGGCCCATAATATTGTATGATTCTCTCAGGGGGCCATTCATTATCTTTCCAATTTCCTATAGCTATGCTTCTCTTTTCGCTGGAAGCATAGACAGGGAAGCTCAGGAGTTCACCTGTCTTTATGGACAGTAGGAAGAAAGATGGTTTAATAGTGCCAATAACACAACTACCTGCCCACTGGTCGGGTAATTTGGCATAAGCTCTATGCCCACATGCCCAGTACAATCCAGTGGGGGCTGTCCCGTCCCGGTGGGACTCTGGGTGGATCCACACAGTTTTCAACTTTGGGAATTTACTAAATGGATTTCTCTCTGTGTGATTTGAACTCCACTAAGTGACTGTTTTTGTGGTACTATTATACAGTTTCTGTCCTAGACAACTAAGTCATCCTACAGGGTGAGTGAATTCTTTTCCTTCTCTAGGTATGTAATATTGTCCAATAATTGAGGCTTTCAGGACCCAGAAATTATCAGGGTGATTCTTTTGAGCCAGGAATGCATCAGGAACTGGGTTTGTAGGTACTAACTCTCAGGCTTCCCATGGCCATTGATCTCCCGTTACAGTTCCTCCACATACATAACATGAAGTGACATTGAGAGACTGGGCTACATGCTCGGCTAATTGCAAAAACAAATTTCTTGTTTTTCCTGGAATTTCTGGTACTGGCACATTTAGTTCATCATAGAAAGTTTGAAACACTGGCTCAGAAGAGCGTTTGTAAACTTCTCCTCGAACTAAGATATTTACTCAAGGATCCAGTCCGGCCCCGTCGATTCCTAAGGTCACACGCTCCCCGTTTTTCCAGCGAGGATCAAGGGGATTGGTTATTACTAGCTCTAAGCGGTTACATTGTCCCTTAGTACAGGAAGGGCCATTTTTTCCTTTCTGAAGGTGGACTGGATCCTTTTCTTTTTTTATCTAAGTGGCCTAAATGACACAAGACCAGTATCCACATTCATTTCCACACAGTCCTAATTTATGACAAATGTACTTATTTTCGGTCATATAGCCTTTATCCTAACTAAAAGAGCCACATCCCCTTCCTAACTTACTGCTATTAATGACAGCACAGACATCAAATTTCAAGATTATGCGTTTGGGCACCCCTTTTTCTTCTGTTGTGGCTAATACTTTACTTGTATCATTTATGAGTCCCCACCAGTCTTCGGTCCTTAATCTCTCAAAAACTGTGGACACGGGAGGCCCAGAGGGGTCATAACACACATCTGGCTCATCTGGCTGGTCGTTTCCTGGGCTACATACCTTGTACTGAGTGTCATTATATAAACATGTTCCCTATAAAGTTCCTAGGCATTCATAGTAACTATAGAACAGAAAGATTGTTTTAACTTGTTGCCCTACCTTGGTAACCTGATGTATACACTGAGAGCAGTCCTCCATGCGGGGAAAATCAGTGGAAGTTTTTACTACACAAGTCCAAATTATAAGGAAAATGAGTCCCACGATGATCCTTCTCATGCTTTGGCCGTGCGTAGATCAGTCAGCTTCTGGGTGTGACTGGAGCAGGGCTTGTCGTCCTCCTCAGAGTCACTTTGCAGGGGTTGTCCGGGCTTGGTTTTGCCTCCCAGGTTTCAGCGGCTGCAGGTTTCACACAGGTGTGGTGGATCCAGGCTGGGATTCCTTCTACCTTTACAGCCTTGAGGGTGGTCAGGATGACAATCTGAGGTCCTTTCCACCGTGGCTGCAAAGGGGCTATGTTCTAGTCCTTGATCCACATGTGATCACCTGGAGAGAAAGGGTGAACTGGGGAGAATAAGCTGATGGGACACCTCTCATTTACCCAAGTTGAGATTGTTTGTGTAATTTTTCCTAAAACCTGTAGTTGTCGCTGTAATTTAATTTCACCTAACTCTCAGGGAGTGCCTGGAAGCCCCCATAGGATGGGAGGAGGCCTATGATAACGGTATTTCATAAGGGGAGTATCCTGTTTTCTTATAAGGAGTGCATCTAATTTTAAACAATACCATAGGAAGGGCCTCTATCCACTTTTTTTTTATTATACTTTAAGTTTTAAGGTACATGTACACAACATGCAGATTTGTTGCATATGTATACATGTGCCATATTGGTGTGCTGCACCCATTAACTCGTCATTTAGCATTAGGTATATCTCCTAATGCTATCCCTCCCCCGTCCCCCCACCCCACAACAGGCCCCGGTGTGTGATGTTCCCCCTTCCTGTGTCCATGTGTTCTCATTGTTCAATTCCCATCTATGAGTGAGAACATGCGGTGTTTGGTTTTTTGTCCTTGCGATAGTTTGCTGAGAATGATGCTTTGCAGCTTCATCCATGTCCCTACAAAGGACATGAACGCATCCTTTTTTATGGCTGCATAGTATTCCATGGTGTATATGTGCCACATTTTCTTAATCCAGTCTATCGTTGTTGGACATTTGGGTTGGTTCCGAGTCTTTGCTATTGTGAATAGTGCTGCAATAAACATACATGTGCATGTGTCTTTATAGCAGCATGATTTATAATCCTTTGGGTATATACCCAGTAATGGGATGGCTGGGCCAAATGGTATTTCTAGTTCTGGATCCCTGAGGAATTGCCACACTGACTTCCACAATGGTTGAACTAGTTTACAGTCCCACCAACAGTGTAAAAGTGTTCCTGTTTCTCCACATCCTCTCCAGCACCTGTTGTTTCCTGACTTTTTTTAAATTTAATTTAATTTATTTTATTATTATTATACTTTAAGTTTTAGGGTACATGTGCACAATGTGCAGGTTTGTTACATATGTATGCATGTGCCATGTTGGTGTGCTGCACCCATTAACTCGTCATTTAGCATTAGGTATATATCCTAATGCTATCCCTCCCCCGTCCCCCCACCCCACAACAGTCCCCGGAGTATGATGTTCCCCTTCCTGTGTCCATGTGTTCTCATTGTTCAATTCCCACCTATGAATGAGAACATGCGGTGTTTGGTTTTTTGTCCTTGTGATAGTTTGCTGAGAATGATGGTTTCCAGTTTCATCCATGTCCCTACAAAGAACATGAACTCTTCATTTTTTATGGCTACATAGTATTCCATGGTGTATATGTGCCACATTTTCTTAATCCAGTCTATTGTTGTTGGATATTTGGGTTGGTTCCAAGTCTTTGCTATTGTGAATAGTGCTGCAATAAACATACGTGTGCATGTGTCTTTATAGCAGCATGATTTATAATCCTTTGGGTATATACCCAGTAATGGTATGGCTGGGTCAAATGGTATTTCTAGTTCTAGATCCCTGAGGAATTGCCACACTGACTTCCACAATGGTTGATTAGTTTACAGTCCCACCAACAGTGTGAAAGTGTTCCTGTTTCTCCACATCCTCTCCAGCACCTGTTGTTTCCTGACTTTTTAATGATCACCATTCTAACTGGTGTGAGATGGTATCTCATTGTGGTTTTGATTTGCATTTCTCTGATGGCCAGTGATGATGAGCATTTTTTCATGTGTTTTTTGGCTGCATAAGTGTCTTCTTTTGAGAAGTGCCTGTTCATATCCTCTGCCCACTTTTTGATGGGGCCGATTGTTTTTTTCTTGTAAATTTGTTTGAGTTCATTGTAGTTTCTGGATATTAGCCCTTTGTCAGATGAGTAGGTTGCGAAAATTTTCTCCCATTTTGTAGGTTGCCTGTTCACTCTGATGGTAGTTTCTTTTGCTGTGCAGAAGCTCTTTGGTTTAATTAGATCCCATTTGTCAATTTTGTCTTTTGTTGCCATTGCTTTTGGTGTTTTAGACATGAAGTCCTTGCCCATGCCTATGTCCTGAATGGTATTGCCTAGGTTTTCTTCTAGGGCTTTTATGGTTTTAAGTCTAACATTTAAGTCTTTAATCCATCTTGAATTAATTTTTGTATAAGGTGTAAGGAAGGGATCTAGTTTCAGCTTTCTACATATGGCTAGGCAGTTTTCCCAGTACCATTTATTAAATAGGGAATCCTTTCCCCATTGCTTGTTTTGGTCAGGTTTGTCGAAGATCAGATAGTTGTAGATATGCGGCATTATTTCTGAGGGCTCTGTTCTGTTCCATTGGTCTATATCTCTGTTTTGGTACCAGTACCATGCTGTTTTGATTACTGTAGCCTTGTAGTATAGTTTGAAGTCGGGTAGCATGATGCCTCCAGCTTTGTTCTTTTGGCTTAGGATTGACTTGGCAATGCAGGCTCTTTTTTGGTTCCATTTGAACTTTAAAGTAGTTTTTTCCAATTCTGTGAAGAAAGTCATTGGTAGCTTGATGGGGATGGCATTGAATCGATAAATTACCTTGGGCAGTATGGCCATTTTCACGATATTGATTCTTCCTACCCATGAGCATGGAATGTTCTTCCATTTGTTTGTATCCTCTTTTATCTCCTTGAGCAGTGGTTTGTAGTTCTCCTTGAAGAGGTCCTTCACGTCCCTTGTAAGTTGGATTCCTAGGTATTTTATTCTCTTTGAAGCAATTGTGAATGGGAGTTCACTCATGATTTGGCTCTCTGTTTGTCTGTTATTGGTGTATAAGAATGCTTGTGATTTTTGCACATTGATTTTGTATCCTGAGACTTTGCTGAAGTTGCCTATCAGCTTAAGGAGATTTTGGGCTGAGACAATGGGGTTTTGTAGATATACAATCATGTCATCTGCAAACAGGGACAATGTGACTTCCTCTTTTCCTAATTGAGTACCCTTTATTTCCTTCTCCTGCCTGATTACCCTGGCCAGAACTTCCAACACTATGTTGAATAGGAGTGGTGAGAAAGGGCATCCCTGTGTTGTGCCAGTTTTCAAAGGGAATGCTTCCAGTTTTTGCCCATTCGGTATGATATTTGCTGTGGGTTTGTCATAGATAGCTCTTATTATTTTGAGATATGTCCCATCAATACCTAATTTATTGAGAGTTTTTAGCATGAAGGGTTGTTGAATTTTGTCAAAGGCTTTTTCTGCATCTATTGAGATAATCATGTGGTTTTTGTCGTTGGTTCTGTTTATATGCTGGATTATGTTTATTGATTTGCGTATGTTGAACCAGCCTTGCATCCCAGGGATGAAGCCCACTTGATCATGGTGGATAAGCTTTCTGATGTGCTGCTGGATTCAGTTTGCCAGTATTTTATTGAGGATTTTTGCATCGATGTTCATCAGGGATATTGGTCTAAAATTCTCTTTTTTTGTTGTGTCTCTGCCAGGCTTTGGTATCAGCATGATGCTGGCCTCATAAAATGAGTTAGGGAGGATTCCCTCTTTTCCTATTGATTGGAATAGTTTCAGAAGGAATGGTACCATCTCCTCCTTGTACCTCTGGTAGAATTCGGCTGTGAATCCATCTGGTCCTAGACTTTTTTTGGTTGGTAAGCTATTAATTATTGCATCAATTTCAGAGCCTGTTATCGGTCTATTCAGAGATTCAACTTCTTCCTGGTTTAGTCTTGGGAGGGTGTATTTGTCAAAGAATTTATTCATTTCTTCTAGATTTTCTAGTTTATTTGCGTAGAGGTGTTTATAGTATTCTCTGACGGTAGTTTGTATTTCTGTGGGATCAGTGGTGATGTCCCCTTTATATTTTTTATTGCGGCTATTTGATTCTTCTCTCTTTTCTTCTTTATTAGTCTTGCTAGTGGTCTATCAATTTTGTTGATCCTTTCAAAAAACCAGCTCCTGGATTCATTGATTTTTTGAAGGGTTTTTTGTGTCTCTATCTCCTCCAGTTCTGCTCTGATCTTAGTTATTTCTTGCCTTCTGCTTGCTTTTGAATGTGTTAGCTCTTGCTTCTCTAGTTCTTTTAATTGTGATGTTAGGGTGTCAATTTTAGATCTTTACTGCTTTCTCTTGTGGGCATTTAGTGCTGTAAGTTTCCCTCTACACACTGCTTTGAATGTGTCCCAGAGATTCTGGTATGTTGTGTCTTTGTTCACGCTGGTTTCAAATAACATCTTTATTTTTGCCTTCATTTTGTTATGTACCCAGTAGTCATTCAGGAGCAGGTTGTTCAGTTTCCATGTAGTTGAGCGGTTTTGAGTGAGTTTCTTAATCCTGAGTTCTAGTTTGATTGCACTGTGGTCTGAGAGACAGTTTGTTACAATTTCTGTTCTTTTACATTTGCTGAGGAGTGCTTTATTTCCAACTATGTGGTCAATTTTGGAATAGGTGTGGTGTGGTGCTGAAAAGAATGTATATTCTGTTGATTTGGGGTGGAGAGTTCTGTAGATGTCTATTAGGTCCGCTTGGTGCAGAGCTGAGTTCAATTCCTTGGTATCCTTGTTAACTTTCTGTCTCATTTATCTGTCTAATGTTGACAGTGGGGTGTTAAAGTCTCCCATTATTATTGTGTGGGAGTCTAAGTCTCTTTGTAGGTCTCTAAGGACCTGCTTTATGAATCTGGGTGCCCCTGTATTGGGTGCATATATATTTAGGATAGTTAGCTCTTCTTGTTGAATTGATCCCTTTACCATTATGTAATGGCCTTCTTTGTCTCTTTTGATCTTTGTTTGTTTAAAGTCTGTTTTATCAGAGACTAGGATTGCAATCCCTGCCTTTTTTTGTTTTCCATTTGCTTGGTAGATCTGCCTCCATCCCTTTATTTTGAGCCTATGTGTGTCTCTGCACGTGAGATGGGTTTTCTGAATACAGCACACTGATGGGTCTTGAGTCTTTATCCAATTTGCCAGTGTGTGTCTTTTAATTGGAGCATTTAGCCCATTTACATTTCAGGTTAATATTGTTATGTGTGAATTTGATCCTGTCGTTATGATGTTAGCTGGTTATTTTGCTCATTAGTTGATGCAGTTTCTTCCTAGCCTCGATGGTCTTTACAGTTTGGCCTGTTTTTGCAGTGGCTGGTGCTGCTTGTTCCTTTCCACGTTTAGTGCTTCCTTCAGGAGCTCTTTTAGGGCATGCCTGGTGGTGACAAAATCTCTCAGCATTTGCTTGTCTGTAAAGTATTTTATTTCTTCTTCACTTATGAAGCTTAGTTTGGCTGGATATGAAATTCTGGGTTTAAAATTCTTTAAGAATGTTGAATATTGGCCCGCACTCTCTTCTGGCTTGTAGAGTTTCTGCCGAGAGATCAGCTGTTAGTCTGATGGGCTTCCCTTTGTGGGTAACCCGACCTTTCTCTCTGGCTGCCATTAACATTTTTTCCTTCATTTCAACTTTGGTGAATCTGACAATTATATGTCTTGGAGTTGCTCTTCTCGAGGAGTATCTTTGTGCCATTCTCCGTATTTCCTGAATTTGAATGTTGGCCTGCCTTGCTAGATTGGGGAAGTTCTCCTGGATAATATCCTTCAGAGTGTTTTCCAACTTGGTTCCATTCTCCCCGTCACTTTCAGGTACACCAATCAGACGTAGATTTGGTCTTTTCACATAGTCCCATATTTCTTGGAGGCTTTGTTCGTTTCTTTTTATTCTTTTTTCTCTAAACTTCTCTTTTCACTTCATTTCATTCATTTGATCTTCCATCACTGATACCCTTTCTTCCAGTTGATTGAATCGGCTACTGAGGCTTATGCATTCTTCACGTAGTTCTCGTGCCGTGGTTTTCAGCTCCGTCAGGTCCTTTAAGGACTTCTCTGCATTGGTTATTCTAGTTAGCCATTTGTCTAATCTGTTTTCAAGGTTTTTAACTTCTTTGCCATGGGTTCAAGCTTCCTCCTTTAGCTCGGAGTAGTTTGATCGTCCGAAGCCTTCTTCTCTCAACTCGTCAAAGTCATTCTCTGTCCAGCTTTGTTCCATTGCTGGTGAGGAGCTGCGTTCCTTTGGAGGAGGAGAGGTGCTCTGATTTTTAGAGTTTCCAGTTTTTCTGCTCTGTTTTTTCCCCATCTTTGTGGTTTTATCTACCTTTGGTCTTTGATAATGGTGACGTACAGATGGGTTTTTGGTGTGGATGTTCTTTCTGTTTGTTAGTTTTCCTTCTAACAGTCAGGACCCTCAGCTGCAGGTCTGTTGGAGTTTGCTGGAGGTCCACTCCAGACCCTGATTGCCTGGGTATCAGCAGCAGAGGCTGCAGAACAGTGGATATTGGTGAACAGCAAATGTTGCTGCCTGATCATTTCTCTGGAAGTTTTGTCTCAGAGGAGTACCCGGCCGTGTGAGGTGTCAGTCTGCCCCTACTGGGGGTTGCCTCCCAGTTAGGCTACTCGGGGGTCAGGGACCCACTTGAGGAGGCATTCTGTCCATTCTCAGATCTCAAGCTGTGTGCTGGGAGAACCACTACTCTCTTCAAAGCTGTCAGACAGGGACATTTAAGTCCACAGAGGTTTCTGCTGCCTTTTGTTTGGCTATGCCCTGCCCCTAGAGGTGGAGCCTACAGAGGCAGGCAGGCCTCCTTGAGCTGCGGTGGGCTCCACCCAGTTCGAGCTTCCCAGCTGCTTTGTTTACCTACTGAAGCCTCGGCAATGGCGGGCGCCCCTCCCCCAGCCTCACTGCTTCCTTGCAGTTTGATCTCAGACTGCTGTGCTAGCAATGAGTGAGGCTCCGTGGGCGTAGGACCCTCCAAGCCAGGCACAGGATATAATCTCCTGGTGTGCCGTTTACTAAGACCTTTGAAAAAGTGCAGCATTAGGGTGGGAGTGACCAGATTTTCAAGGTGCCGTCTGTCACCCCTTTCTTTGACTAGGAAAGGGTATTCCCTGACCCCTTGCGCTTCCCGGATGAGGTGATGCCTCGCCCTGCTTTGGCACACATTTGGTGCACTGCACCCACTGTCCGGCACCCACTGTCCGACACTCCTCAGTGAGATGAACCCAGTACCTCAGTTGGAAATGCAGAAATCACCTGTCTTCTGTGTCGTTCATGCTGGGAGCTGTAGACTGGAGCTGTTCCTATTCGGCCATCTTGGCTCCACCCCCCTCTATCCACTTTAATCCTGTTTCCTAACATACTTTCCCTAAACTGCTTTTGATAGTCTGATTCATTCACTCCACTTTTCCAGAACTCTGAGGTCAGTAGGTGGCATGTGTCTTCCAAGTGATTCCTGATGCCTTTGCTGTCTTCTGTACCAAGTCAGCCACAAACGCCGGCCCGTTATCTGAGCTGATTCATAAGGGCAGTCTGAACCTAGGAATGAGATCTCAGAGAAGCACACAGGTTACCTCATAGGCCTTTTCAGTTCGTGTTGGATAAGCCTCCACATACCCAGAGTAAGTACACACAAGAACCAGCAAATACTTGTTATCTCCACATTTCGGCATTTCTGTGAAATTTACCTGAAGATCCTCAAAAGGAGCCACTCCATAAGCTTGTATGCCGGGCAGAACAGTGGGGCCTTGCCTCGCATTGTGCTGTCAGCAAGTCACACACCACTATGCTACTGGTTTGGCAAGGGCTGGCAAGTGTGACATGTAGAAGTACCGGCCTAACAATTTTTCAAGTGACTCTTGACCTAGATGAGTGGTTTCATGCATGGCCAATACGATTGTGGCTCCCAGCAACTGCGGCACAGCTACTTTCCCATCTGGCAGTCTGATCCAGCCTCCTTTTATTACTTGTCCCCTTCTGCATGGAAGAAGTCTTTCTTCCCTAGAATAGGTAGGTACCAGTTCAGGTGTTTGAGGGAGTAAAGGGGCTGCTACTGATGCCCAGTAAGGGGTAGATGCTGCCTTTGGAGCTTCTGAATTAGCTCGAGAGTTTCCTAAGGCCACTGAGGTGGAGGCTCACTGGTGTCCCCTGCATGCATGACTGCCACCTTCTGAGGTTTCCACATTGCCTCTAGTAATTGTAGAGTTTCTTGTTGATATTTTATGTCCTTTTCCCCAGAGTTTAACAGGTCTTTTTCCTTATATAATGCTCCACGAACTTGGAGGGTTAGAAAGGCATATTGAGAGTCAGTGTAGATGTTTACAGTCTTACCTTCACTGAGTTCTAGCACCTGAGTTAAAGCAATGAGCTCAGCCTTCTGGGCTGAATTGCCCTGTGGCAATGGTTTGGCTTCAATGACAGCATTCAAAGTTACCACCGCATATCCTGCACATCTTTCTCCTTGTGGGTTGATGAAGCTGCTCCTGTCCACATATAAATCCTAGTCTACTGATGCCTATGACTGGTCCTGAAGGTCAGGTCTGCTAGAATAAACTGAGTCCAACACCTCTACACAGTTATGCTCAACCGGGCTCTCTGATATTGGAAGCAGGGTGGTGGGATTTAGGGTGTTACAGACTTCGATGGTTATGCGGGGATTTTTACATAGCAAGATTTGGTACTTGGTTAATCTAGCATTTGTTAGCCAATGATGTCCTTTGGTATTCACCAAAGTTACCACAGCATGGTGGGGGCCTTTATATTCAGGTTTTGCCCAAGGGTTAGTTTATCTGCTTCTTGTGCTAACAGGGCTGTTGCTGCCAGGGCCCTTAGACATGGTGGCCAGCCTTTGGAAACCCTATCTAGTTGTTTTGAGAGATAGGCCACTGGCCTTGGCCAGTACCCCACAGTCTGGGTTGAAACTCCAACTGCCATTTTTTCTCTTTCTGACACACAGAGTGTAAAGGGCTTTGTCAAATCTGGTAGTCCTAGGGCTGGGGCCGACATAAGTTTTTCCTTTAACTTACAAAAGGCTTGCTGTTGTAGAGGCCCCCATTCACAGGGCTCCCAGTCACCCCCCTTTGTAACCCCGTACAAAGGTTTGGCTAGCACTGCAAAGTTTGGAATCCATAATCTGCAAAACCTCACAGCTCCTAGGAATTCCCTTACTTGCCTTCTGGTTTTAGGTGCCGGTAGGCTGCAGATGACCTGCTTTCTTTCTGACCCCAGGCTGTGCTCCCCTTTCTGAATAGTGAATCCCAGGTAGCGTACCTGCTGTCTGCAGATCTGAGCTTTCTTCTTGTCCACCAGGTCCCGAAGCAGGGCATCCATCCCTTTTGCGCACCCGACTGCCGTGGAGTGTTCCAGCAGAAGGTCGTCCACGTACAGGAGCTAGATGCATCCTGGGTCTTTAGCATGAAACTTTTGCAGGTCTCCAGCCAGAGCCTCCCTGAAGATAGTAGGAGAGTTCTTGAACCCTTGGGGAAGTCGGGTCCAAGTGTACTGAGTAGTGATACCTGACTCCGGATCTTCCCACTGAAAGGCATACAGCTTCTGGCTCTCAGGAGCTATTCTGTTGCTAAAGAAGGCATCTTTTAAGTCCAGACAGGTAAACCAGCTGTCCTCAGCCGGCAGCAGCCCTAACAATGTGTAAGGGTTAGGAACTGTTGGGTGCCGAGTCACTGCAGCTTGGTTGACCAAGCGCAAGTCCTGTACTGGTCAGTAGTCCTTGGTCCCTGGCTTAGGGACAGGCAGGAGGGGTGTTCCATGGAGACTGGCAAGGAACTATAATTCCATAGGCTTTCAAGCACCTGAGATGAACCTGGATTCTTTCGAGAGCTTCCCTGGGAACCGGATACTGCTTTTGTCTAATTGGTTGGGCCCCAGGATTAACTTCTATGAGTATGGGGGCTTGGTTGACTGTCAGTCCCGGAGGATGCCCATACTCGAGGCCATCGCTTAGCTAGAGCTGGTTTTATCTCTTGTCCTGGCTCAGTTAGAAAAAGTCTCCATTCTTCTTCCCAGGGGACCGTAAGGGCCATGATAACTCCTGTTCCCGGTAACTTTAGCTGTAAAGAGCCCTGTTTTGTAAAGGAGATGGTGGCTCTTAGCTTGCTAAGCAAGTCTCTTCCCAGCAGGGGCAAGGGACAGTCAGGCATATACAAGAACTAGTGAACTATTTCATATCCCCCCACCGAGCAGGTCTGTGGTAGACAGAAAGCCTGCTTAGTGGAAACTCCTGTTGCTCAGATTATATCAATGGTTTTCTTGGATAAGGGGGTGACCTGGGGGGTCACTACTGAATGTTCAGCACCAGTATCGACCAAAAACTTAATGTCCTTGCCCCCAGTTGTAATCCTGACCGTGGGCTCCTTGGGGGTGCTTGAGACCGGTGCCTTTCAGTCCAGTAGCCCTTCAGCCAGATTGAACGAAGCTCCCTCACCTTTATCTGAGGTCTTTTGTTCCAAATCAGCTTGCTTTTCCTTCAGCTGGGGACACTTATCTTTCCAATGTCCTATTTCCTTACAGTAGGTGCATTGGTTACATTGCAAGCATGGACGATTAGACTGGGTATTCTTCCCGGAACCCCCCTTTCCCTGTCCTTTCAGGGGAATTCCCCTAATGGCCGCAGCCAGTAAGTCGGCATTTTGCCTAGCCTGGCATTGGCCTTCCTTATGGCTTTCTCTGTGGCTTGTTGCATCTCCATTCACAAACCCTTGATTGGCTATTTCCAGTAACTGTGAGGTATTCATACCTGCAAACCCAGCCTGTTTCTGCAATTTTCTCCTGATATCTTCCGTGCTTTGACTGACTAAGGCCATGTTAATCATGCGCTGATTTTCAGGGCTATCTGGATCAAAAGGAGTGTACATACGGTAAACCTCACATAGTCTTTCATAGAATTGTGCAGGACTCTTCTCTTTTCCTTGGATGACCTCAGAAACCTTATTTACATTTGTAGCCTTTTGAGCCCCTTTCTTTAGACCTTCTATTAATGCCTCACGGTGCCATCTTAGCCTCTCCATGTCTGGTCCCTCGTTCGAGTCCCATTGGGGGTCTGTTCCTGGCAGCTGAATTCATATATATTCTTGGGGGTTTTGGAAATCAGCTGGGACATGCTCCTCTAGCCACTTAGTTGCCACCCAGAGCACCCTTCGCCTTTCATCTGTATTAAAGAGGTACATGAGCAGCTGGTGGCAATCAGCCCAAGTAGGATTATGGGTCTGTATAATAATTTGGAGCAAGTCAATTAAAGCTTGAGGCTTTTCGGTGTAAGATGGAGTATTATTTTTCCAATTGAGGAGGTCAGCAGAGGCGGAAGGTTGATACACAAAGGCACGCCTTTCCATGTGTCCTTATTCATCTACCCCAGTACATTGCTGCTCTCTCAGGGGCACTTGTATTCCAGTCTTGGGCCATAAGCGAGCTGCCAAGGGAGGAGTTTCTCCCACGGCTTCACTTCCTCTTTTGTCTACTCTGGGTGGTCTAGGAGTGTGGCTATCTGGTGGAGGTGTAGGTGCTGTGGTCTCAGGAGTGGGGAGCCCTTCCTGTCGATAAGGGGTGGGGTACTGCTGGTACCAATTCCTGCCACGATTCTTCTGGTGTTGGGTCTGACAGGACTTTTGGTGCCGACTTCCCTTGGTGGTTGGAGAGAGAACCTTTCTTAACTAACTGTCCCTTTGCTACTAGTACTGCTGCTGCCTGTCCTCTTAACCACTGTGGGGGCAGGGGAGTGGTCCAAAACTAGCTGTAACCAAGAATCTATATACAGGAACTGATCTGGGTGCCCTGGCTTACAGGTTACCCTGTGCCATACCTTTGAGACAAGGGACCTGTCCAGGCTTCCTTCTGATAGCCAACCCACCTCTAATGCTGGCCAGTCTATCTCGCACAAAGTTCTAAGTTTTCCTGGTGTCATAGTAACTCCATAGTCTCCCTTAAATCCCTTTTTGAAATTTTTCAACATAGTTCCTAGTGGGGTGGGCTTATTTTGTGCCTGACCCATGTTCTCGAGACAAAACACCACGCTCACACCGCACGCACACCACAAAACAAAGAACGGGTAAAAAGGGCACACACACACTTTTTTAGTTTATACCAAACCAGAATCAGAACCAAAATCAGAGTATCAAGAAATTCAAGCCAGGTCAAAACCAAAACCAAAGTATCAAGCAATGCAAGTCAAGTCAAAAAAAAAAAAACCAAAGTGCCGGTATGGGCATGCAGTGGGTGGTCAGGCCACGCTTCCACTCAAATGGAGTAGGCAAGTTCCAAAGACTAGTCTTACCAAGTTTCAGATGTCTGGTCTCCAAGTGCCGGTTCCTTCCCAGTGTTCAGCCACTGCATTGATCCTCCACGGGGGCCTGCCATGCACTACTCCGGCAAGGCATTCCACCAGGGCAATTGCCTACCAGGGAGCGCTCTCAGGATCCGTGTCGCTCAAGCTGGCTGGAGTCCCCTGCAGGGATGCTCCACAGGGAAGGCCTAAGCCGCCTAAGGGGCTGCCTCAACCGTCCATTAATTGCTTCACTTCCCAGTCAGGAAACCAAGAAATGTAGCAGGACAAGCCACAGACAAAACCCCTCAGACACCAAGTTAAAGAAGGAAGGTCTTTATTCAGCCGGGAGCTTCAGCAAGACTCACGTCTCCAACAACTGAGCTCCCTGAGTGAGCAATTCCTGTCCCTTTTAAGGGCTCACAACTCTAAGGGGGTCCACATGAGAGGGTCTTGATCGATTGAGCAAGCAGGAGGTATGTGACTGGGGGCTGCATGCACCGGTAATTAGAACGGAACAGAACAGGACAGGGATCTTCACAGTGCTTTTCTTATGCAAATAACTGATTAGGTCAGGGGTCGATCTTTAACTACCAGGCCCAGGGTGTGGCACCAGGCTGTCGGCTTGTGGATTTCATTTCTGCCTTTTAGTTTTTACTTCTTTCTTTGGAGGCAGAAATTGGGCATAAGACAATATGAGGGGTGGTCTCCTCCCTTGATCTCATCTCCCTTCGTGTAGCCTGAGTTCCCAACTCTTTGCTCTGGTGCTCTGCCATGAATAGACTCTTGCCAATGTCAAAGTTTCTGCTCTGCTTTCTGTGTTTTCTTGTATCTTCACAAAAACAAAACAAAACAAAAAAAACCCTACCAATACCATTTGCCAGTCTAAGGTCTTAAGAGAGAATCTGATTGTCTTAATCACCATTGTGTCTTTTGGGGAGAGCATTTTGCTCTAGCCACTGCCTAGGTCACCAGTCAACCAATGAACTGGCTACCTTTAGATCACAGACTTTGACCAATTAGTGTGTGAATGGGTCATATGGTCTAGCGCATGGCTACCTTAGCACGAGGGTGAGAATAGCTTGGCTTACTTGTCTTAGCAGAAGCTGCAGCCTGGGCAGTTTTCCCTAAAAATCTGGGCATGATTGATTTGTGCAGTGCTCTTGGAAAACAAGTCTAGAATTTAGTTGAATTTTGTCTGAGCTACCTAGGGAGGTCATTTGTATTAAGGAACCATCAATTTCCAGCATTGACCTTTTAGGTCATTGAGACCACTGTGATGGAGATGTGTTCCCTGGACCCTCACAAGTTCAAACCTGTATTTTGGTGGCCAGAAATGTTTAAATATATGAATTTTTCTGAGGATGAGCATCTATAATGTCCTAATCAGCAAAATTGTGTTTTTTCCCTGGATTCTTGAGAATCACCTCCCTAAATGGACTCACAATGGGACTTTCCAAAGCCCTTTTCTGAATGAGAGATAAAATGTTCTAGAAGTTCACTTCTCAATTTCAAGAGGTGCTATCTCAACCCTTACACTACATTGTCAAAACAAGCTACAACAATGTAATCAGTTCCTTAATACTAGCAGTCAAACCAGTGCTTGGGAATCATGTAAATAAAACAATGGATTGGTTAACTTTTTCTGTTGGTGGTTTTAGTATTTTTTAGACATGGTCTGAGGTGCTCATGGTTTATTTTATGAGACACAATTATTCCTATCCATGAAATTCTGTCTCAACATGACTTCCAATGACTCCTTGAAACGGATTTTACCTGTCTTGACTCTGTTTTTCCCTCCTAAGAAATTTCTGTTAGATGATAGGGCACAACTGTATAAGTTAAAGATGATTTTTATTTAACCCTAAAGATGATTTTTATTTAACCCCCAAGCTTTGAAGCTGGTAGAGATGTTAAATATATTCACCACTTACCATGCCCATTTGCTTCCTAGTACAGCAGGACTTTGCTTTTCCTTGCAATTCTTCCTTGTTTAAATAATTGCAAAAAGAAGCCATTCGCAGATTTTACCCCCATATTTAGAACTTCTTTCTAAACCCTGAAGGGGTTCTGAGATTGCACTTAATTAGAACCTACTTTGTGCCAGACACTGTGCTGAGTGCTTTGCATATAGTAACTGATTTAATTTTTACCATTCTATAAGATTCTATTGTCATAATCCCCATTTTATGGATGAGGAAACTGAGACATTGAGAAACTTTTTCCATTCCTCTGCTTTTTGAGGAAGGTCTGACTCTAATAAGTCATCTCAAACAAATACTTGATAATGAGCTATTTAGCTTTCTCTAGAAGTGATGCCACTGGGCAGAAAAATATGCTGGTGATGCTGGTCACAAATGACTCAGGTGTGTTGGCCATGTCCCCAGGGTGCCTGGTTTGTGGCATGCCCATGTACACAGGGATACACACAGCACTTTGCCTCTCCCAGAGCAAGACCAACCAAATATACCCTCTCTCACGTCTTCAATTTGTCTCTTTTCCCAGCTTTTCCTTAGTACTAAAAACATGCTGAAGACTTCAATTGCTTTCTTTCTTCTTTTTCTCCCTGCTCCCTCACGCCCAAGTTACTGCCATGTATTGGTCAGGCTGGACTAGGCTTTGTTGCAGAAACAATAAACCATCTTTGTGCCTTGGGCAATAAAGGTTATGTCTGGCTCATGCTAGGTGTCCATCAGGGTCACCTGGGGCTCTGCTCATCGTAGTTGCTCAGAGACCCAGGCTGATGGAATCTTTGTCCTGACAAATGCTTTGGCAATTGATTACCATGGCAGGGAGAAGGGGGAATGGGAACAGTCAACCCCTTCTCTTTGAAACTCCTTTCTTGCTCCTCCCGCCATAGTTTTTCCGATTCTTCTATGATTCTGTGATCCCTCACTCCTGTTTTCTGACTTTTCTTCCTCCTCTGCCCTTTCCATGTATCTGTTTCCTAAGAACTATCTCTTAGCCCTCTTCTCTCCTAATAGATATCCTCTCTTGGCATTTCTTCCAAACTGTGGTTTCCAGTACCATTTCTGTGTGAATAATTTCCAGATCTTTATTTTCAGCTCTATTTCCCTGAGCCCCAATTCCATTGTCAACAGCCATCAGTCTTCAAATCTATCTAAAAAGGAATTTCCATCTCTACCAAATTTACATTTCCTCCTGGCTCTCCTATTTCTGTTAACTCCTCTCCTCTCCCAACATTGAAACTCAAACTATTTTAGAATGTGTCTCAAATCCATCCCCTTCTCTGTTACTGACCACGTTCATGGCCTCACCTCTCTCCTGGAAGACAATAGCTTCCTAATAGCCCTCTGACCACACTTTCAACTTTTCTAAATGGTTCAAGGCTGCACACTGTACAACTCTAGGAAGCACCATTCACAATGTATTCTAGGGGAATGGCGCCCCCTGGAGTTGTGCAGTGGAGTAGCTCTGCAGACCCCACCCAACTGACCTTACATAGCTCAAGTTGAATCCTGACACTCCACTGCTCAAAAACTTCCTTGGTTCCCCATTCCAACCTGAATGAAGGCCACATGCCTTGGCTCTGTCCCCTACAGGTTACGATGGAAGTCACCCTCCCTCTTCTGAAATTCCACATCTCTCCTATACCAAGTAGCACTTTCTATCCTGCATTTTACTGATTTAAGAATACTCTTACCTCCTCGATGTGTGAAAATTTACTTACTTGAGGTGTTAAATTAATAAAGATTCATTTGTTGCAAATGATAGGAAAACCCAAGACGAATGGCTTACGTTTAAAAAGATAATGCATTGGCTCACATCAATGAGCCTTGCAGAGAGTACATCCTACTGCTTGAGGCATGGCTGGATGTGGACTTACCCCAGATCCTCAGGATTCTCTCCCTTTCTTTCCATTTGAGGAAGCTGAAACCACAAAAGGCCTGTCTGGGGCAGCTGGAGCCAAGGATGCCACAGTAATGAGAGCAGAAGGAACACGCTGTCACTTTTCCCTTTTCCTCTCCTCCAGCGGCTCACTGGTGCCTTCCACTGGCTGACCCTGCAGTCTGGGACATGCAGCTGCACGGCTCAGAGCAGAGCAGATCAGGGGAACGAAAGGAGTGGGTATGAGGGCAAACAAGCAACCACCAGCATAAATACCTTTCTCAAAGTCCCACAACAGTAAGTGGTGGAGCCTGGCCTTGAACCCATAGCTGGGGCTTTGAATCCTGCCCCTCCACGCAGCAAGGAGGCATAAAAGTGCATTTCAGTCTGAGGCATCTGAGTGAGCCAAGGCCAGCTGGGAAAGTCTGGAAGGTGTATGGAAGTAGCAGAGAATTTATTTGGGCCGCAGTGTTAAGGTGCTTACAGAAGAACAGTGGCAAATAGGAGTACATGTTGCATAAAGCCTAGAGGACTGGGCTGGAGTTTGGTTTTTGTTCAGGATGCAAAAGGAAAGTTACCAAAAGAAAAGGAAAAGTTAAGGTAAGTTATAGCTATAAAAATGTCAGAAACAGGAAAAAAAAAACTTGGACTCACCTCAAATAAAATCAAGATACAAAATGAAATAATTCTAAAGAGCAAAAATTACAATACCATAAAGAGTTGATTTGTTTCCTAATTTTTGTATGGTTGCCATCCTGGATACTGATAACAGAAATCAGGAATGAACATTCCTTTATTCCTTCAAGTGAAAACCTACTATGAGCTGGGGACTGTGCTGGAGTTTTAGAGGATGGCAACATGAACCATTTGTTGGGCTTTTCTAATATTTCTCTTGTCTTTTGAAGTGCAGGTGAGCGCCCCATGTCATGACCTTTTGTCTGAAAAGAGATCTGAGGCGTACAGAAAGTACGTTGAAAGGTTGTTCACTTTGTACTCTTTGTGTGGTTTTAAATCTCAAGGTTATATGCTCTGGTTGGCTTTGTCTGAAGTTAAATGGCCTGACTTGCAAATAATATTGATGGAATGTGCACAAAAAAAGAAGTGACCACAAAGACAGAAAATGTCTCTGGGTGAGGGCAGTAAACTGGGAGATTTTTGCATGTTTCTTGGGGTAAGACTGACTAGTTATTAAGCCCCTTGATGCTTCTATTTTTAAAATCACAAACTGATAATACTTGCCATGTAATCACAAGTATATCATTCACATCTTCTACAATACAGATGTAGAATGCCTGATTTGGAATCATACAGTAGGCATATCAAAAAGGAACACTATATATTATATAAACTGGACATCTGCAGATGGCTAACTTCATCATTTTGAATCAACAAGCAGCGAGTTCACATACATGTATCCCTAGGTAGTTGAAAAATTTAGTCCAACCTCCCCCATAACCTAAAACTTATGTAACCAATTTATTTATTTATTTATTAAACATTTGTTTAGCACCTGCTATCTTCCATAAATTCAACAAAGATTTATTAATTGCCTATATGTGTTCAGCTATGTCTAATGGTGAACAAAATAAAAATGGGTTGACCCCTCATGGAGCTTACACTCTAATGGAAGTGGCATCTACACCTGTGGTTTGGTGCAGATTGTGCTGTGAAAAACCTCATTCTTTAGCAGGGACGACAGACTTATAGTCAGCACAGCTGCAAACACAATGTGATGAGTGCATGAAAGTGTGCTTTGGGAATGAGCGGTGATCTCTCTGAGTGCCCAGGCAAGGCTTTTCCAAGAAGCGAATGCAATAGCTGGACCTCAAAAGAAGAGAAGGAGCTTCTGGACATTTGAAGAAATACATTTTAAGTTGAAGGAGTGACAGGATGCTGAGACATGGAAATGGGAAACAGCATTCACAGTTTAGAATGTGGGGCTTTGAAGGTGTGGGAACAGTGGTCAAACCAAGTCATGTGTAGCCTTGTGGGCCACGTGATGGAGTTTGGGTTTAGTGGGAGGCATATGGAGGTGGTTGATGAATGTGAAACAGAGGAATGACATGAATGGGTGTGCCCTTTAAGAAACCATCTACAAGCACTAAAACTCCAGGAACTACGATCAACGTAAGTTGGCCATTCTCTGGGTGGGGGTGGGTGGGGGTGTGTGTATGAGAGAGGAGTCTAGGAGGCTCTCACACTTCTGTCTGTTTGCAGCAGCCTCTATTTGACCTCCAGACTCCAGACTTTTCATACTAAACACGTTATGCAGGCCACAACCAGGTCTATCTTCTTTGAACATATCTTTTGCCATGTAGCATCTTCACTCCAAAATTTTGAGTGTTTTTTTTGGTTTTTTTGTTTTTTCCGAGATGGAGTCTCGCTCTGTCATCCAGGCTGGAGTGCAATGGCACCATCTCGGCTTACTGCAACCTCCCCATCCCTGGTTCAAGCTATTCTCCTGCCTCAGCCTCCTGAGTAGCTGGGACTACAGGTGCCCGCCACCACACCCAGCTAATTTTTGTATTTTTAGTAGAGACAGGGTTTCACCGTGTTACCCAGGATGGTCTTGATCTCCTGTCCTCGTGATCCACCCTCCTCAGCCTCTCAAAGTGCTGGGATTACAGGCGTGAGCCATTGCACCTGGCCAATTTTGAGTGTTTCTTACACCACAAATGTGAATTTTTGAACTTCCTTTGAAAGATCTTCATTGAGTTTTAAAATCCCCTACTCATCTGAACACTCCTGTTCTCACTGTTAAACAAACATTCTGTCCTCTTTCATCTCAGTGCCCTTGCTATCTTCTTGCTAGGTATCCTAAGTGCACCAACCTCCAAGACTAGTTTAAACCTCATCGCCTTCATGCGGCCTTCTGACCACTTCATGCCTACCTGCTCCACTGTACCCTCATCTATTGTAGCTTGGAGCTAAGTGCATAATACTAGACTATAATAAGCTTCTCCAGGCAAAGAATTTTTGTCTATTTTGTCCTCTACTATATTCACACACTAAGAATAGTGCTTGGAAGATAAGTAGGTATTTGACAAACATTTGTTGAATAAATGAATGAATGAATGAATGAATGACTATGAAGTCCTTTATAAAAATTTAACAAAGAAAACACTATCAAGAATAAAACACTTAGTAAATCTGATCATGCATTGAGTCAACAAGCATGTACTGAGTGAATGCTATGTGACAAGCATTGTGATAGCTTCCGGGTATTCAAAAAAATAATTAGATTTGGAGTTCATCCTCAAAAAGTTCACAGTGAGAACAAAATCATTGTCCTACAGAATCAAATTCTGGTGAATATTTACATTTTCACACACATTAAAAATCAGTAGGGAACAATATAACCAGTACATTTTTGTTAAAAAGAAAACAAGAATTTTATGTCCTTTAGATTTCAACATTTTAAAAGTCTGATAATACCAAAACTTGATGAAGATGGGTAGCAACAGCAACCTTCAAACATGGCTAGTGGGAAGGAAAATTAGATGCTTTCTAATTTTGGAGTGCTTTCTCAGTTATTTAGTAAAGGTGAAGATGTGTGTATAAGACAATCCAGCAATTTCAGTCCTACATAGAGAAACTCTCAGATGTGTGCACATGGAGACATGTACAATCATGCTAATTACAGCACTGTTTAAAATGAACAGCTAGAAAACAACCGAAATGTCCCATCAATAGCAAAAGGGATAAGTAAATTATGATTGTATCCAGAAATGGAATCTTCTGAAAGTGAAAATAAATAAACTCGAGCTATAATTATTCACATAACTCAATCTCATAAATATATTGAATGAAAAACAAGTTGTAGAATGATAATTCAGCAAGATCCTATTTCTGCAAAGTGTAAACATAGAAAATAATACAATATGTTATTTGTGGCTTGATATATATGTAATAAAAGTAAAAAATATGCCTGATAGGGTGACTAACCATCCCGGTTTGCCTAGGACTTTCCCTGTTTTAGCTCAGAAAGTCCTGTATCTCGGGAAACTCCTCAGTCCCAGACAAACCAGGACAGTTGGTCACCTTACCTGAAAAAGATAAACACTAAGCCTAGAATGGTGGTTACTTCTTGAGGAAGTGAAGGAAATGGGATTGGACAAGGTTATACTGGGTATAATTCAGCTGAATTTGTAATGTTCTATTTCTTAAGCTGGATTATGAGTATGTGAGTGAGACAATTCAATGCATTCCGATTGGGAGCACAGATCCGATAGAGTAAAAATAAATTAGAAAAAAAAGTGTATCTCAAAGCAGTTATTTATCCATGAACTTAACAGGTTATGGAGAAAGGGCGATCATTTCATCTTTGACCATAACCTTAAAACTGCCAAGAGCAAGAGCCACCTCATCTGAGATGTTTCTTTGAGTATTTCTCCCTCCACTCTCACCACCATCCCCTCCCAGTCCTTTCACCTGTACAACGATTGCAGAGCTTCTGGAAATACACACACATACACACAGACACACACACGCACTAGGCACTCAGAGCCAACATTCATACAGTAGTTTCCTGAACTACTTGTAAATGTCTCTTGTCTCTCTTAGCCGAGTTCCCTGAGGGCAGGGTCTGCTTGACACTACCTTCACATTCTGCTGGCAGGAAGGGGAGTGCTCCAGAGCCAGGGCCCTGAAAGTACTTTACATCATGATTTTACCACTCACTAACTCTGCGATCTTGGGAAAATAACCACACCTCAATGTCCTCAACTATAACATGAGGATAGCACTCCTTATAAGGCAGATATGAGGACCAAGTAAGAAAATGCTTCTAAAACATTGAGTGTGATGCTTGGGAAATATGCTGAGCCTAATATGGTTGATAGGTAAAATTTTTTAAAATTAAAAACTAATTCTAAAGTATAGGAACAAAATATATTGCATACATATTTCAATACCATGCAAATTATTTTAAACTGTGATATAGGATTAAAATAAATCTAGTAAGGAAAGACAGGAGGAATGAGCTTCACATTCTTACCCAACCATCTGTAGAAATATTAAAATTAGAACATTTTTATGACAGAGAATTGTCATGTTCGTTGAACTGAATTGTGAAAAAAAATGGTCAGGTTCTGTTTAATGTAACTATTCCTATGAGACTAATTAAAGTCTGAAGCTCTGTTTCTTTTTTTGGAAGCCATGTCTGCTTAAAATGAGCTCTAATTGTCCCTATTTACACACTGACTGCAGAGTGCCCATCCTGCAGCAGACAACTCTGTAATTAGCTCCATTCAAGAACAAAGCAGTGACCATCTTTCAGCTGCTTTCTGGCTTTTGAGCTTAGGAAGCAAAGAAGAGTTTTTCTGGCTCTCTTGCAAAATGGAATTTAAATCTGCCACAAGCAATCAGTTGCAAGAATGATAATTGCACAGTTTGTTACAATTGATTTATACAGGCCCCAGGAAAGAATGAAGATCTCCTGACTAAAATTGTCAAATGAATAATTAATGATATGTGAAATTTTCCTTCCTTGGGATTTTATTGGCTGCATCTAGAATAAACTGGTAATGCTGACCTATTACTCATGCAGTGTATAAACCAGCTGATATTTTGGGACTGTCTGTCAATCGCTCTCATAGATATCATCCTCTTGAATAGTCACCATGATCTGCTTCATATTCAACATTCTGCACTTCTCAGATGAAGAACTTTCAATGAAAAAAATTAATTGAATTACAACTTGTAAAAGAACAAATGCAAAGGTTAAAATTGTGCTACTAAGTCCACAAAACTTTTAAGCATCACCAAAATCTTTTACAAAGGAGCATGTGAACCAGATTAGTGCCCCTCCTCCCCCACAACACACACACATGCACATGCTCATTCAGCTCAGAGGAAATGGAATGATTCCACTTGGGTGTGTCATACAACTATCTATTTTGCTTGTTTAACCCCATCTATAAGTCTTTTTTATTATGTGAATTTAACCCATCTACATTTATTGTGATTACTGATGTATTTGAACTATCTGCCAATTGCTCTGTTTCTATTTTGTCTTTTGCTTCTTTTTTCTCTTTTCTTGCCTTCTGTTTTCTTCTTTCTCCTTTTTCTTTTCAACAGTTTGCAAACTTTCCATTTCTATCATTTCGATGGTTACATTAAAAATGTTAGTACACATACAAAATGCAACTCTTAAATGAAACAAGGAACTTAGCATGCTTGTCTTCTCTTTCAACCCCACCCACCACCATCTTTTCATATTATTATTATCTAGAATGTCAGGTCCCTCTTGTCTTTAAATAAGGAAAAATAATTATTCCTATTTTTTTGCAGCCCATAATTATTTCTATTTTTTAGTCAGTAATTGTATCCTTCCCCTTTTTCAAGGATTTATTTCTCCTCCTTTAGTAATTCTGTGGGAGAAGATCTTTGGATAATAAACTAAGTAAGTCTTTGCATGAAGATGTCCATTTCATCCTTACTTTAAAAAAATTATGCTTACCTTTGTGAATAGGAAATCTCATCACATGATACAAAACTCAAGTAAGCTAAATGTTGTCTCAGTTGGATATAGAATTCTAGATTGAATATTGCTTTCCTGAGGCATCGATATCACTCTATTTGTTCTGGCATCCACTTTTACTGATTAGAAATTTTCCATCATTCTGATTGTCACTCACTGTAGTTTCTCTCTGGTGGCTTTTAAGGATTTTCTCATTCTTCTTAATGTTCTGGTTATTGTGCTTCTACAAGGTGCTTAGAATGGAAATTTTTTAAAAAGTTGTCCTGCATGGCACTTGATATACCTTTTTACCCTGAAGACTCAGGTCAGATTATAACAATCTGTCTTTCATGTCTCTAAACTTCACTTTCATATTTTCTGCCACTTTATGTCCCTGGCTGTTTTCGGTGATGCCCCGACTTTCAATCATTAATGCTTTCTTTAACTGAATCCAGTCAACTGCATTCAGACTTTCCAGGATTTTTTTTATTGGTACCTTTTCATAACTCATTGTTCTCCATTATAACCACCATTGTTGGATATTCTCTCTTTTATCTCTTTCAAGATTTTAAACATAGTTCAAAGTCCTTTGGGGATTGCTGTATTTCTATTTCTTTGGCTATAAAATGTCCTATTTGTTGGGTTTGTTGGATCCCTTTCATGGATTTGGATTAACTCATGAATTGGTAAGCTTGTGGCCTCAGTCCTCTTTTATTACTTGGAGGACTCTTTTTAAAATCATGATTATAGATTTTTAAATGCAAAAGTATATAAGCTATTATTTTGATGTATCTGGGTTGGAAAAAAAGTTCCATGTGCTCTTACTTCTTCACTGTGACTGGAAATTAGCTTATTTGATTAAAAAAATAAAAGTCTGAAAGAAAAAAATAAAGCAGAAAAAATATATCAAATATGTTTGGATAAAGTTAAATAGGACACAATGAAAAAAATTCACATATAGATTATAGCTCTAGGACATTTTTATCTAAACTTGAGTTTCTTTGGTTGGATGAGGTGTATTTAAATGCATTGTTTCACATTGTTTCACAAGATAATTGTGAATTATGAAATCACTCACTTGTTTTTTTTTAAATTCAACAAACATTTATTCAATGCCTCTGCACAGAACTGTATTAAGTATAGTTATACAAAGACCAGCAGGCCCTAGTGTTTTCATCTGTAAAATGGAAGTATTAGGATAGTCCATGCAAGGTGGTTGTAAAGAGCAGAAATGAAGACTATAAATTGCCTAGCAGACTTCCTGGCATATTGTAGGCATCTAATAAACGCAATAGTTATTCTCTTTGTCATCATGGAGATCGTGTGAGTTTTGAACACAAACAGGTAAACAGATATTCAAACACACAAACACTTTTAAGACACACACGAACACTTTTAAGACACAAAGAAGGGAGTGATCAACCGTGCTTGTGATGGCTGGGAAGTCTTTGTATAGTAGAAGACACTTGAACTGGGTCCTGAAGATTGAGTAGGAGTTTGCTAAATGGAAAGTTTAGGGAAAGTGGAAAACCACATTCAAAGACATGGACACTTGACACTTGTATTGCATTCTGGGAGTTGAAATTGTATTGTATTGCGGGAATTGAAAATACTCAGGGTATGTGGAAGATGTGGGGTGAGCAGAAGCAGGGAAAATGTGTTCGAAGAGGGTAGGCAGAGTCCAAGAAAAGAGGGAGGGGCATTTCAGTTAGATGCTGCAACAGTTTGGTGGAGAGACGATGAGGGATGCAAGTCAACAAAGATTGTAGGAGTGAAGAGTTGGGAGAAGACTTCAAAACAGTTGGGAGATAAAATATACAGTACTTGACAGTGATAGAATGTGGAAGTTCGAATGCCAATAAAACCACAGCTGTCGGACTTGGGCAAGTTACTTAACCTCTCTGGGCATTTGCTTCCTCAACTGTAAACTGGAAATAAAAATAGGACCTACTTCATGGGGTTGTATTAATGATTAAGAAAGACAAGATCTGTATAGCATTTTTAAAATCACCTAACTCACAGAAAGTTTCAATAAATAACTATGTGGGATGTGGAGGGTGCTGGAGGAGCCAGTGATGAAGCCCAGGTTTCTAGCTTAGCAACTGAGAGGTGGCTGCTGCTGCTACTCATGGAGACAGGGACCTCAGAGGAGGAACAGGTTTGCCTCCGAGCTCCTCCCTATCAATTAGGAAGAATCAAGCTATTGTTAGGGTCAGCTGGAACAAGCCTCCAAGGAGCTAGGCATCTCCTTCCTTAGACAAACCAGTTCAGAGCTTTCATCTGTACCATGGCTGTGGGCAAGCAGAATACACAATCCAGGGAGCAAAATGTAGGGCCTAAGACGGAAATGTCCAGGAAGTCCTCGGGAATCTCTGGTCACCTTACAGCTGTAATGAGAACTGTACTGAAGGCGGCTGAAAAAAAATAGGAGCATTTTAGGAAGCAAGACTAAAAATAGCTATGCTCTGTTTGGAAGCTGAGAGGAAGAAACCATCCACTAAAGGATCAAACTCGTTATCTTATGATTTTCATTGAGGATTTGTGTAAGTTTCCATTTGCTAATATCATGTCCTCATGTTCAACAGTTTTTTAGGCCATATTATTTCATGTCACCCTGTAGTGAAATAATACAGCCTTGTATTATTCTTGTATTATTATTAATACAAGAATTAATGAATTAATCATAAAACAAAAATTATTATCTTGTATTATTATTCTTGATGGTCAAGAAGAGATATTATTATCTCCATTTTACAGATGAGAAAACTGAGGCTCAGGGAGATATTATTTGCTCAAGTCCTCATAGCCAGAAAATATGTCAGAATCAGGACGAGTGACAAATATTTTGATTTCCAGTTCCTTTCTCTTTCCCTTTCTTGTTATTGCTTCTTGATGTGCATCTTATTCGTGGGGAACCCTTCTTCCCATCTCATGATGTCTCTTTCCTATGAAGAACTCTCAGTCAGTTTAACTCCTGGCTCCTTTCCCTTTTCTCAGCCCACCCCAGGGAGGTAGTAACTTCCTTGATTGGTAAATTTGAGAAGAATTTCACACTTTTTTCTCTTATGGAAGGAGACTGTCGGACCAGAGAGAAATTCTACTCTGCTCTTCAGTTCTAAAAGGTAAGGGGATAGGACAGCTTTTTGGATTCATTTCTTCCTGGAATTTGGTGCTTAAATCTCCTAATCTTGTCAGCAGGCTCATTCAGTTACTACCCTAAACTTTGCCCTTCCACCTAGCTTCTGTAATGAATAACGTTGTTATTTTGGTTTCTATCTTTAGTCATTAGTTTATTTCCCAAATTGCTCAGAACCTGGACAGAGAAGGGTCCTATTCATTGGGGGTTCCCTTGGAGACCTCCTACATATCTGCAATACTCTAGAGAGTTTAGAAATAAGAATGAAGTATGAGTTCAAACAATCATGGCCAGATATGACAGTAACCACAGGAAGTGTTACATGACTCAGAAAATATGTTAGACATGGGAAAGGAAAATATCTTGGGCCCATATCACTAAGCTAAAGAGAGAATTCAAGCTGGGAACTGCTTAGGGCACCTGCCTCCCATTCTATTCAAAGTTTTCCCTCTGCTCACTGAGATAAATGCACGTCTGATTGCCTCCTTTGGAAAGGCTAATCAGAAACTCAAAAGAATGCAACGGTTTGTCTCTCACCTACCTGTGACCTGGAAGCCGCCTCCTAGCTTCCTCCACGTTTCCTGCCTTTGCTTTGAGTTGTCCCACCTTTCCAGACCGAACCAATGTACTTCTTACATATACTGATTGATATCTCAGGTCTCCGTAAAATGTATAAAACCAAGCTGTGCCCCAAACCCCTTAGGCACATGTCGTCAGGACTTCTGGAGGCTGTGTGGCGGGTGCATGTCCTCAACCTTGGCAAAATAAACTTTCTAAATTAACTGAGACCTGTCTCAGATTTTCTGGGTCCACAGACATTAACATAAGTTAGCTTGGAGAAGCGACTTATGGTATAAGTAGCAATTAATAGATGAAAATGCTGAAAAAGAAACCCATTTTCTTAGGAGAAAAATCAATGGACTAGATAACAAATTAACCTCTATTCACTGCTTAGGTCTCTAGGAGAAAAATAAAATCCATATAAACCAAGTATGCAGTAGTTGTAAGAAACAGCATCATAAGGCCGGATGCGGTGGCTCACGCCTGTAATCTCAGCACTTTGGGAGGCCGAGGCAGGCGAATCACGAGGTCAGGAGTTCGCGACCAGCCTCATCAACATGGTGAAACCTGTCTCTACTAAAAATACAAAAAAATTAGCCAGGCGTGGTGGCACACACCTGTAATCCCAGCTACTTGGGAGGCTGAAGCAGGAGAATTGCTTGAACCCAGGAGGCAGAGGTTGCAGTGAGCCGAGATCGCACCACTGCACTACAGCCTGGGTGACAGAGCAAGACTGTCTCAAAAAAAAAAAAAAAAAAAAGAAAAGAAAAAAAAAAAGAAATAGGATCATAAATGAAAGCTAAGATGAAGCATAAGTTTTGGGGAAAAACCAGTTTCTATGGAATAATCTTAGACATGAGCTTCTTTCCTTAAAAAAGCATCTTGACCGGGCACGGTGGCTCACGCCTATAATCCCAGCACTTTGGGAGGACAAGGTCATGAGATCAGGAGATCGAGACCATCCTGGCTAACACGATGAAACCCTGTCTCTACTAAAAATACAAAAACAAAATGAGCCGGGCGCCTGTAGTCCCAGCTACTCAGGAGGCTGAGGTGGAAGAATGGCATGAACCCAGGAGGCATAGCTTGCAGTGAGCCGAGATCATGCCACGGCACTCCAGCCTGGGCGACAGAGCGAGACTCTGTCTCAAAAAAAAAAAAAAAAAAAAAAAGCATCTTAAGATGCAGCTGCCTGGATTAACTTTATCCAAATTTTTTTTGTGTGTGCTTACTTTATGCCAGACTTTATACATAAAAACCTACGCAAACACACACGTGAAAAGAGAATGTGGTTCCTCATGGAAGAAAAAAGTTGAACAAATTTCTCAACTGAGAATAAAGATCTTGTAGTCAGACCCTTCGTTTTGCACCAGGGCTAGAGAGCCCAGGAAGGTGTATCTGCAGATCCTAGATCTTGGGGATGGTTGGTTCAAATGTTAGTATGCCAGACTCACTCTTGTTCAGGTCAGAATAGCTACCATATAATGAATCCCCGAGGTAGAGAAGCAGCTTGCTATCTTTCTGGATCTTTCCAGCTCTCCTGCTTCTCCCCTAGAACTGTCGATGTGTGTGGTTAATGGTTTATCCCTTGCTTACTGTGTCTGAGCCTCTGACAAGGATGTTCACCTTGGGGATGCTTATTTGCAAAGAATCTCTACTGAGTTTCTGTCACTTTTTTCATCTACTAATGAAGTAACTTGAGACTAGCAATATATCTCATTCTAGAAACTTGCATGGAAGATGGTGTGATGTACATACAGTACCTATTTCAAAATAGAAATGTCACAATGCATCTGGTACTTCAAAGAGTGACTTTTGTTTTCTACTTTGGATTTTTGCTTGGATGCTCCTAAACATGACGTATAAACTCTTCTACCAGGGTCTAAGCTTCCCAGAGGCAGGAGTTGTATCTTACAAATCTATGTACCTCTTCCAGTGGTATGCATACAGATTGTGCTCAAAAAATACTTATTAGATGAAAGACTGGTCACATTATTAAGAGAAGAAAGAACTCTAAGCCACCCTGAGATTTACCAGTTAGTCTACTTTATCATCAGGCTTATAATCATCCACAAATGCATTCATAGGCAGAAGAAAGATGGTGTCCTGGAGGGAAAAATACTTTCAGCAACAGGGATGTTAAAAGTTTGCAGGTCAACTTTAAATCATGTCCTTTTGGCTGCAAACAAAAGAATCCTTTAGTGCAACTAATCTAAAAATATTTCTATTTGTCAGAAATACCTTAATTTTATTAGGATTACTGGTCAATGTTAAAGAATGGTTTTATAGTTCTTGGTAAATATCACTAACTGCTATTAAACGTCTTTTCTCTTTCCTTCCTTCCTTCCTTCTTTCTTTCTTTCTTCTTACTTTTTCTTTTCTCTGTCTCTTGCTCTCTCTGTCTCTCTCTATCTCTCTCTGTCTCTCTCTCTCTTTCTTTGTTTGTTTGTTTGTTTTTTTTTTTTTGAGACAGGGTCTCACTCTTGCCCAGGCTGGAGTGTAGTGGTGTGATCTTGGCTGATTGCAACCTCAGTGCCTCAGCCTCCAGAGTAGCTAGGATTATAGGCATGTGCCACCATGCCCAGCTTATTATTATTATTATTTTTTTGAGATGGAGTCTCGTTTCCTCACCCAGGCTGGAGTGCAGTGTTGCGATCTTGGGTCACTGCAACCTCCACCTCCCAGGTTCAAGCGATTCTCCTGCCTCAGCCTCCCGAGTAGCTGGGATTACAGGCGCACACCACCGCATCTGGCTAATTTTTGTATTTTTAGTATTTTTGTATTTTTCACCATGTTGGCCAGGCTGGTCTTGAACTCCTGACCTCAGGTTATCTGCCCGCCTCAGCCTCCCAAAGTGCTGGGATTACAGGCGTGAGCCACCGCGCCCAGCTGCCCAGCTAATTTTTGTATATATATATTTTTTTCAGTAGAGACAGGATTTCACCATGTTGGCCAGGTGGGTCTCGAACTCCTGGCCTCAAGTGATCTGCCTGCCTCAGCCTCCCAAAGTGCTGGGATTATAAGAGTGAGCCTCCATGCCCAGCCTTGAATGTCTTTTCTTGATTTCCAATGCCACTGGTAGGGTTAAGAACTTGTCTTTCCTAGTACCTCTCCCCTTCTTCAACTCTGGGTAGTCTCTGTGTAGTAAAATATACATATTTAACTAAGAAATAAAACATGCTATTTTGTTGTTCTTTTTATTCTCATTTCCTTGACGACTACTGTGGCTGACAAGTTCTATTCATGTCCTTTGCTCATTTTTATTCCTACCCGTCTTAGTGGTCCTTTTGCTAATTGGCATACTCGTTATTACATAAGGGTAAAATATATTAATCCTTGCCTTTGCCCTTGTTGAGTATATATTTCCCAGTCTATCTTGTGTGTGTATGTGTGTGTGTGTGTGTGTTTTGTTTGTTTATTTTGAGACAGAGTCTCGCTCTGTCACCTAGGCTCAACTGTAGTGCCATCACAGCTCATTGCAGCCTCAACCTCCTGGGTTTATGTGATCCTCCTACCTCAGCCTCCTGACTAACTAACTGGGAGTACAGGGCATCATGTCCCACTGACTTTTGTATTTTTTGTAGAGACGGGGTTTCTCCATGTTGTCCAGGCTAGTCTTGAACTCCTGAGCTCAAGCGACCCTTCCACCTCGGCCTCCGAAAGTGCTGGGATTACAGGCGTGAGCCACCATGCCTGACCTATCTTTTGTTTGGTTATGTATTTTTATATGAAGGTGTTTTAAATTGTGTGCAGTGAAATCTCTTAACTCTTACGACTTCTTCAGTTACTCCCAAGTTTGAAAAGTTACACTGCCCCTAGAAATTTGACAAATATTTATTTTATTTTCTCTTGTTCTTTTAGGGTTTGATTTTTAAATATAAAGTCTTCATCCACTTGAAATGCATTGGGATGAATGTGTGACATAATGACTTTTCTGCCAAATATCTAACCAAGTATTCTAACACCATTGATTGAATTATTCTTCTCTTCCACATTATTTCGTGGTGCCTTTTTGAAAAAATAGACATGAAATTATTATATATAATCCAGTCTATATCTCTTATAGACCCTACTGTGATCTCTGTTCTTGGAAGACTATTTCAGTTATTGCTTTGGAATTTTCTACAATGTGGAACTCTTCACCATCATTTGTCCACCCTACCAAGAACACATATACTGACTTTTTAAAGTTAATTACTATTCATCTTTGTTCATGTAAACTTTAAAACATTTTCCTTTTCTTTTTTCCCCCATTGGAATTTCATTTGGGAGCCATTAATCCATAAGTGAGTTTGTGAAGAACTGACATCTTAAGACGTTTCTTAAGTTTTCCAGTCTGGCATACCCTCCCATTAATCAAAGATTGATTAATGGAACTCAATTTTAACTCTCTCAGTAAAGTTTTGGGTTTTCTTTATAGAGGTCACGCACATTTCTTGTAAAAAATTACTCCCAGGTACTTTGCTACTTTATCTTTTTCTTGCTGCTGCAGCTGGAATCTCCTTCTCATTATATTTCCTAATTGCTTCTCAGTGGTATGTAGAAATGCTACTGATTTGCACAAAATGCATTTAGCTCTTATTCAGCCTTTTAATTTAAATTTTTATTTTTTTTACTACGTGTCCTATCTTTTGTCAAGGAGAAGCATTCATGAGAAGAATGTTTCTGTATCATTTACAAAATTCATCGTTGCCATGTTACTATGCCCTTCAATGAAAGATAAACACAGATTTCTTTAATGATGCAGAGTTATATCAGTGTCCTCTGTATCCCTGGTCCTTGAAGCCCTGTTTTCCTTTCCACCTCAAGGCCGGCCCTGCAGTTCCAGCTGCTGCCCACAGCTGTCACTCAGGAATGCTCTTTCCTGACCCCAACTGCTGCTCCTTGCTTGTGTCCTTAGTGGTGCAGTTCCTGCCTTTGGCCCTGGGCTTGGCCAACCCATTCTGAGAGCCATTCATGGCCTATGGAGTTTTGGCCTCTTGGTCTCTTGGTCTTCATGAAGCCACTCTCTGGTTCTGGTGTCACCAGATGCTGCTACTGAGAGACTCCTTGGCTCCAATTGTCCTGCTCTCCTGGGTGTCCTTCTAGCCAGAATAAACTCTGGCTGTCCTTTGGAGGTGAGGGTCTAGAAGCAAGAGCTCATTTTGTTTCATTTTGTTTCCCCCTGAAATTTAAAGCTAAAATTGTGACTATTTAGCTTACCTCATGTTCACCCCTCTTTTATGGTTTTTCATCTTAATCTTTTTTCATTGCCTTGTTTTATTTATTTATTTATTTATTTATTTGAGACAGAGTCTCACCCAGGCTGGAGTGCAGTGGCAAGATCTCGGCTCACTGCAACCTCCACCTCCCCGGTTCAGGCGATTAACCTCTGCCTCCCGGGTTCAAGCAATTCTTCTGCCTCAGCCTCCCGAGTAGCTGGGACTAAACACGAGCGCCACCACGCCCGGCTAATTTTTGTGTTTTTAGTAGAGACAGGGCTTCACCATATTGGCCAGGCTGGTCTCGAACTCTTGACCTTGTGATCCACCCACCTTGGCCTCCCAAAGTGCTGGATTACAGGCGTGAGCCACCACGCCCGGCCCTATTGCCTTGATTTATATATGATTGAGTATCATAAACCACCTCAAATCTTTTCTTAAAATAGGCAAGATATAAGTCGTAAGTCATACCATACGCAGATGGTACTGTTAAATAAATCATACCATAAACACTATCTGGATTAACAAGATTTAAAAAAGAATAAAACAGTAGGGAAAGGACACCTACAAGTGGTACCGTATGACCAATTTTCCATTCAGAAAACAGGCTAGAATAACTTTTGGTGTTTATACACGTATGTATATATGTGTATATATGTATGTATGTATATATAGTGGTGTGTGTACAGGTTGGTATTCAAAACACATTTGGCTGGGCTTAGTGGCTCATGCCTGTAATCCCAGCACTTTGGGAGGCCAGGGCCGGCAGATCACTTGAGGTCAGGAGTTTTAGACCAGCCTGGCCAACATGATGAAACCCCGTCTCTACTAAAGATACAAAAAATTAGCCAGGCATGGTGGTGCACGCCTGTAGTCCCAGGTACTCAGGAGGCTGAGGCACGAGAATCCTTTGAACCTGGGAGGCGGATGTTGCAGTGAGATCATGCCATTGCACTCCAGCCTGGGTGACAGAGCAAGACTGCATCTCAAACAAAAACAAAAATAAAACATACCTTCATGCACAGGTGATATTAAAATATTTTAAAACAATATGGTAATTGAAATTAATCTATGAGTCGGGTGTGATGTATTGAAATTAAAATTAATCTATGGCCACCATTTTGGGAGGCTGAGGGCAGAGCAGATCACCTGAGGTCAGGAGTTCAATACCACTCTGGCCAACATGGTGAAACCCCATCTCTACTAGAAAAAAATACAAAAATTAGCCAGGTGTGGTGGTGTGCGCCTGTAGTCCCAGCTACTCGCTACTCAGGAGGCTGAAGCAGGAGAATTGCTTGAACCCAGGAGGTGGAGGTTGCAGTTAGTCGAGATCATGCTGCTGCACTCCAGCCTGGGCGACAGAGTGAGACTCCATCTCAAACAAACAAAAAAACAAAAAAACAGAAAAAGAAAAAATTCTATAAAAAAGTATAAATAAAAATTTAAAATACATTCCCTTTTATTCTGTAATAAAACTGCTTTAAATGATGTAAGTTGGAGTGCAAATAATGTATCCAATAATTTTAATAGTCTCTCAACTGTTTGTTGACTTTTAAAAATTAGTAGTGTGATCTTTCTTCTGACCTTGCTGCACTGACAAAGTGATGTTCCCCTCTCAGCCATGATTTGATACAGGCAACTGCATCAAACTCTTCCAAGCACTTCCTCATTGAACTAGTGGTCATTAGGTTTCCATAGCCAGGGACTTTGTTGCAGGCAGAGTGGCAGAGCCCGCCGCCTGCTATCGCAGCAGGTGCTGGATGCCAGTGCTTCCCACGTGGACTAGACCCAGAGTGTTTCACCTCGACCCCTGCCCACGACCTGCAACCCTTCTTGGAAAGCAGGAAACAAGAGGGTGGGTCTCCTTGTTGTCGGAATACTCCTGGGCAAGCTCCTGGATCTGATTGAGGAAAGGGGTGCTACCACCTGCAGATTCCTGGCATCACTACCAATAGGACCCAGAACAAATCCCCAGCCTTCAGCGGATAACTGCCACCAGGTGGCGCCAGCAGCAGTGGACCTGGACAGTTTGGACTCCTGCAACCCTGGCTGTTAAATCCTCAGTCACGTAACTAGCCTGGCACTAAATGACCTCACATTTACACGATTGAATTTTTTGGACTTTACTTTCTGCGTTATGGGTGGGGGAGTTAAATTTTAGATTGTTATGAGGCTGTACCTTAATTTTTTCTTTTCTCGTCAATGTTGTATTTAGAAAAATTTGAAATCTAGAGAAGTGTTACAAGAATAGTACAGTGTTATAATGAACACCCATATACCTTTCACCTGGATTCATCAATTCTTAATATTTTGCTATAGTTTCTATTTTTTCTCTCCTTATATCTGTGTGTATATATCTTTTTCTGAGCCATTTGAAAATTAGTTGCATAATCGACTCTTCATCCGCCAATACTGCAGCATGTGCCCCTTAATAACAAGGACATTCTTCCATATAACCACAGTCTCACTCAGGAAATGTGACATTAATGAAATATCATTATCTAACCTAGAGATACTAAGATTGAAAAATTGTCACAATAATGCCATTTTAATATACAGTTTTAAATCCAGGATCTAATAAAAAAGATCACAGACTGTATTTAGTTGTCATGATTCTTGAGTCTCCTTAATCTGGTGTGGTTCCTCAGCGTTATTTTCTTTTTTTCCTTTTATGAAATGACCATTTTTGGAGTGTCCAGGCCAGTTTTATTCTAGAAAGAAAACTGCTAGCCACTCACTTTAAAATTAATTCTAACACACACACAAACCTGGTTGGGGCTTCCTGGTGTGTTCTTCTGATCCCATTTTAACAAGTATATCCCACACACGAGAGATTGTAAAACAAAAAGAAATTAATCCCATGAAAACTGGCAGACCCAAGTTCATAAGGGACTCCATCTAAGTTAAGTCCCAATTAGTTCTATTAAATTGCTTCTAATAGGCATCTGGGTTTTGTCCAGTAACCTTCCTTTCACAGAGACACTGCTTCGCTCTTCATGTGATCTCAGTGGGCTGTCAGTCACGGGACTCAACTCCCCACTGTGGTGACTGGTTTAAGGATAGATGCAATGTGACCTGAATGGAGCCAGCATCTCCCCTGAGAGATTACACATGGATTCTGAAAAAGAAAGGCTCTCTCTTCCTCTGGGATCATGAGATAAATGATAATGTTGGCTGGAACTATTTGTGTTCAGCTTCCCGATTGTATAAGGGGAAGCTCTGCTGCAGAAGAGAATAAAGTTTACGACACACACAGAATGAAGCTGTGGCAAACTGAGATAAAAAGATCAATGAGGAGAGATGGAGTTAGTGCATGTGACATGGTTAGATCCATGGATCTAGCCATGCCTGAAGTTAGTTAGATGGTGCATACGTTGAGCTGGGTTTCTGTCTCTTGCAACTGAGTCTTGACCAATGGTGCTAATGATTTAAGGACTTGGTCAGAATCCCTTAGGGATATTTTTCTTTGCCACTGTGGAAGCCTAGATAAGTTACCAGGGTTCTTTGGCTATAGGTAAGGATCACAGTACTCACTTCAGAGGTACCTGTTGTGTAGATTAAGGAGATAACTAAGTAACCACTTCACAGTGCCTGGAGCATGCTAGGGAATCCATGAATGTTAGAAACCGGTACAAAAATCTGCCAGGCTTCTGCCATTTGCTTTGCGCCTTTGAATTTTCCCTCAGTCTCCCCAGATGAAAACCAGACTTTACTGAGAATAGTGCTTTGTCAGATAGTAATCATCACTCACTGTCAGCATCTTGGTTATAGTCATTCCATTTGTCCTATAAACAACATGAACAGATCATTAATATGCCTGGAGGATCTTCAGCATTTGACTAGTTATTATTTCTCCAAGTGAGAGAGAAGCCACTGGTGAGGCTAAGCAGCATTTAACTGCACTGGCACTTTTGGCAGCAGGCATTCCCAACTCAAGCTGAAGTGCAAGCAGGGGGAGGAGGTGGCAGGGAACAACACTGGGGTTGGTATGTTGAGTTTTTGCTACCCACTTGCACTCATTTTGGCCTCCTTTGTCCTCTTTCTGCAACTATTTCCAGAAGGAAATTTGTTCTGTCAGAACCCACAATATCCTTATGTTTGCCGCTGTCAAAGGGGCTAGTGGCAAATACTCTTTTGGAAAAGCAAAATTCCCAGAAAAGAGATAATGAGGTTTATGTTTGCACCTTCACAACTCAAGCATTTAACAGAGATTCCAGAATTGCAGAGTCTCACAATTGCTGCATTTTTCTTGGCTCCTGCTCTAAGGACCTCAGCAACATTAAGAAGTAGCCACCCCAGGTGGGAGCTGACATATATCCTGACTTGCTCAGGCCCAGGAGATCAGTGGAGGTGACACACAGTTGCTGGCTGGAGCAGGCTATCCCACGGCTGGGTTTTCAGCTGGCCTGGACTTTCTGCCAACTCCTTGGTGGGGTTGGAATGGGAGTGAGGGTGCAGCTGTGACCTTTCATGCCTGAAAAATCTGCCTCAAGTCGGGAGAAAGTGCTGGGCTTGCTTTGTGGAGGTCAATCATCCTAGATGTTTTGGAGTTGAGGGCTGGAAGCAGGTGATTTCACTGTACTGCAATTCCAAGGGTCTTAGTTGCAGAGTAATCTCTTCCCCTGCTAGGATTCACTTGCATAGGGCAGGGACTGGTGGGTGGGCCTAGCAGCAGTCTCTTTGCTTAAAGAGCTATTAGATTCTCCTGGAAGAGTTCATCCTAAGGACAGAGATCAAGGCACACAATTCAGTCCAACAACAATGTCCAGGCAGGAGGAGTGGTTTGCGTATAGTGCAGCCCAGCTCCCAGGCACTCTCATCCGAAGCCTAGAGGAGGCGCTACGAGTAAAAACTAACAGCTGCTCTCACACATCTCACATCTGTGAGTATCTGAACACAAGTCAGCTTTCCTTTGGGCTACACTTGGTGTGGGGCGGGGGCTAAAAGGCACAGAAAGAAACTTTCCTCCCTCCTAACAGAGCAGCTGCAGGGTGGGACTCTAGAGGGTGCAGTAGGGAGGTGGCCGCAGTGGTGGGCCACAGGGAGGGCCCTGGGTGCAGCTCTGGTGGGACCCATAGCCTCCATGGGAGCCAGTGCCCTCTGGTGGACACCAGCGGGAGTACTGTGCTGGTGCAGCTTGGTGAGCCTGAGACCTCCCCAAAGACCTCCATGGTGGCTATCAGATGATAGCATAGGAGCTTGAACTGGTGAGCCCATGAGCTCCCCAACCCTGATTTTCCAGAAATAATTGGGAGAAATGTTAAGATGGACTCATGACCATATAGTAATGAAGGGATGGTGGGAGAGATGTAAAGGAAATATGTCTTCCTACTGTCAATGTAAGCCCATTGTCTCTGTTTTACTCCCAAGAAGTGTGCCCTGGGGTAGAGGGAGAAAGGGGGCATAGGTGCCATCTGTAATTTCAAGTCCACTTATTCAGATGATAAATGGCTTGTGCCACAGAAGAGGGGAAATGAGAAATGACACAGGGCTGTTTCACTTAATTGACAGAGAAGGAGAATTTGGAGGAAGCCTGGTTTAACGCCATGGTGCCCTCAACCAGCATCCAGGAATCATAAAGGGACTTTGAAGGTCAACTCTTAGCTATACTTCAATTCCCACTGAGGACCAAGAATCTAGAGTTAACTTTAGAAATGTCTTGGGATTTGTAAGCAAAGATTCTGGTTTGAGCTGAAATATTAACAAGAGGAATGACCACACCTAAATTCACAAAATGTTTCAAGGTATTCATCTGCTCACTTGTATCAATAGCAGGTCAATTCCATGATTGGCAACAAAGTGAAGTAAATAGGAAGCAATAATACCCAGGTAGCTCCAATGCAGGCTTTTTAGAAATACCACGTGCAGAAATATTGATTATACTTATTGTCCGTGTTAAATGTATTCTACTCTAGTAAGACTAATTTGTACACAGAAATGTAAATCTCTAATGTGATTGCTGAAGCCATAAGATTTGGGGTTTTTTTCTGATTTGATTCTGGGGTGGCACACTACAAAAGACACTCACTTTGTAATCAACCTGGTTTGTTCTGCTTTTCACTAGCTTGTGTGGCTTTAGGAGATCATACCTCTCAGCTTCAGTTCTCTTACAGGTAAGATGTGGCTAATAACATCTTGCTGAGTTCCTGTTACTGTGTGCAAGAAAAAAGCATCCCTAAGTTTTAGTATCGGTTAATACAGTACAATATTTGTCATGACCTGATTTCAACAAAGTCTGTATAAGCAAAAATAGCTCGAATAATTACACATTGCAAATTAAGCTGACCACTGAAACTATAATGGCAGGTGCTGGCAATTAGAGCCTCAGGTTGGGTCAGCACTGTTTGCTCCCACTTTTCTATTGGGGATACAACTTTTAGGGGTGCTGAATATAAAGCTCAGCAACTCAAATCTGAATTACAGCAATTAGAGTTTTAAATTGTTTGAACTTTGATCTATCTACCAAGGTGAGATGATATCATATCCTGGAGAAATAAAACCCAAATACTTGGATTAAGCACAAAGCAATATAGGGCTGTGATGATGCTTTATCGAGCATTTCAGAAAAACCAAAACCTGAAGAGGAAATGCGCGTTAAGTTCTAGTTACCCTGAGTTTCTACCTTTGCTTACCCTTTAAGTCATTCTCAATGACTGTACTTCATGCGTCAGGCCCACAAAACATAGAGCCACCCCTGGCTAGGATAGGCAGTGTACCATGAGGGTGCAGAGATAAGACACTAGGTCAGGCTAGGATGTGAAACTTAAAAATGAGACTTGATGGATGATAAGGAGGTTAGCTCCATAAATAAAGAGAGAGCAGTATAATATTCCAGGAAAAAGGAACAGTCTGTGTCAATGAGTGAATAGATGATAGATAGATAGATAGATAGATAGACAGATAGATAGATAGATTGATAGATAAATACTCTTTGCCTAGAAATAAATGTATCTCCTAAATCTGGCTAGAGTTTATGCTAGTTAATGAATAATACTGACCCTTCTCCCACTAGAAATAGCACAGTGGCTAAGGGCAGCATTGTACTGTGGATTGGTTAGATCCTGGTGTGTATCCTAGCTCTTCTGGTTAGTAGTTACCTAGGTGATCTAAAACTAGTTTTCTTCCTGTACCTTTTTAGTCCTTAGGTATTTCAGTTAAATAAAAATGAGGACATTAATATTTAACTCATAGGGTTGTTGCAAGAATTAAACGAAAATTTGTAAAGCTCTTAGCACATTCTTGGCATGTAAGTAAGTCCATGTAGATTTAACCATCATCCATCATCATCAGCAGGCGATTTCTATCCAAAAAAAAGCAGTGACTGAATGTTACAGCCACTTGAACAACATTTAACAAACACCAAGGTGAGCTAGGTAAACTCAAAAGCTGAGGGCACAGGGGCATCATCTGAAGATCTTTATTGGTCCAAACACATGCCTCAGCCTGTGAGACCAGGGACTGGTTGGGATTGTTGGCTTCTGAAGTGGCACAGAGAATTGGGCTTTATCCAGGCAATACAAAGAAGCAGAATGGTTCATCTAGAAGGAAGTTCAAGGGGTTGCTGTCCTTGGTAAGAGCCGACACTGCGGACTGTAATGTTTCCCCTACAGAGAGAGTGGTGGCATGCCCACAAGAGACAAGTTAGAATGCTGTCTCTAGGTTGGGCGCAGTGGCTTACGTCTGTAATTCCAGCACTTTGGGAGGCTGAGGCAGGTGGATCATTTGAGGTCAGGAGTTCGAGACCAGCCTGGCCAATATAGTGAAACCCCATCTCTACTAAAAATAAAAATAAAAAAATTAGCCAGGCGTGGTGGTATACACCTGTAATCCCAGCTACTTGGGAGGCTGAGGCAGGAGAATTGCTTGAACCCAGGAGGTGGAGGTGGCAGTGAGCCGAGATCTTGCCCACTGCACTCCAGCCTGGGTGACAGAGTGAGACTCCATCTCAAAAAAAAAAAAAAAAATACTGCCTCTAGAACTTACTGGCTCTGTAACCTTGCATAAGTTATTTGATATCTTCTGTGTTTCTTCACATTTAAAATGGAGACACTCTACCACCTCCCAAGGTTGTTGTGGGCATTGGACAAATGACTGAAAGCAACAGACGGAGTCGCTGTGATTGATGGTGGTGGTGTTACCCACAAGCATCCAATTCTTAGACAACTTGTTTTTCTCAGACAGCAGAATGCCTATAATAACTATTTCAGGGAAGATGAATTATTAATTTATTATATACTTAGATTTACAAGGAAGGAAGTTGGTCCCTTTAAAACAATAACATTGATTTGCTTAAATAGCAGAAAACAGCACTCTTCCATCCTTATTTACAGACTCTGGAGTCAGTTCGAATACACAGTGTCACATTAGAGACATACATTCTGACCTGCTGACAAAATATAAGGGTCAAAGGATCAATTAAGTCATCTTAACTCATCCGTGGCAGGGAAAATATTTCAGCTAAAACATGGATCTTGATTCTGAAATGTAAGACAGCTGAGCTAAATCAGTTCCTGTATTCACAGAAAACAGCATCATTTCCTGGCTTGTTGCCCAGCCTTTGGAGGATGTGACTGATGAAAGGCAGGCAGAACCCCACGGTGGGAAAAGAGGAGAAAGAAATATTTATTAAGCACTTACTCTGGCCAGGAGGCCTACCTGGCCATTTCACACAAGTGGGTCACCTCACGTCTTTTAATCCCCAGAAACCTACAATTACTGCATGGAATGGAAAAGGTAGGATCAGAGGCCAATTTACTGTCATTCTTCCGCCTCAGGACTCCTCATTTACATGTGTCCCTTCTAAATAAGTACTCATTTTATACCTAAATTTGTAACTTATTATTTTTCTTAAAGCTGCCCCCAAATTGTACAAGCTTCTGGATCCACCAAGCCAGGATTCAGCCCTCAGCAGGACAGAGAGAGTACCCTGGTCGTGGAGCTAGAAGGCTTCCAGGAGGTGTGTTCAAAATGAGATTTAAGCAAGAGAAGAATTTTTACTACACACAGAAGCGGAAGGCCAGGGGAAAGGTGGGCAAAGAAATTAGGCTATGAGAAGACCGGGGTTGGGGTGGTTTAAAACATCCCCATGTGATATGGGTTGGCTGTGTCCCCACCCAAATCTCATCTTGAATTGTAGTTCTCACAATCCCCACTTTATGGGAGGGACCCAGTGGGAGGCAATGGAATCATGGGGGTGCTTACCCTCATGCTGTTTTCATGATGGTGAGTGAGTTCTCACGAGATATGATGGTTTCATAAAGGGCTTTCCCCCCTTTTGCTTGGCACTTCTCCTTGTGGCTGCCGTGTGAAGAAGGACTTGTTTGCTTCCCTTCCACCATGATTGTAAGTTTCCTGAGGCCTCCCCAGCCCTGTGGAACGGTGAGTCAACTAAACTTCTTTCCTTTATAAATTACCCAGTCTCAGGTATGTCTTTATTAGCAGGGAACAAACTAATATACCATGCATTCAGGAAGCGCGAATGCCAGAGAGCTGGATGGTTGTTGAGAAAGGTATGCTGGCTGGCAGGGGCAGCGGGAAAGGGATGGTGCAGTGAGGGAGGGGCAGGAGAGATGCTGGAGCCAGAATAGGAAGGGATATTTGCACTGAGCTCTTCAGAATGTTGACTTCTATCCTGCATGCTAGAAGGAACAACTCAAAGATTTTCAGGAGCCATTGTTTTTTAGGATTACATTTGAGAAGCACCTCTCTGGCAGCAGGATGGAGGACTACCTGCAATTAGTGTGACCAACTCTCTAGCTTACCCAGGACTGTCTTGGTTTTAGCCCTGAAAGTTCTGTATCCTGGCAAACCCATCAGTCCCAGGGAAACTTTGATAATTGCTCACAACTGCCTGGAGTAGGGTGGGCCCAATGCCAAGAGGACTACTTTGGAGATTGTCTCAGTGATCTCCCCTGAACTCCAGACTGTATGTCAACAATTACCCACATGACAGCTCCATTATGATGTCTAATTGATATCTCAAAGTCAATGTGTTTAAAACCTCAGGACCTTTGCACATTCTGTTCTCTCTGCTGGAAATGGTGTTCCCCAGGATAGCTACGTGGTACACCCCTTCACCTCCTTCATGTCTTTACTTCAATCCTACCTCCTTGGTGAGGGCTTTTTTGAAACCCTCTTTATAATCACAACCCCTACCCGTGATGCTTCCTAATCTTATCCTTGCTTTGGTTTTTTTCTTAGCGCTTACCACCACCCAGCATACTTAAAATTTGTTATTTCTGTGTGTTCTCTTTTCCCCACTAGAGAGAAAGTTCGTGAGGGCAGGATTTTTGTTTGTTTCATTCACTGCGTCTGGGACAGTGCCTGGCATTTGGTACACATCATTTTATTGAATACATTAAGTCATTCTTTTTTTTTTTTGAGATGCAGTCTTCCTCTGTTGCCCAGGCTGGAGTACAGTGGTGAGATCTCGGCTCACTGTAAGCTCTGCCTCCCGGGTTCACACCATTCTTCTGCCTCGGCCTCCTGAGTAGCTGGGACTACAGGCACCCACCACCACACCTGGCTAATTTTTTGTATTTTTAGTAGAGATGGAGTTTCACCGTGTTAGCCAGGATGGTCTCAATCTCCTGACCTTGTGATCTGCCCACCTCGGCCTCCCAAAGTGCTGGGATTACAGGCATGAGCCACCGCACCTGGCCACATTAAGTCATTCTTGATTCCTGTCAATTCTCATACACCCCAGAGACAATTCATCAGCAAATTCTGTTGGATGTATGTTCAAAATAGATCCAGAACACATCTGGTTCCTACCACCTCCACCATTTCCACCCTGGTGCAAACCACATCATCACTCGCCTGAATTATAGTAAGAGCATCCCTACCTGGGCTTCCTGCTTCCACCTTTGCTTCCTGTCAGTCTGTTCTCAAAACAGCCAGGGGGATCCTGCTAAGTGTAAAAGTCAGATCACGTCACTCTTCTGCTGGTTATCATGCTCCTGACTTCCTATCTCATGTGCAGTAAAAGCGCCACATCTTTACAAGTTGCTCCTGGTCTGCCCTCTGCCCTTCCCTCTCTGCCCCAGACGTTCACCTCGGCCTCTCCGTGGTCATCTTCAGCTGCCTCCAGGCTCCCGCTTGCTCTCTCTGCTCCAGCTGCGCAGGCTTTCCTCTTGAGCTTCAAATACACCAGTCGCTTTCCTGCCCCGGGCTTTTGTGCTTGCCATTTCCCTCTGCCTGTAATACTCTTCTCCAGGTACCTGCACGATTGCCTCCCTCACTTCCTTCAGGTCTCAAATGTCTTCCTATCAGAGAACCTTCTTTCTCAAAGGTGAGACCCACCTTCACACTGCTGAGCGCCCCCGGTTTGCTCTCTAGCGCTTGACACCTCCTGAGTCACGCATAGTGAATTGTCTATCATCTATCTTCTCCTCTCCCCATCCAGCCCTCTCTCCCACTCCCACCCACACCCACACCCACAACGTTCTTGGGTGTAAACTCCATCAGAGCAGGGACTTTGTTGGGGATGACCCTCAGTGCCGAGAACAGCAGATGGTACAATGGAGGTCTGCAATAAATATTAGTGAAGTGGATAAACATTGAATGAAGCGTCTATGCCAGGAGCGAGGAGGATCTGAACTAAGGAGGGAGCAGATGTAAGACCAACTAAGGAGGTATGAGCTGCAGAGTTTGTTGGAAACAAAAGAAATCAGAGCTCAGGCTCATCAAAAGTAAATTAACAAAATAAATTAATTTAAAATTAATAAAAGAGCTTTCATTTCATTTCTTTTATTTAAAATAGAACTAATGCCTTATGACCCAAATTCCCTTCCCTCATCTTTAGAAACATCAGAAGCCTGTGAGGTTGCTGTATGGAAAGAGCTGATTATCCTCCTCATTAGTAGAGACAGCAAGGAAGAGCAACAAACAGTTCAGGAAAGCAGTCCTTTCTCTTCTCTCCCCTTTCCTCCCACTGTATTTACCAACCTTCAGGGCATGGAGAATTTTGCTGCTCAAACCTTCTTCCTGACTCCATAGTAAAAAAAATAGTTGCTTAGCTGGGCGTGGTGGCGGGGCACCTGTAGTCCCAACTACTCGGGAGGCTGAGGCAGGAGAATGGTGTGAACCCGGGAGGCGGAGCTGGCAGCAAGCCGAGATTGCGCCACTGCACTCCAGCCTAGGTGACAGAGACTCTGTCTCAAAAAAAAAAAAATTGCTTTGCTTAAGTTGTTTATAGGCAGGCTGTTTGCTGCTGGAATGTGATGAAGGGCATTTCTCCTTTCTCGAGGACTGTTTTGTATTTTTAACTCATAAAAGTTATTTTTTTTTTCTGGCCGGGTGTGGTGACTCATGTCTGTAATCCCAGCAGTTTGGAAGGCGGAGGCAGGAGGATCACTTGAGGCCCGGAGTTCAAGACCAGCCTGGGCAACATAGCAAGACCCTGTCTCTTAAAAGAACATAAAAAAAGACAACAACGACAAAAAAACAAAATTAGCTGGGCATGGTAGCGCACCTGTAGTCCCAGCTACTCGGAGGCTGAGGTGAGAGGATCACTTGAGTCCAGGAGGTTGAGGCTGCTGTGAGCTGTGATTGCACCACTGCAGTCCAGCCTGGGGGACAGAGTGAGACCCTGTCTCAAAAGAAAGTTATTTTTTTTTTCCAACTCACCACCTCCCACTTCTCCCTACTCACCCCTCCAGGGCTTTCTACATGCTTCTCTTTTTGTGTCTTTCATAATGCTCATATTTACTGAACTTTGTGCTACGCAGTGCATATGTCTCATTTAATCTTCATAACTACCCTGTGTGGTGCTATTATTATTCCCATTTTACAAAATGGGGAAACTGATGCTTTCAGAGCTAAGTAGTGTAGTGGATACTGTCAGTGCCTCTCCCAAGTCCCTCAGGGCCTCCCCATTTCAACGGGACACTGACTGACTTCCTGCTGCCAGGATCTGTGTCTCTCTGCCTAAAGGCCTTCCCTGGCCACCAGAGCAGGCTAGAAGTGCTGGGAAATTAATGCCCACTTCCCACCCTGGCACATACCTCAGCAGACTTTAGCCAATGACTAACGGGAGTTGGTGTATAAATACCCCAGCTCCCTTGCTACTTGGGTGAGAGAGTACTGAGATCCATTTTCCACACTGGCTTCTGGAGGTTCCTAGTAGGATTACGCTTCAGTGGTCCACATAACAAGGTTCTTGATAATGAACCTTCTATTGCAGTAGAATCCTCATGTCAGCACCTGCTTCTAGATGCTGACCAAACTAAGATAAGTCTTTGCCTAAGACTGTATAGCTACCAGGTGGCAGAGCTGAGCTGCAGATGCAAACTGCCTGATTCCAGAACCTGTGTACTTCATCATGACGTACTACTTCTTTCCTTCTGTTTAGTAATTTATTTTTTTCTTTATTCCGTCCCTTGTAGTAGTGATCAACTTTTTCCTAATGTGTCAAATCATAGAAAAAAATAGTTACTTTGCTTTAAAATTTAAAACAAAAACTATCCTGACAACCCAATACGTAACTTTAGCAATTTCTTCAGATTGAAAATTAAGTTTATAATGAAAAATTTATTATAGTTGTGCAAGGACATGTTCCCACAAGTCTATGGACTAGGATTAATGGGGACATCATATGATATAAGTCATGACAGGAAGAGGGCCCCAGGTGGATTTACAATGTTAGGGGCTCTCTGTTAAGTTAAAAATGAATTTACTGGAAGGCCTTTGTCAGATTATGAAATTGAGAGAAAAGTTGGACAGGCAAGTCCCAGAAAGAACAGAAACCACAGCAGCTTTGCAGAACCAGGGACCAGAAACAAACACGCAATCTTTTCAGGGTTCTATAGTCATGTTGATTCAGCTTCGATCCTTCTCCATCCTGGTGAGTCTCATTCCAGGGACAGAGATAATCTGATTGGCTGAGCTGCAATGCAGGAAGGAGGAGAACTTAGATGGACACAAACAACAGAGGAGATACTTTTCCCAAAACCAAATCACCTGGCTGCTTCTACAGCAGATGGGATTCTGGGCAGTTAAAAGTAATAAATGGTATTGAGAAAGAGAAAGAAAAATGGCTGCTGAGTAAGGAAAAGGCAAGGGAAGGAGAAAACAGCAGCACACAGAGGAGACAGGGCATTCTGCAAAGAAAAAGAATGATGGATCTTCCCAGCTGCCTTCAGGGACCATGCAGTCTGCCACCTTCTGGCTTAATCCCCTACTTAATCCCTTTTGTCCATCCTGCCCCAGACTCACTGGTTTCCTTGTCATCCCCTATCCTACCAGGTACATAAGGGCCTCAGGACTTTTGCACTTGCTGTTCCCATTTCTGGAGTAGTCTCCCCTCTGATGTCAGCAAAACTACTCCCTTATCTCCTTCTGGTCTTTCTTCAATTTCACCTTCCCAAGAGATCCCTTTCCTGACGGCCCAGTCCCTCCACTTCCTACCCGCTTCTGTGCCTTGTCTCCAGGCAGAGATTCTGTAACTGCAGTTTTGAGAATCATTCCTGACACACAGGAGGTGCTTGATAAACATTTGTTGAATAAACAATACGTGGTTTCTCCCCTCTTTTTTCTATTATATTAAGGCTTTGGACATGAGGTTTCAAGCCACAGGCAGATGGGGATTCCCACTAGGAATGGCGTTCCAGTTTCTACATGCCATTTCCTGGCTCTGTGTTTTCTGTAAGTTAAAGTTTAGTTTCATAATCTTGTGCTTATGATAATAACAATATTTATATAAAATAATATAGAATAATAATCCAAGAGGAGTGGTTAGCATGATTATCTGTTATTTCATATAGTCCTAGGGGTTCTAGGAAAGTGAAAAGGGTAGGCCAGCAAGAGCATAAAATTAATTAACTGAGAAACTCATGGAAGAATGAACGGACCTCGGTCTTACTCAAATGAAAAATAATCCTCACCAAGCTTAAAGATCCACTTCCTGTGTGATTTTTATAAGCCATTTTTCTCTTAGAGTTTCAAAATACAGTTTAATTTATATATTTTATTTTGCAAGTCACCAGGCAGTAGTATTAAGCTTTTTTTTTTGGGTCTGCTGATTTGGGTACAAGTTGCAAAATAATGTTTTTGAATTAAATACATTACAAAGTCTTGCTCTAATTTTCTGAGATTAAGTAACATGAATTAGCTGAAGTTTGAGGCATAATAAAAGATAAATATGCATTATCAAAAATTGACTTAATGACCACTAAGATATAATAGCTAACATTTCTCGAGCACTTAAAATGGACCAGGCACTATGCCATGTGGGTATGTTCAACACAAATTTACATACATTTACACAAACTTACATTTCAACTTCAAATCCATAAACATTTATCAGGCCCTTGTGCTAGGCAATGAATATGCAAAGATAAATAAATCACAATTCATGTCTTCAACTTTTTTGTGTTAATTTCTTTTATTGAAATATGAATGAAATAATATGGAAAAATCTCCATCAGGTTTGAAGACGTGTGCCCTCATTATCTTCATCTGGGCACAAAAAGGTCTTCATACTTGGTTGATGCTGGCTTCATACTTGCTCATCTTCCCTGTATCATTGCCTGTTTTCTCCACAAATCATATCCTAACCCTACACATTTCCCTAAATAAGCCACATGTTCTTACAGCTTGTGGTCTTTATTCAGATTATTCCCTTTGCTTGAATTCTCTGATCTGTCAGCTGAATTCCAAATGCCCTTCAAAACTTATTCCAAATATCAACTCCTCCATGGGGTCTTCCTTGAAACCCCATTCCCCACTTCATCCCTTCATCCCCTAGGACTGATGAGCTGATCTACAGTTGTGGACTTTTTTTGTTTTTGCCTTTCCAGTGTCTAATTGCCCTTCTTTTGGTAACAGTGCTCTACTTTTCATCAATGAAATCACTTATCCCACTTTTAGTTCATAAGTTTTGGGTGAGACTGATCCTGCCTCCAGCTTCACAAGGTGGGTGCTTGATTTTAAAGTCCCAGTTCAGAGTCCCAGTGCGTGGCTCAGGGATGGACCCAAGACTCATCCAGACCAATGAAGACCAGCTCCAGGACATTTACTACAGCTGTTGAGAAAGGATCTCCCCATTTCAGATGAGGTTGGTAGACCAGCAGACCAATCTAGTGGTCACCTTTAGTCCACATGCAGAGAACGTATCAGAAAAAACCATCACAGAAGAAAGCAGAGCAAAGAGGGAGAGAGAAAGAGAGGCAGGTTTCTAAAGATGTGGATCCCGCTTTGAAATTCTTGAAAAGTTTACCTGGAGATAGATCAGCTGTTTCTTTTTGAATCAATGAATGAGCCAATAAATTCTCCATTTCCTTTAAACGAGTCTAAGTTGGATTTCAATCATTTGCAATAGGGAGCATTCTGTTAAATATACCCTTCCTCACTGTGAGATAGATGTATGATAGATACATAGAGATAGATATAGAGAGATAGATGTTATAAACAATAATCAGCACTATTTTCACTATACTGGATGTCTTCTCTCCCACAAAATTGTGAGGTTCTTAAGGAAGGAACATGTCCTGTTCTTCAATATCTCTTTAGTACCTAGCAAAGTGCTTGTTGAATTAGCAAAAGGATGAGTCATTCCTTTCTCTACATAAGGATGTAGTAGAATGCTATAGAACCTGAAATGAACTTAGCTAATCCCAGGAACGTTCCAAGCCATACTTAATGCATTTATGTCATATTGATGATGATGGAATTTATGGGATTAACCTTCATAACCTCCTAGGAGAAAATATTAGGATGATTACACCTATCATTTTGACACCATTCTGTTTATAAGAGATAAAAATCTCTACCTTTAGAAAAGTATGGTACCATGTGATATGGGCCAGAATTAATCCTAATAACAACAAAATCCATGTGCACTTACTATGTGCCAGGCTCTGTTTCAAGTGCTTTGCATGTATTCACTCATTTAATCCTCACAACAACTTTATGAGCTAGATACTATTGTTACCTCCATTTTCATCCAGGAAAAGAGGCACAGAGAGTTTTACCATTTGCTCAAGTTCACACAGGTAGCACATGGCAAGCCTTCCCTTCAGTAAAAGATACAGTCTAGGATGGTGGAGGCTAAGTCAAGAAAGGCTTTTAAATCGTGTCTTAGCTAAATAAAAGGAGAAGAAAATAAGGGAAAACCTCATTTTATAGAATAGAAAGCAAAGGTCCAGATTCTGTTTTATTTAAAAGTTCAGGGCCAGCTTTATGCAAACTAAGAAATTAGAAGGAGTTTTTAATTAGCATGTACTCGCCCCTTTCAATATCCAGCCTCTGTCGTCTTTGCCTTCCCAGGTACTCTCATCCCTCCCCTTTACCCTCTATGAATGCATGCTTTGGACAATGTCTACCCCAAGTCCACAACTCTAATCTCCCACTTGATTAAAATGCCTAAATTCCTTCCCTGCTTCCTATGGAGACTTTTACACACAAGGGTAATTAGTTTGTTCCCACACTGCTATAAAGAACTGCCTGAGACTGAATAATTTATAAAGGAAAGAGGTTTAATTTACTCACAGTTCAGCATGGTTGAGGAGGCCTCAGGAAACTTACAATCATGGTGGAAGGGGAAGCAAACACATCCTTCTTCACATGGCAGCAGGAGAAAGAAGTGGCAAGCAAAGGGGGAAAAGCCCCTTATAAAACCATCAGATCACATGAGAACTCATTCACTATCATGAGAACAGCATGGGGGTAACCACCCCCATGATTCAATTATCTCCCACTGGGTTCCTCCCATGACATGTGGGGATTATGGAAACTACAATTCAAGATGAGATTTGGGTGGGGACATAGCCAAACCATATCATTCCACCCCAGCCCCTCCCAATTCTCATGTCCTCAAATTTCAAAATACAATCATGCCTTTCAACGAGTTCCCCAAAGTCTTAACTCATTCCAGCATTAACCCAAAAGTCCAAGTCCTCTGCCTCAGCTGAGACTTTGCCGTTGAGTCCCTTCTGTCTATGAACCTGTAACATCAAAAGCAAGTTTAGTTACTTTCTAGATACAACGGGGGTACAGACATTGGGTAAATGCACACATTCCAAGTGGGAGAAATTGGCCGAAACAAAGTTTTGCAAGTCTGAAATCCAATAGGGCAGTCATTAAACCTTAAAGTTCCAAAATGATCCCCTTTGACTCCATGTCTCACATCCAGCTCAAGCTGATGCAAGAGATGGGCTCCCACAGCCTTGGGCATCTCCACCCCTATGGCTTTGCAGGGCACAGCTCTCCTCCTGGTTGCTTTCACAGGCCGACATTGAGTGTTTGTGACTTTTCCAAGTGCAAACTGTCCGTAAGTCTACCATTGTGGGGTCTGGAGGATGGTGGCTCTCTTCTCACAGCTCCATTAGGCAGTGTCCCAGTGAGGACTCTGTGTTTGGGCTCAAACCCCACATTTCCCTTCCTCACTGCCCTAGCAGAGGTTCTCCATGAGGGCTCCACCCCTGTGGCACACTTCTGCCTGGACATCCAGGCATTTCCATACATCCTCTGAAATCTGGGCGGAGGTTCCCAAACCTCAGTTCTTGACTTCTGTCTACCTGCAGGCTCAACACCACATGGGAGCTACCAGGGATTTGGGGTTTACACCCTGAGCTGTACCTTGGCCCCTTTTAGCTATGGCTGAATCCAAAGCAGCTTAGATGCAGGGCACCATGTCCCGAGGCTGCACAGAACAGGGGGGCCCTCAGGCTGGCCCACAAAACCCATTTTTCCCTTCTAGGCCTCCTGGCCTGTGATGGGAGGGGCTTCTGCCAAGGTCTCTGACATGCCCTGGGGACATTTTCCCCATTGTCTTGGTTATTAACATTTGACTCCTTGTTACTTATGCAAATTTCTGCAGCAGGCTTGAATTTCTTCCCAGAAAATGGGTTTCTTTTTTATTGCATTGTCAGGCTGTGAATTTCCCAAACCTTTATGCTCTGCTTCCTCTTCAACACTTTTCCGCTTAGAAATTTCTTCCACTAGATACCTTAAATTATCTCAAGTTCAAAGTTCCACAGATCTCTAGGGCAGGGGCAAAATGCTGCCAGTCTCTTTGCTAAAGCAAGAATGACCTTTATTCCCATTCCCTGCAAGTTCCTCATCTCCATCTGAGACCACATCAGCCTGGACTTCATTGTCCATATCACTATCAGCAATTTGATCAAAGCCATTCAACAAGTCTCTAGGAAGTTCCAAACTTTCCCACATCTTTCTGTCTTCTGAGCCCTCCAAGTCTCTAGGAAGTTCCAAAATTTTTCACATTTTTTCTGTCTTCTTCTGAGCCCTCCAAACTGTTCCAACCTCTGTCTGTTACCCAGTTCCAAAGCTGCTTCCACATTTTCAGGTATCCTCATAGCAGCACCACACTCTCTGCAGTATCAGTTTACTGTACTAGTCTGTTCCCATGCTGATATCAAGAATTGCCTGAGACTGGGTAATTTATAAAGGAAAGAGGTTTCATTGATTCACAGTTCTGCATGTCTGGGGAGGCCTCAGGAAACTTACAATCCTGGTGGAAGGGGAAGCAAATATGTCCTTCTTCACATGGCGGCAGGAGAGAGAAGTGCCACGAAAAGGGAGAAAACCCCTTATAAAACGATCAGATCTCATGAGAACTCACTCACTATCACAAGAACAGCAAAGGGGTAATCACCCCATGATTCAATTACCTCTCACCAGGTCCCTCCCATGACACATGGGGGTTATGGGAACTATAATTCAAGATGAGATTTGAGTGGGGACATAGCCAAACCATATGAAATGCTAATACATTAAACACTTCTCTCTTTCAGTGTACTGGCCCTTCTAAGGGGTGTTTGAATTTTAAACACCAGGCTCTAGAAAATAGTAACAAAAATCTTTAGTCAAAGGAAGATTTTGGCTTTGAACATTCCATATAATTATAGGCATATAGGTACAGAGTAACTTGGATGCTTTTGATAAGAAAATAACTATGGGTGATAGTCACTGAAAGCTTACTATGAGCAAAGCTCTGTGTCTAATATTTACATGATGTGGCAGAGATTATTAATTTCCCCCATTTTCCATTATTCAATGCATTTCTTTGATATTAAAAGAAATTCCGGTTTTTAGTTGGGCATGTGGCTTGCTAGAATAAAAACATTTCCAGCTTCCCTTTCAGTTTGAGTGGCCATATGCTTAAGTTCTGGCCAGTGGGTTAGAAACACAAGTGTCATGTGTAATGTTTGGGAAGTGTACTTAAAGAAAAGTGGCATGCACTTCTTTGTGCCTTCCTCCTTCCTGCTGGTTGTCCTGTATACATGACAGGGATGCTCAAGCAATTATCTTGGGCCATGAGGTGTGATGCCATGTGCTGGGATGGCAGTTGCCCATGCTGAGCTCTTCTAAATTCATCAATCATGTAAGTCACTCCTTCTTCTTTGGGAATCACAGAAAATCCCTGAGTTCTACCCTAATGGAAGTTCCACAAATGGAAACATGAGGAATGGGAAATCAGTTATCCAGTAATAGGAATTTTTTCTCTAATTTAATATGACTGGTAAAATTTATTTTTTTAAATATCACTTTTACTTTTGGAAACTAAAATTGAGTAATATAATAAGCGTACAGCTAGGACTTTAGTTCAAATCAACCTGTAAAATCATGTGTGTAATCACCATGCTATAGTGCACTAAGATCCCATTACTAATAATAGTATGCTGGTGAATATTTAGCTGGCAGGGGTTGGGAGGAAAAGCTCTGAATTTTAGTGTTTGCTGATTTCCTCAATGTAAATATTTCCACCAGGCTGATTTTAAGCAACCAACAATTCAGCAATAGGCTTGCAAAACTCCTGAAAATTTAGCAATCTCTTCTTGTGAGATTATATGAGCTAGCTCCAGGACACCTGTGAAATATACTTGGCTGAGCCTAAGAGACATTCCAGGCAAGCTTCAGGATGTCTCGGACTGTCTTTCCTATCACTCAGATTTTATGGGTTTGGCTCCACCTAGGATGACACCATGTCAGAGCTAGCAGAACACCTAGTGCACCCACATGATGTTGGTCATGAAGTGATTAAAGAGTAACAGCTTGACCAATGGCTTCTGAGGAAACTTAATGGAGCTACATAGGAAGTGCCATCACTTTCCTGTTCCTTTTTAATGGGCGATCCATTTTTGGAGAGACCACAAGTAGCAAATAACTCTTCTGGCCAAAGAGAGTTTAAAATGCTCCTCCTGCTGACAAAATGCAGAGAATGCCATCACTGGAGCTGAGGAAATACCATTTTGCCAAGAGAATTAGGGCTGGAGCATAAAGAGAAAGTGCTGTTGTCACAAATCCACGGTCAACACTTTACAGGCACGTTTAAGGAACTCAGTGCTTCCTACGGGAATCAATGGATAAAGACCCAATTCAATGAGAGCTGTAATTTGAGCAAGTGCTGGAGGAACAATTAAGACATTTAAAAAGGGGTCTGTGGTGACGAGGGCAATGTGGGATGCACAGATGAGGATATGGACAAAACCTGCCTTGAGAAAGCTCTCTTACCACATCCTTAGGAAGAAGGGTAGAAACTCTTAATGGAACCCACTGTGCATCCTTTGTAAAGTGCGGATGGTGGGTGTGTGCCAGAACTATAAATAGTTCTCCTGACATATTAGGTTCAGTTTCTCTCAATGAGTCATCTTGTTGACTACAAACATTCTTGAGCTAAAGAAGCTCTTCAGATTTGTTGAATACAGATACTCAATCTAGAGGACCCTGTGAGAGGCTGAGAGTCAAGGTTCTCCATGTTAGCAATATAGGACCATCAGCCCCAGCCCAGAATTTGATCTCACCTGAGGCCTAATCCTGTCTGTCTGCATTATGTAAGCAGGACATTTTTACCTTGCTTTCTGCTCTCCTTCACATGTCTCTGCTCCCTAAGAGAATCAGTTCCAAGGTCCTAGTGTTTTTGATCCAGCTCACTTTTCTTTGAATTTGTTTGCAAAACACACACTCTGTGGAGATTCTTTTGTTTTTTCCTTGTAGTAGCACTGTGCTGCTCCAAGGGCAGAGCTGTAGATGTCTTACATGCAAGTATTGGGGGATGAAGGTGTAATATTCACCTCTTAGTTCACGGACAAGCTTCTAAGGGTTCATAAACTCCTAGCTTGAGTGGATCATGTCACTGTGTTCAGTTTTCTGGGTAGTGGGCCTATTAGATTCTAAATGGACTCTGTGACACCCCCACCCCCCATCACCACCTGAATATTAAGATCTGCTGAAATTGTCCCTATCTTTTGGAAATTTTAAGCATTTGACTTCAAACTATGCCCTTTTTTTGTCATCCTGCCCCCACTGGCAACTTACACTTGGAAATGTGGACGTGACATCTTTTCTTCCATATTCTCTCAACATGATCTTCTTATCATTTATCATTATTATTATTTTTTAAATTCTGTACTGTTGAGAGAAAACTTTGGAAAATAGGTAAATGGATAAATGGGTAGTGTTGAAACTAATATTTCTTTCTTTTTTTTTTTGAGACGGAGTCTTGCTCTGTCACCCAGGCTGGAGGGCAGTAGTGCAATCTCGACTCACTGGAAACTCCACCTCCCAGGTTCACGCCATTCTCCTGCCTCAGCCTCCCAATTAGCTGGGACCACAGGTGCCGCCACCACTCCCGGCTAAATTTTTTGTATTTTTAGTAGAGATGTAGTTTCACCGTGTTAGCCAGGATGGTCTTGAACTCCTGACCTCGTGATCCACCCACCTCGGCCTCCCAAAGTGCTGGGATTACAGGTGTGAGCCACCGTGCCCAGCTGAAACTAATATTTCTAATCTGGGTCTAAGGCATTTCATGGAAAAATATTTAAGTGTTAATGAGAAACTACCAAAACGACTTTTATTAGTAAAAATATATGAAATCAGTGAATCCAAAAAATCAATATGTAGATAGGAGAGAGTCATTTTTAGCAGAGAAGGCATATAATGTGCTTAAGGATAAATTAGAGAACAGCAATGGAGCAAGAAACTCCTCTAATTCCTGGCCACTGAAAGTGTGTCCATGGATCAGCATCTTAGACATCATCTGGGAACATGTTGGAAATGCAGAGTCTTGGGCCCCACCCCAGACCTGTGGAATCAGAATCTGCATTTTAGCAAGATGAATTCCAGGTGATTCGTATGTAACCCAAGTTTGAGAAGCACTGCTGTCATCTATTTCCCCCATGCAAATGCAAGACCATGCCAAAACATCACACTCTGAAAATCAGAGCCAGGATATGTGAGTGGTGACTATATGCTGGAAATCAGGTTACACACCTGATGTGGATAATCTCACTAATCCACATGACAATCCTTTGAGGTAGGTACTATTATTAACCTCATTTTATAGTTGAGGAAATGGAAGCTTAGGGAATATGAGTAATTTACATAGATCTCCAGCCTGGATTCGACTCCAAAGCTCAAGCATTTAACCACCGCCTTAGATGAGAAGTATTTCTGCATTTAAAGAGGATCCGCTTTCCTTTTGTGAACTTAGACTGTGAGGGTATGGATTCTGTAGCAGGCAGGATTTTTTAACTTGCTAACATTTTATTTTGAAATACTTCAAACTACAGAAAAGTTGAGCACCCACATATCCTTTATCTAAATTCACCAATTAGCATACTGGCACACTTGCACTCTTACTCTATACAGATATTTTCTAAATCACATGAAAATAAGTAGTAAACATTAAATTCACCAATTGTCAGCATTTTGCCACATTTGTGCCATTTCTCTAAACAGATTGATGGGTATTTTCTTTTTAAAAAAATTTTTGTGGGTACATAATAGGTGTATACATTTATGGTTTACATGAGATATTTTGATATAGGCAAAATATCGATGTGTAATATGATGTGTAATAATCATATCAGGGTAAATGGGGTATTCATCATGTCAAGTATTTATCATTTGTGTTACAAACAATCCATTTATACTCTTAGTTATTAAAAATGTAGAATTAATTATTAAAATTTTTTATTTCTAATTTTTGTGGGTACATAGTAAGTGTATATATTCAAATAATCACATGATGGAAAATTGGTGTCCATCCCTTCAAGCATTTACCTTGTGTTACAAATGATCCATTTATACTCTATTTTTAAGTGTATGATTACATTATTATTGACTATAGTCCCCCTGTTTTGCTAGCAAGTACTAGGCCTTATTCGTTCTTTCTAGTTTTTGTACCCATTAATCGTTACCACTTCCCCCACCCCGCACCTTCCTACTACCTTTCCCGGCCTCTGGTAACCATCCTTCCACTCTCTATCTCCATGAGTTCAATTGGTTTGATTTTTAGCTCCCACAAATAAGTGAGAACATGTGAAGTTTGTTTTCTGTGCCTGGCTTATTTCATTTAACATAATGATCGTCAGTTCCATCCACGTTGTTGCAAATGACTGGATCTCATTCTTTTTATGGCTGAATATTACTCCATTGTGTATATGACCCACATTTTCTTTATCTATTCATCTGCTGATGGACACTTAGGTTGCTTCCAAATCTTGGCTATTGTAAATAGTGCTGCAATAGACATAGAAGTGCAGATATCTTTTTGAGGTACTAATTTGCTTTCTTTTGGTATATACCCAGCAGTGGGATTGTTGGATCAAATGGTAGCTCAATTTTTAGTTTTTTAAGGAACCTCCAAACTGTTCTCCACAGTGGTTATACTAACTTACATTCCCACCAATGGTGTATGAGGGTTCCCTCTTCACATCCTCACCAGCATTTGTTATTACCTGTCTTTTGGATAAAAGCCATTTTAACTGGGATAAGATAATACCTCATTGTAGTTTTGATTTGCATTTCTCTGATGATCAATTATGTTGATCACCTTTTCGTACACCCATTTGCCATTTGTATGCCTTCTTTTGAGATATGTCTATTCAGGTCTTTTTCCCATTTTTAATCAAATTCTTAGATTTTTTTTCTATAGAATTATTTGAGCTCCTTACACATTCTAGTTATGAATCTCTTGTCAGATAGGTACTTTGAAAATATTTTCTCACATCCTTTGGGTTGTCTCTTCACTTTGTTGGTTGTTTCCTTTGCTGTGCAGAAACTTTTTAACTTGATTTGATTCCATTTGTCCATTGTTTTTTTTTGGTTACTGATATAGTTTGGAAATTTTTCCACACCTGATATGGTTTGTCTCTGTGTTCCCATCCAAATTGCATTGCCAGTGTTGGAGGAGGGGCTTGGTGGGAGGTGACTGAATCATCTGGGCAGACTTCCCCCATGCTGTTCTCAAGATAGAGTTCTCACAAGGTCTGGATGTATGAAAGTGTGTAGCACCCCCCCCCACTTCTCTCTCTCTCTTCCTCCTGCTGGCCATGTAAGACTTACCTGCTTCCACTTCACCTTCTGCCATAATTGTAAGTTTGTTGAGGCCTCCTTCCCAGCTGTGCTTCCTGTATAGCCTGTGGAATTATGAATCAGTTAAACCTCTTTTTTAAATAAATTACCCAGTCTCAGGTAGTTCTTTATAGCAATGTGAGAACAAACTAAAACACCACCCAAATCTCATGTTGAATTGTAATCCCCAGTGCTGGAGCTGAGGCCTGGTGGGAGATGTTTGGATCATGGAGGCAGATTCCTCATGGCTTGGTGCTGTCCTTGGTGATAGCAAGTTCTTGCCAGATCTGGTCATTTACAAGTGTGTGGCACCTCCCCATCCACCCCTTCTCTTTCTTGCTCATTTTTTCCATGTGAAGTGCCTGCTCCCACTTTGCTTTCTGCCATGGTTGGAAGCTTCCTGAGGCCTCCCTAGAAGCAGATGCCGGTCCTATGCTTCCTGTACAGCCTGCAGAACCATGAGCCAATTAAACCTCTTTTTTTGTAAACTACCCTGTCTCAGGTATTTCTTCACAGAAATGCAAGAATGGCCTAATACAGTTGCCTGTGCTTGTGGGGTATTATTCAATAAATTTTTGCCTAGTCCAGCGTCCTGGAGAATTTCTACAATGTTTTCTTGTAGTAGTTTCATAGTTTGCGGTCTTAGATTTAAGTCTTTAATCCATTTTTGATTTGATTTTTGTATATGGTGAGAGATAGGAGTCTAGTTTCATTCTCTTGCATATGGATATCCAGTTTTCCCAGCACCATTTATTGAAGAGACTGTCCTTTCCCCAATTTATGTTCTTGGCAGATAGATAGATATTTTCTAAATCATATGAAAATAAGTTGTAGATGTTATGACATTTCACTCAACTGAACATGCATTTCCTAAGAAAAAGGACATTCTCCTACATTTGCAGTACTACTGTCACAGGAATGAAAATGAACAATTCTCAAATATATTCCAATATGTAATCTGTATTTAAATTTCCCCATTTTTCCCTAAGAATATCTGTTATTCATGCATTCATTTCTTTTTCTTTCTTTCTTTTTCTTTTTTTTTTTTTTTTTTTTGAGATGGAGTCTCGCTCTGTCACCCAGGCTGGAGTACACAGGTGTGATTTCAGCTCACTGCAACCTCCACCTCCCGGATTCAAGGGATTCTCCTGCCTCAGCCTCCCAAGTAGCTGGGATTACAGGCGTGTGCCACCACGCCTGGCTAATTTTTTGTATTTTTAGTAGAGACAGGGTTTCACCATGTTGGTCAGGCTGGTCTCGAACTCCTGACCTTGTGATTCGCCCGCCTCAGCCTCCCAAAGCGCTGGGATTACAGGGCGTGAGCCACCGCTCCCGGCCCTTTTTTTGAAAATTTTTTACTTTTAACCCAGGATCCAATCAACGTTTACACATTGCATTTCCTTATTATGTCTCTTTGGTCTGTTTCACATCAGAAAAAAACTTCTACTTTTTCCCTCATTACATTGACATTTTGAAAGAGTCTGGGCCAGTTGTCTTGTAGAATGTCCCACATTCTGGATTTGTCTTGTTGTTTCTCATAATTAGATTCTGCCTCCAGAATTTTGTCTGGAATACACCATAAGTGATGTTTTATTGCATCACATCAGGAGGCATGTGATGTCAGGTTGTTGCACTACTGCTGATGCAGTTTGTTAACATGATGACCACAGATCTCTTCATTGTTAAGATTACTTTCCCTTTGTAATAAGTAATCTGTGGGATGATACTTTGAGAATTTGCAGATATCTTGTTTCTTAACATCTTTCTTCCAATGGTTTTAACATCTATGGAGGATACTTGCCTTAATTGATGACTATATTAAAGGTGGACAAATAATAATTTCTTATTTTTTTAAATTTATCTCTGTTTCCCTTCCTTCCCTCTTCCGCTCTTTCTTTCTTTTCTTTCTTTTGTTTTTGTTTTGAGACAGGGTCTTTGTTGCCCAGGCTGGAGTGCAATGCTGTGAACCTGGCTCACTGCAACGTCAATCTCCTGGGCTCAAGCAATTCTCCTGCCTCAGCCCCTCAAGTAGCTGGGACTACAGGCACTACAGGCACATGCCACCACACCCAACTAATTTTTTTTTTTTTTTTTTGGTAGAGTTGGAGTTTCATCATCTTCCCCAGGTGGGTCATGAACTTCTGGGCTCAAGTGATCCACCCACCTCACCTATTAAAGTGCTGGGATTATAGGCATGAGCCACTGTGTCCAGCTAATTTTTTAATATTTTGTAGAGACAGGATCTCACCATGTTTCCCAGGCTGGTCTCAAACTCCTGGGTTCAAATGATACTCCAGCCTTAGCCTCCCAAAGTGCTGGGATTACAGGCATGAGCCACTGGGCCTGGCCTGCTTGCCCTTTTTCTTTTATTTTCTTTTCCTGCCCTCCCCTCCCTTCCCCTCCCCTCCCCTCCCTTCCCTTACCTTCCCTTCCCCTCCTCTCCCCTCCCCTCTCCTCTCCTCTTTCTTCCTCTTTCTTTCTTTCTTTTCCTTTTCTCTCCTTTTCTTTTCCTTTCTTCCTTCATTCTTTCTTTCTCTATCATTTTCTCCTTCCTTCCTTCTTCCCTTCCTTCCTCTCTTCATTGCTTACTCTCTTCCTTCCTTTCTCTCTCTCTTATATTTCTTCCTTGCCTTCTTTCTTTGCTTTATTTGCTGGCATTCTTCATAAAAAAGAACTTCCTCTCTCTCTTCTTTTTGGAGTATCACTATGGACTCACCTTTTTTTTTTTCAAAGTCAATGTTTCTTTGTCCTTTTGACATAGCTCCATTAATCTATGAACACTTCCTTGATGTTTGACACAAGATATCTCAATATCACCTTTTACTTTCCCTGTCCCAGACCTAGAACCGGCCAAGAAACTAATAATCTAAGAAACCCTGGTTTCTTTGAGTGGGAAATGGAATATAGAACCAAAGAACTGAGTGCAAGGTGTACTACTTGCTACTGAAGTATGATTGCTTCTGGGACATTTTATAGACAGAGTTACAGAAACAATTAAATGATGAATTCCTAATGATTCATAAATTCAAATAAAAAACAATTTAAGGCCGGGCGCGGTGGCTCACGCCTGTAATCCCAGCACTTTGGGTGGCCGAGGCAGGCAGATCATGAGGTCATGAGATTGAGACCATCCTGGCTAACACGGCGAAACCCCGTCTCTACTAAAAATTCAAAAAATTAGCCGGGCTTGGTGGCAGGTGCTTGTAGTCCCAGCTACTTGGGAGGCTGAGGCAGGAGAATGGCGTGAGCCTGGGAGGCAGAGCTTGCAGTGAGCTGAGATCGCGCCACTGCACTCCAGCCTGGGTGACAGAGCGAGACTCCATCTCAAAAATAAATAAATAAATAAATAAATAAATAAATAAATAAAAATAAATAAATAAATATAAATAAAAATAAGAAAACAATTTAAAACCTCAATTCCGCTATTTCATATACATATGCATTTTCCTTACTCCACAGTGAAAACACTCCAACATTAATATATTTACTTGTTTATACTATCTTACAATAAACACAGAATAGTTTCAGAATACAATAACCAATAATACTGCTATCAATAAACCTATTAAGTAAAGTTCAAGATTTCTTTGCAATTCTTCCGGTTTTAAGATATATTCTAGGCTGGGAGCGGTGGCTCATGCCTGTAATTCTATCACTTTGGGAGGCCGAGGCGGGCAGATTGCCTGAGCTCAGGAGTTTGAGACCAGCCAGGGCAACATGGTGAAACCCCGTCTCTACTAAAATACAAAAAATTAGCCGGGCATTGCAGTGTGCACCTGTAGTTCCAGCTACTTGGGAGGCTGAGGCAGAAGAATCTCTTGAATCTGGGAGGCGGAGGTTGCGGTGAGCCAAGATTGTGCCATTGCACTCCCACCTGGGCGACAGAGCGAGATTGTGTCTCCAAAAAAAAAGAAAAAAAAAAAAAAACAGAAGAAGATATATTCTATTAAGGATATACGTTATATATATCATACTAAATGGTATTTACAAGTTATTTGAATTAACTCATTTTACTGTGTGACTGTGTTATCTATCAGGTACAAAGTAAGAGTACTTTCTTTAATGTCAAGATTTTCTTTTATCTTTATTTTTATTTAATTTTATATTTTGAATATATAAAATTTTATATGGCTTAAAAGTTAAAACCATAAATTAGTTCTAATCAGGGAAGCCTTACTTGTATCTCTTTTCCCTATATCCCATCCACCAACCTCCTGTTGACAGCTATATTCATTAGTTTACTTTTATTTTTATAATTTTTTTGAAACAGGGTCTCATTCTGTCACCCAGGCTGGAGTGCAGTGGTGCAATCACAGCTTATTGCAGCCTCAACTTGCTGGGCTCAAGTGATCCTCCTACCTCAGCCTCCCAAGTTGCTGGGACTACAGGTGCACACCACCATGCTTGGCGAATATATATATGTGTAATATTTAAATATATGATAATATATTTATATATAATATTTAAATAATGAAAAAATATTTATATATATTCGCCGGGCATGGTGAATATACAGAGACAAGGCCTCACCATTGCCTAGGCTGATCTCAAACTCCTGGACTCAAGAGATCCTCCCACCTCAGCCTCCCAAAGTGCTGGGATTACAGGAATGAGCCACTGTGCCTGACCTAGTTTTTAATTTATCCTCCCTGACCTTCTTTATGCAAAAATAAGGAAATATTTACAAATTTGTATTTATTTCCCTATCTTTCTTACCCAAAATAACATATTCTGAACACTCTTTTGCACTTTGCTTTTTCTCACTTGGCTGCCTGCTACTCCCTATCATTCATGGAGATTTCCCTTATTCTTTTTCATAGCTGTATAGTGCTCCATTGTATAGAGGAACCATAATTTGTTCACACCCTGTGGATGAGCATTTGGGTTGTTGCTAAAATTTTTTTGTTACAAATAATGTAGTGAATAACTTATACTTTTTTTTTGTATTTGTGAAGGTATATTTTTAGGGTAAATTTCTAGCAGTGAGATTGTAGGGTCAAAGGCTTAATGTATATGTAGTTTTGCTAGAAAATGCCAAATTCCTGTCCATATGGTTGTATTCCTTTGCTCTCCCACCAGTAACATGTGAGAATATTTTTTTTTCCATAGCCTTGCCACAGAGTGCATTGTCAAACTTTTGACTTTTTTGGCCAACTGGATAATTGAGAGATGGCATCTCAATGTTATTTTAATTTGCATTTCTTTTATTATGAGCAAAACAGAGCATTATTTACATATTTAAAGGCCATTTGTGTATCTTTTTGTGTGACCTGCCTGCTCTTATCTTTTACATCGGGTAGATTTTTAATGCATATACCAAAAATCACCAAATTCTCTTTATAACTTTGGCATTTACGAAAGACTTTCACAAGTCATCTTATTTGATCCTAACAGATCTTGAAAGGCTCAGGAAGAATAAGGACATTACTATTGAAATGGAACAGTTTGAAAGACAGTTGTATTAATCTGGAAAATATGGGAGTACCTGCAATTATACACATGAAGTGTCTTGTCAGATGCTGTTAGAAACCTTGAACAGAATGTTTCAGGTAGAACATTATCCATACTGGCTGAGAGGAGCTTGTACCATCTTTAGAAGCATTTAATAAACATTCTAAGAAGTCCAAAGTTGTCACATAAAGCTTGAACTCCTTTCTGTCTACACTTTGCCTAGAAGGAATATTGGGATGAAGATGGGGGCTGGCAGAGTAGGAATGACACGTGGAAACATTATAGTCTGATGGGTCTGTTCACTTAGCTAGTTCTATATTTGTTTGCTTTTTAATCTTTGCTTTTCTTTTTCTTTTTATCCAGAATGTAACTTGAACTCTCCCCAGTTTCTGTAATGGTTGCTAAGCCCAGCAATTTTCCTTAAGCAGTTCCCTGCTAAGAACCTTCCATTTAGTAAACCAAACCACCAAATGCAAGAGGGGTCTTTATTTGGGAAATCAAGACCATTTTCTTCAGATGGGATGAACTGCTCTGCAAGGAATCAGATTGGCCCTCTGTCAGCATGATTTTCTGAAGTAAAAAGTAAAAGATGAATGTGCTTTGTCCACAAATGAAGTTAGCCAAGCAAACAGAGAAAAATAGCTTACCAGCTTCCCTATTGATCTGAAAATCACCTTCTCAAAGAAGTAAGGTGACAGAGTGCACGCATCTCTACTCCACAAACCACTGTCACTCATTGGCAGGAACAAAGAGTATCGAGTCTCTATTAGGCTTAGAGCTATCCTTAGAAATCATGTTAAAAATGCACACAGGGCTGGAAATGGAGGGGAATGGATGACTCAGGATTTCTCATGATGAATGCAAAAGAGCTACCCTCTGGGGCACTCCCTTGACTAAAGTAGAGGTCAGAAAAGACTAAACATGGATACCAAAAGGTAAGCACTGACTACAGGTAATCAAGCATTCAGGGTATCAGCATTTCTATAGAATAGTGTGGAAAATTACAAGTAGGTGGGACAAGGTGGCTCACACCTGTAATCCTAGCACTTTGGGAGGCCGAGGCAGGCAGATAACTTGAGGTCAGAAATTTGAGACCAGCCTGGCCAACATCGTGAAACCCCATCTCTACTAAAAATACACAAAAATTAGCCAGGCGTGGTGGCGAGCGCCTGTAATCCAAGCTACTCAGGAGGCTGAGGCAGGAGAATTGCTTGAACCCAGGAGGCAGAGGTGACAGTGAGCCGAGATAGCACTATTGCACTCCAGCCTGGGCTACAGAGTGAGACCCTCTCACAAAACAAAACAAAACAAACAGCAACAACAAAAAAGAAAACTAGAGGTAAAGTCTTTGCTGCATACTAAGATGCTCATGCTTAGAATGAAAGTTCACAAAGTCAGGCAAAGGGAAGTCAAGAAATAATGGGCAAATGTAGTTAGCAGATAAATTGAGAGCAGGAGAAATGAGAGCACACAGAAAAAGCTATTTACATCGGCAGACCACAGCCCCTTTCAACACACAACCACAGAAACTAGGAAAGGGGAAGAGAGTTGAGAGCTGGTTCAGCAGCTGGCATCAGGGCAGCTCTTCAGAGGGTGGTGGACAAAGCCCTGAGGCAGGAGGGAAAAATACCTTTGCTGGTTTCCTTCCCTCTCTACTCCATTCTTCTAGATTCTGTTGTCTCCTGATTAAATGTAAAAAAGATATCATCTTCATTATACCTAGTGCACTGTTTTTTTATTATTGAAATATAATTTGCAGAATACAAAATCCACACATTCAAAGTGTACAATTCAGTGATTTTTAGTACAATCAGAAAATTGTGCAAACATCACCATTATCTAATTCCAGAACATTTCCATCACCCCTGAAGACACTCCATATTAGCAGTCATTCCCCGCCAACACTCTCCACTTTCTGTCTCAATAGATTTACCTATTCTGGGCATTTCATATAAATGGAATTATACATGTGGCCCTTTGTGTCTGACTTATTTCACTTAGATTTATCTTTTAATTAATGAATTTTACTTTTTAGAGCAGTTTTGAGTTTTAGGTTTGCAGAAAAATTAAGCAGAAAGTACAGATGTCCCTTATCCCTCCGGCACCCCTAACATACACTTCTCCATTATCATTATTATTATTTTTTAAGGTTGAGAGTAAAGGAGGTCTTCAAGCCAAAGAGAAAAATCATGCCCTCCCTGGAACCAAGAGCTCATAGTCTTTAATAAAACTCTCCTTTCTCATTATCACACAGTACCCCCAGAGACAGCCTAGCTTAAGCTCTGCTGGCTTCCCTTTGCCTTTCAGGAAGCTCAGTGAAAGGCCAGAGATGAGCTCTTGGGAGCAGCAGTGACTCTCCAAGAATATGGACGTTCCTCCTTGACCTTGATGGTGCAGCATTGATTTGTTCTCTTTCACTTTAGTAAATATTTTAAGGCATTGAGGTGGATTTTAAACACCAGAGGCTTGTTTTTATTCTCATAAAACAACTGAATTAATATTGAAAGCACAAAATGATTCAACTCTAAATATGATGCTTCTCAACTTATGATGAGATTACATCCTGATAGACCCATCCTAAATGGAAAATAGTCATAAGTGGAATATCATTTAAGTTGGGGACAGTCTGTACTTGTTGAATAAGTATTCCTAAAATGAAATTGTTTATTTGCAATACATTTGTCTCTTCTGAGCACAGAGGACATTTGAGTTATAATAATTGGAATATTGATACTTTTCTGAAACATTAAAGATTTTTGCAAACATGGGGAGTAATTTAGGAATAATTCCCATGGAATTGGATTGCTTTTCAATAAAAAAATGCAGAGGACACATTGGGTAGGAAGTAGAAGGACATGATAAGATGCTCTCTTCATCTTTAGTTAATCTATATCTAGCAGGAAAAACTAGAAAAAATATTGCATTGGAAATAATAATCGCTACCAGTTGTTGAGTAATAAGTATGTTCCAGGTACTGTGCTAATCATTTTTACATGTATTTTCTCTTTTAAAACTCATAACAGTATTATGAGTTAGATGCTATTATCATTCTAATATTAGGAGCACAATGAGGCTAAGAGAAATGAAATAACTTGCCCAAGGTCTCGCATTTTGCAGGTGAATTTAACCCTAAAGTCTTTAAGTACTTGCTAACATGAGAATTGGAGCAGGTAAATTCTCATCTTGATTATGTGACTTAACATAATTGGGCCTTATTTTCTTCATCTGTAAGATGGGGGTATTGGACTATATCCGCGATTCCTAATCTATGGCTGCCTTGGAAACGTGCCACTCCATCTCCTAACCTCCTGTAGGGAGCATGGTTGACTGACAGCTCCCAGCTATTGGCCCTGTCAACCTGAGGCCACACTTACACCAGGCTGCTCCTAGCCAGTGACTGGGCATGGCAGGGGTCCTGGTGTTGACTCAGTGCAATTCCTCTAATGAGCAGTTTTGGCTGGAGGACTCCTCATCAACAGCCAAGGCCTTCTCAGAACTGTGCTCCAGGCTGAGGCTCTTGCTACCCAATCCTGCCTTCCCTCTCTCTTTCCCTGGTATTGGACATATGTTGTGATCTGAAAGCTCTCCCAGCCTACTCCTGTCCCCACCTAATTTATCCTGCACAGAAATGTCTCTCAATAAATCTCTTGAGCTTCTAATCCTATGATTGGCTTGGCTTCTGCTGATTAGAGAACCAGAACTGACTCCAAGTCCATCTCAGGGAGGTTGAGAAAATATTTCCAAGGGTTCAGAAATTTCCCATGTTCAACAAGCAGTGTCCAAAAGACACTCTTTATTCTAGCTTTCTATGAATCCTAGGTCTCACATTTATATGAACTGCTACTTTCCCAATGAACATGGTTTATAAATATAGCGCAGTCATTTCAGATCCTTGTTGAATTTATAGCTACTTGTATTATTATGTATGTGTTCAACTGGTGAATTTTATAAGAATGGTTGCTAAGAGTCTTCATGCTTGAAAATATTGGGAGCCACTGGGGTAGATGCTTACTCAGGGTCTCTTAGGTCTGGCATCCTTTGATCCACAGTAGAGGCAGTACAGATCAGTAGTTACAGAATAGTGCTCAGAGCTTGGGCTCTGCCATCAGATGGATGTGGGTTTGAGTCCTTACCTACTTCTTGCTGCACATGCTCAGCCACACTGAACATAACATAACCTCTTCAAGCCTTTGTTTCATCATCTAAAAAGTGGAGACACTAATAATGACTTTTTTTTTTCTTTTTTTGAGACAGAGTTTTGCTCTTGTTGCCCAGGCTGGAGTGCAATGTGATTTCGGCGTACAATGTGATCTCGGCTCTCCACAACCTCCGCCTCCTGGGTTCAAGCGATTTTCCTGCCTCAGCCTCCCGAGTAGCTGGGATTACAGGCATGCGCCACCACGTCCGGCTAATTTTGTATATTTAGTAGAGACGGGGTTTCTCCCTTTTGGTCAGGCTGGTCTTGAACTCCTGACCTCAGGTGATCCGCCCACCTCGGCCTCCCAAAGTGCTGGGATTACAGGCATGAGCAACTGTGCCTGGCCATAGACTTCTTTTTTTTCTTTTTTTTTTTTTGAGTTGAAGTCTCGCTTTGTTGCCCAGGCTGGAGTGTAGTGGCACGATCTTGGCTCACTGCAACCTCCTCCTCCTGGGTTCAAGTGATTCTCTTGCCTCAGTCTCCGGAGTCGCTGGGATTACAGACAGGCACCACCATGCCCGGCTAATTTTTGTATTTTTAGTAGACACGGGGTTTCACCATGTTGGTCAGGCTGGTCTCGAACTCCTGACCTTGTGATCCACCCGCCTCGGCCTCCTGAAGTGCTGGGATTACAGGCGTGAGCCACCGTGCCCAGTCCATAATGACTTCTTTATAGGGTAATCGTGAAGGTTAAATGAGAAAAATGAATGTAAAGTACTTAGCCTGGCTCAGAGCAAGTGCTAAACGGAAGTTCATTGGAATTATTATCATTACTCTTTTTTTTTTTTTTTTTTTTGAGATGGGGTCTTACTCTGTCACCCAGCCTGGAGTGCAGTGGTGCTATCTCGGCTCACTGCAACCTCTGCCTCCTGGGCTCAAGCAATTCTCCTGCCTTAGCCTCCAGAGTAGCTGGTATTACAGGCGCATGCCACCACACTCAGCTAATTTTTGTATTTTTAGTAGAGACAGGGTTTTGGTATGTTGGTCAGGCTGGTCTCAAACTCCTGCCCTCAGATGATCTGCCTGCCTTAGTCCCCCAAAGTGCTGGGATTACAGGCATGAGCCACCGTGCCAGCTATCATTACTTTAAGTACATTAAGTCATTCTTACTTTCATCTTGTGTATTCATCTTTGGTTCTAACCAAAAGATTGTTTATAGTGTATTTCATGTCCTTGACTCTTACATTATCAGGAAGGGAGATAGTATTTCTCCTTTTTCTAAATTTTATGGTTTGTCTTTCTATAAAAATTGCATCCTATGTTTAATATATGCCTGCTTCTTTGAGCTTAGACCTTTGTAACCAACTGAGCTTTCATTTATTTGTCGAGAATAATCTTGTCCCTAGTGTGTCTCCCCTGTGTAATATCCTTTCACAACCAATTTGTCCTTAATTCTCAGACTAGGGTCATATTAGCAACACGAAGAATAGAAGAAATCTATTATTTACACAACCCCATCTCAAATAGATGACTATTTCAGGCAGATTTAGGGGTTTGAGGTTTTGGGGTAGAGCAGTTTTTGGAATCATAGAAATTATTTATTGGAGCACTGATTTTACAGTTGACAGCAAGTCTTATGGGGTGCCTCATTAGTGGGACAGGTGCAAGGGCAGCTGTTTTAATTAATGTGTCAGGAATCCCTATTCTTGATTTCTATTATGGATTAAGGAAAAGCTACACTATCTACCTGATTGCACAAAAAGGTGGGACTGAGGAAGGGTAACCGTTAGGACCATTGTTAGCTGAAGGCAATAAAGTCCCATGCCTTCAGTGGCTAACACAGGAGCTTATTTCTCTCATATAAAATGAAGTCAGCAAACAGACGGTTGCTTATGTTGGTTTATCAGCTTAATGGTGTCCTTTATGTCCCAGAGATTGTTTTGGCCTTTCTTTCACTGTCCCAGAATGGCTACAGGAATTCCAATGATCATATCCAAAGTCAAGTTGAGAAGGAGGAGAAAGGAGAAAGGGAAAGGCAGAACTAGCAGATCCCGAGCACTGGATTGAACTGTGCCATGTGGCCCCCACCTAGCTGCAAAGGAAGCTGAGAAATTATGTGTTTAGCTGGGCATCTTCCTCTCCTGGACACAGACAGTATTCTGTTAGTAAAGAAAAGTAGAGAAAATATATTGGGAAGGCAACCAACACTGTCTGTTCTCAGAGGCAAGCCTAGGAATGTAACTCATGTTTATGACTTGGATCCACTTTCTTTTTCATTATGGGAAGAATGACAGGAGTAAGGAATGCTGTAGTAAATATATTGGCAATTATAATGCATCACAACAAACTTACAAGAGATGTCCACAATGCTCTAAGTTTCCACTATACTGAGAAATATTTGTGGTAAAACTTAGAAATCATATTTTTAGTCATGAAGAAATTTTTGGTATAACAATGTCCTGGCAATATGATTTACCTGCAATTATAGAATTACAGAATATAACAGAGATTCTTATTAAATTCTCTGATTTCTCTGACACAATGGGTTATATTTAGGGGAAAGTACATGCTGGAATCTGTTTGAAAGGCAGTTGTAATTCACTGAAATTTATTGTCCTCAAATTCACAAAGTTTTAAAAAAGATTCAAACTATATCAGGAGCTTACTCAAAATATAAATAGATCTTATAGTCCTGAGGTGTGCAATATAAAATAGGCCATTGCCTCAGGAGTTTCTTATGAAGATGCCTGCAACGTGAACTTTTGGACCCTGATTCTGCAAAAAAAAATCCATCTTCAGAACAAGATAAGATTGTGGAAGTTGAGTGAGTATCTGTCTGAGCTTTTTCTCACATGTATGGTATTTAACTACCTTTGTCAGAAATTACAATTTAAATCTGTAGCTTTCATTTCATTTATATTTTTAAAATACTACTAAAAATTAATTATGTGCTTATCATGGTTAAAATGAATAGAACTATTTGTCTAGTATCATACATTTATATTATATAATTTCCCCCTTCCCTCATACCTTTACTTCAAATCTTTAAATTGTTTAGGCTTTATCCTTTCCTTTTAAAAATTTAGTGAAAATTTCAGGTTATGTTCTTTATGGAAAATTTGAAACTACAGAAAAGTGAAAAAGAAAACTTCATACTATTTAAGATACATTTATAAGTGTTTATTTGTCTCAACCCTAATGACCATTCAAGATGGATCTATGCACAGATATACATTGATGAATGTGCCTGGAACATACTAGCACCTTCCTAAATCTTGGGACAAATACAACTATGTTCCAGTCACAGCTGATGCATTTGGTGAGAGCAGTCAATTTATAGGCCAGTTTGAAAATGGGAATGAGGTCAGGGAGGGCAGAAAAGTAGAAGAAAAAGCCAGAAGAGGCAGCTATGAGAGGCATTTTGATCATTTATCTATTATGAATAGACCTGGTATGCCTTTAGCTTTAAAATATATGTAAATACATATTATAACCAGAAGAGTGAAGTGATACAACTAAGAACACAGAGATGGTCACATAATCAGAACTCGAAGTTGAGCTTTCTTATCCTTACCCTAAGGAGTTCTCCCGCTAAAAATGGATGTCCAGATCATATAAGTGAACTACAAATACATTCATCTAAAAAGCCTCCTTTTTATATTTTGTATTTTTATATTTTGTGTATATTTGCTTGAGGATAGGTTGAGGAGATGAGCTATTTTAAAATATTGCCCTTATTTATAACTTTTATTTTCTTTTTTTATATCCTAACTTCTTCCCTTCCTCCCTCCCTTCCTCTCTTCCTTCCCTCCTTCCCTCTTTCTTTTCTGAGGGTGGGAGGGAAACAGTTTCAATGCATGGACTTCAGAATTAGACAGACACTGATTTGAATCCTGGGTCTGCCCCTTGCTAGATATGGGACTCTATTCAGCTTGTTTACATTTTCTATGCTGCAGTTTCTTCACCTATAAAACTGAAGTAAATACATTTGCCTTATAGTATGATTTAGGGCATAATGGTCAGTTAGGCTTGATTACACTGCAGTAGCAAATACACTGCAGTAAAAAAAATTTCAGTGGTCTCTGTAATACAAGTCCATGTGTCACTCTTGGAAAGTCAGCTGTGAGTCTGGGTGACTCCCCAGGGCTCAGCATTTAATTTCATGGCACCTGCGTATTAACATGTTCTTGTGTGATCACCATGGCAACTAAGTAGTGACACATATCATGTGACTCAGAAGTGCTTACATTTTTCTTAAATGAATAAACAGCTCCATGGAAATGCCTAACTTCAACAAGCTGGAACAATGCAATGCCCCTGTGTGTCCATAATGGACATGCTGGTAAACGGCACTAATACCTACTCCCGTCTGCTTTCCTCATCACTTTTCAATGTGCTCTCTTTCCTGCAGACAGAATCCATTTTTGCCTTCCCCAAGGAGACAATCCAATAACTCCATCTCACCACCACTTCACACTCAGAGTCCACGATGAAGCATACTTCAGATCCAAATTTGGCTTTTCTTGGTCCAGAGTCATATGACACAAGGTTCATAAAGTGCTTACTGCCTGGCCAAAAGCAAATTCATGATGACTAGCAGTGAGTGATAAGAGGTTAACAACAGCAGTGACAGTAGCATCTTACCAATCGTCTTATCACATCAACAATATCTTCTTTACCAGGACATTTTTATAGCCCAGGACATCCATTGTTTTGATAGTTCACGATCCAGTGCTCCTTCTTGGGGAATTCACCTCTTCTTATCTCAGTCCGTATGATTTATAGGGGATTTCTCCCATCCTTCAACCACTAAGGACAGGCGTATAACGAAGGCCTTAACAATCAATTTATTCTATTTTACCAGTCACAGAGGTAGGTTCAGGGATGGGTACATTACTTAAGTTGGTCCAGGAAGACTCAGTCTTAGGACTTGCACTGGAAAGGGGGGAAAACCCACTTCTTTTTCTCTGTTAAGGTTGCTGAGAGAATAAGATGAAAAATCCACATCTGCTGAAGGTCAGCATATGACCAAAGTGAGCGCCTTCCAGGAATGCTGCCAGTGCAGAAGGAGAGCCCAGCAGTGGTGAGAATGAGATGAGTTCTGCTGATAGTATTTGAGACCCTGGATTTAGCCACTGGTGGATCCCTGGAATTTTCAATAACCCGAACCATAATTTCTCCTTTTACTTAACCTGGTTTGATCTGGGATGTGTTACCTGTAGTGGTAGATTTCAAAAATAGCCACTAGGTTTTCCCCTCCATGTATTCATATCCTCTTGCTGTATAATTTTGAGGGTCTTTCCACTCAGATTCTGGACCTATTTATATGATTTGTTTTGGACAAAGAGGTGCCCACAACATGACACAGAAGGGTCTTGAAAAGTATGTGCACAGTGGGGCTTGCTCTCTCTTGACACTCTTTGGACCCCTCATCACTGCTGCCATGTAAAGAAGCCCAGGTCACCTTGCTGGATAATGTGAGATAAAATGGAGCAAAGGAGAATTGTTCCAGATGGCCCATCCTGGATTAGTCAGCTCCAGCCAATTCACTAATTGACCACAGATACATGAAAAAGCCCAGTAGAGATCAGCCAAACCTTGTTCACACCAGGAATACATCCCAGCAGTATCATGAGACAAATAAATGATTGCTGTTTTAAATCAGTAAGATTTGAGGCTGTTATACAGCAAAAGCTAACTGATACACTTGCCAGCAAGAGAGTGCTACCAGTTACAACCATGCTCTGGTAGTTCTCCTTTTACACTTTCTCTAGCTCTCTTTAAAACATACTAATTTTGTGATAGTTTAATGCGCCTGTAAGTAGGTACTCAAGGAGTATTTCTCAAATGCTTAAAATGAATAGGGAGACTTGAAAGACACTGTCTTTAGACCCCAGAATTGAGTCCAATGCTGAATATTGTAGGCATCAGGGAAGAGCTAGGAAGAAGCTGAGCATCTTTTCATGTACTTATTGACCATTTGCAATTTTCTTTTGGAAAAAGTCTGTTCAAATATTTTGCCCATTTGGTGACGAGTAGGGAGTTATTTGCCTTGTTATTGAGTTGTGACAATTCTTTATATATACAAGTCCTCAGTAGATATAAGTGTTACGAATATTTACTTTCTTGCAGTCTGGGGTTTGGTTTTTCATTTCCTAAATAGTGTCTTTTGAATAGCAAATTTTATAATTTTGATAAAGTCTAATTTATCGATATCTTATATGATTCATAATTTTTATGTTTAATTTTAGAAATTTTTACGAACCCCAAGATCAGAAAGATTTTCTCCTATGCTGTTTACCAGAGATGTTATGGTTTTTGGTCTTACATTTAAGGCTGTGATTCATTTCAAATTAAATTTTGTATATGGTATGTATAAAGGTAAGGCCTGCCTGCCTTCCCTCCCTCCTCCCTTCCTCCCTTCCTTCCTTCCTTCCTCCCTTCCTCTCTTCCTCCCTTCTTCCCTCCTTACTTTCTTTCCTTCTGTTCTTTCATTCTTTCTTTCTTCATACGGGTGTCCAACTGTTCCAGCAACACTTATTGACAAGACAATCCCTTCCCAGTTGAATTGCCTTGCCATCTTTGCTGAAAATCAATTGAATGTATAAGTGTGGGCCTATTTCTCGATATTCTATTATGTCCCATTGATCTAAGCTTATTCCAATACCACACTCTTGATTCTGTAGTTTTAGCATCTTCATTCAGGTAGTGTAAATCTTCCAAGATGGGTTTTTGTCTTGTAAAGTTGTTTTGGTTATTCTGGGTCCTCTGCATTTCTATATACATTTTAGGATTAGCATGTTAATTTCTACAAAAAGGCCTGCTGGATTTTCATATGTAATGGTGGATTACATAAATCTACAATTCAATTTGGGGATAAGTGACATCTCAACAATACTGAGTCTATCCATAGTCTATCCTTCCATTTAAGCCTTCTTTAGTTTCTTTCAGCAATGTTTTCTAGTTTTAAGAATACATACTTGACACAACTTTCATTAAATGCATTTTTAAGTATTTATGTTATTACAAATGGAACTTTAAAAAATTATTGTTGATATATAAAAATAGAATTAATTTTTGTTCAGTTTTAATAATTTGTGTCTCTGAAGGAATTTGTCCATTTCATTTATGTTGTCAAATTTATTGGTATGAACTTATCATAATGTTCCCTAAATTATCCTTTTAATGTCTGTAAGGTGTATAATAATGTTCCTCTTTCATTCCTAATATTGGTAATTGTCTTCTTCCATTTCTTCTTGATCAGTTTAGCTACATATTTTCAGCTGTATTAATCTTTTCCAAGAAATCGGTTTTGGTTTTATTGATTGTCTTTTTTGCTTTTGTAGTTTCTATTTCTTTGGTTTCTACTGTTATCTTTATTGTTTCCTGTCTTTTACTTGCTATGGGTTTAATTTATTCTTATTTTTGTGGTATCTTAGGGTGGAAACTTAGAGCATTGATTTGAGATCTTTCTTATTTTCTAATATAAGTAATGGAACCTGTAAATTTCCCTCCAAGTGCTGATTTAGCTACACCGTACACATTTTGATAATGATGTTTTTAAAATTTTTATTGTGTTCAAAATATTTTCTATTTTTTTGTATTTGTTCCATGACTCAATAGCTATTTAGAGGTATTGTATTAGTCCATTTTCACACTGCTGATAAAGACATACCGAAGACTGGGCAATTTACAAAAGAAAGAGGTTTAATGAACTTACAGTTCCACATGGCTGGGGAGGCCTCATAATCATGGCAGAAGGCAAGGAGGAGCAAGTCACGTCTCACATGGATGGCATCCAGCAAAAAGGGAGAGAACTTGTGCAGGGGAACTCCTCTTTATAAAAACATCAGATCTTGTGAGATTAATTCACTATCACAAGAACAGCAGGGAAAGACTTCCCCCCCATGATTCAATTACCTCCCACTGGGTTTCTCCCACAACACATGGGAATTCAAGATGACATTTGCCATTGCAACACCCAGAATTTGAGGATGAGATATAAGTGTCTGTTTTCAGGAAAAAAACATACATTGTTTATAAAACATAATACAATAAAGCACATTTAATATGGTAAATAAGATTGGATCTTATAACAAATTTTCTCCATATTAATGCATGAGACTCAATGCAGGGCATGTTCCTCAAAAGCAAATTCTACTTTATCTATTTTAAATTCCATTTTAGGTCTTTGAGGAATTGCCGCACTGTCTTCCACAATGGTTGAACTAATTTACACTCCTGCCAACTGTGTAAAAGCGTTCCTTTTTCTCCGCAACCTCACCAGCATCTGTTGAAATACCATTTAACCCAGCAATCCCATTACTGGTTATATACCCAAAGGAATATACATCTTTCTATTATAAAGATACATGCACTCGTGTGTTCATTGTAACACTATTCACAATAGCAAAGATGTGGAATCAACTTAAATGCCTCTTCATGATAGACTGGATGGAGAAAATGTGGTACATATACACCATGGAATACCGTGCAGCCATAAAAAGGAATGAGATCATGTCCTTTGCAGGGACATGGATGGAGTTGGAAGCCATTATCATCAGCAAACTAACACAGGGACAGAAAACCAAACACTGCATGGGAGCTGAATGATGAGAACACATGGACATATGGTGGGGAACAACACACACTGGGGCCTGTTGGTGGGGGAGGGGGAGGGAGAGCATCAGGAATAATGCTAATGGATGCTGGGCTTAACACCTAGGTGATGGGTTGATCTGTGCAGCAAACCACCATGGCACATGTTTACCTATGTTACAAACCTGCACATCCTGTGCATGTACTCCTGAACTTAAGATAAAAGTTGAAGGAAAAAAAATTCCATTTTAAATTTGGTTAAATTGTCATGAGTACAATCAGTGTTACAAAAGGCTTTTCATACAAGGACAGAATTCATGAATTAGTCTCCAAATCTATCTCACAGGTAAAAGTGTTTTTTGTTGTAAATTGAAGAGAGATTTTCATGACACTTGAGAAATGGAGACCAAGAAGCCAGAATAATCTGTTCTCTTCCTTGAGGTAAGAACTTGCTGTTCATGTTTACTTCTTCTGCAGTTTGTTCCAACTGGTTGACCCTGAGGTACTTGGGAATATCTTATTTAGCCTTTTCTTTCTTTCTTTCTTTTTTGAGATGGAGTCTTGCTCTGTCATCCAGTCTGGAGTGCAGTGGCATGGTCTTGGCTCACTGCAAGCTCTGCCTCCCGGGTTCACGCCATTCTCCTGCCTCAGCCTCCTGAGTAGCTGGTATTACAGGAGCCCACCACCATGCCCGGCTAATTTTTTGTATTTTTTTTTAGTAGAGACGTGGTTTCACCGTGTTAGCCAGGATGGTCTCAATCTCCTGACCTCATGATCCACCCGCCTTGGCCTCCCAAAGTGCTGGGATTACAAGCATGAGCCACCGTGCCTGGCCATTTAGCCTTTTCTTTACCAGTGCACCTTACTTCCTTTCAGTACAATTTATCTCTTTTTTTTTTTTTTTTTTTTTTTTTCTGAGAGTCTCGCTCTGTCACCCAGACTGGAGTGCAGTGGCGTGGTATTGGCTCACTGCAACCTCCGCCTCCTGGGTTCAAGCAATTCTCCTGCCTCAACCTCCTGAGTAGCTGGGATTACAGGTGCCTGCCACCATGCCCAGCTAATTTTTGTATTTTTAGTAGAGACGGGGTTTCATTATGTTGGTCAGGCTGGTCTTGAACTCCTGACCTCAGGTGATCCGCCCACCTCGGCCTCCCAAAGTGCTGTGATTACAAGTGTGAGGCAATAGGCCTGGCCTACCTCTTCATTTTTAAAGAAAATTGTCTAAACTGATATTTTAAATAAAAGGAAGATTTAGAAGGCAAAACAATCGGATGGTTTACATATACTCAACAAGACTAGGAAACGTGGGCCATGGAGTCCAGTTACAAATCCTGGATCTATCCATTACTAGTGGTTAATTAACCATGCTATCCCTCAGTTTTCATGTCTGCCAATAGTGGTAACAATAGTGTTAATTTCATTAGTGTGTGTGTTTATGAAATAGGTGTGTAATGAAAGCATATATATATATGACTTCTAAGTTTTATATTGTACACAATAAACTGTAGCTACTTTCATTGCTATAAATCTGGGAAATTTGATGAGAATATGTTACAAAAACACATAAAGTCTCAAAATATAAACTTGTATCTGCTTCTTTGACATCTTATTTTTTTTAAATAGAGCAATAGTTTAATTGAGGATTTTAGGACATTTCCATTTTGAGAACTCTAACTGAGAGGGGCTAACTGCTTCATATAATTTAAATGCATTTAACTTTGGGATTTTAAAAAGCAAAGGTTGTAATTTTATTTTATCTTTTTCTTCAGATATAGCAAATTATAGCATGGATCCAAGGGGGCTATTATTGTTATAACAAAAGGATATAATATTTAGCTATAATACTCCATCATTATAATTAGTTTTCCTTACCGGTGCATTTCAGATGCAAAATACTTGCTAGCTCATTATATTTTTTATCTCTATTGGGTCAGGTTTACTACTAAAAATCTGCTGAAAGCTATGTATATTAGTCTAAGTTTTCCAGAGAAACAGCACTAATAGAATATTCATATATATATAACAGAGCCAGTGGGATATGCATGTGTATATATACACATATATAATAAATCTCTTTGTGTGAGATTTTGTGTGTGCACATATATATAATAAATCTCTGTGTGAGATTTCGTGTGTGCATGTATATGTATATATGCATATATATTTTGTGTGTGTGCATGTATATATGTATATATAGCTATATACATATATGTATGTATATAGCTAATGGATGCTGGATACATATACATGCACACACACAAAATCTCACACAAAGAGATTTATTATAATATATTGGGTCATGTGATTATGGAGGCCAAGAAGTTCCATGATCTGCCATCTGCAAGCTGAAGACCCAGGAAGGCCAGTGTAGTTCGAGGTCCTGAGAGCCACTGGGCCAATGTTACAGATTCCAGTAAAAGTCTGAAGTCCTGAGCACGAGGAGCATTGAGGGCTTCAGGAAAAGATCCATGTCCCAGCTCAACAGTCGGAGAGAGAGAGGGAGGGGAGAATTCAATCTTCCTCTGTCTTTTTGTTGTATGAGGCCCTGAACAGATGGGATGATGCCTACCCACATTGGAGAAGGCCACCTACTTTACTCAGTCTGCCAATTCAAATGCTCATCTCTTCTGGAAACACCCTTAAAGATGCACTCAGAAATAATGTTTAATCAGATATCTGGGAATCCCATGGTCTGTGTCACAGAAACTAGTCATCACACTATGAATCCTCTTCTCAGAAAAAAAATTATATATATATATTCAATTTTAAATTGGGTTAAATTGTCATGAGTATAATTATCATTACAAAAGGCTTTTCGTACAAGGACAGAATTCATGAATCAGTCTCCAAACCCATCTTACAGGTAAAAGTGTTTTCAGTTGTAAATTGAAGAGAGATTTTCACAAAACTTGAGAAATGGAGACCAGGAAGCCAGAATAATCCGTTCTCTTCCTTGAGGTAAGAACTTGCTGTTCATGTTTACTTCTTCTGCAGTTTGTTCCAACTGGCTGGCCCTGATGCACTTGAGAAAACCAAAATAGGTGTGTATATATAGATGTTTTGATAGATGTATATATATCTGCATATATATACCTATTTCAAATGTAATTTTCAGGTGACTTACGAACCTCAGGAAGCCCATTCATGGGCCCTCTCCCCAACCCTCTAGTTCAGGGAGAGTTTCATGGATCAGGGTAAGAGTTTTCAGGATAAGAACCCCTTTTTTGATGTTTTGTCAGAGTAGACATTGCAATTCTGACATAGTCTCTGGCCCCAGCCAAAGTGTTTTGTAAAATGATTTCCATGCAATAGTCTTCCCTTAGTGAGGAAGATGCTTTTATTCTACAGAATAAAACTCACCCCAATTCAGGCTTCCTAAGCAATGATCCCTTCCTAACGCCTATAATCAAATATTTTTTTCCTCCCATACATTGCTTCATGCAATTAGTATTTTATAGAGTACCCAAGGTGGGCTAAGTACTGTGCTAGGTGTTGGGATAGCCTGAAATATAAGACATGGTTCCTGCTTTCCAGGGGAGGGGGAAATAAATGGATAAATAAATAAATTACAGTATGACGTGATAAGTGTTATAATAAAGATATTAAAACTTATGGGAATATAGAGTCCAACAGCAGCAATATTTTAAAATGTTTAAGTAAACTTTCAATAATGGATCAAATTCTACATCAAGTTGATTGTGGGCAATTGGAAACTAAAATACTTTTCAGATATATTTAAAAATGAGTATTTGCAGAATAGTTACTAAGCCACAAAATTGAAATGAATTATTAAAAATGTTAACTGCAGAGAGTCAGCCTCTTCTACCATCAATACAATGCAATGTTTAAGGCAGTTAATAAAAGTCAGTTTAAGTTCAGAACATGCTGAAAAGGGAAGAAGAACTAGTTTCTCTCAATCTATCATCTGAAAAAAAGTGTTTTCTTGGGAAGATTTAGAACACAGCTTTCATCAAAGTTGTGGCAGTTCATATTTTACTCCTGAAAACATGGAGAATGAATAAAACATAAGGAAATTTGAATGACAAGCTTGTCTTTATGAAATTTTATTGGCAAAATCACAAATCCTGGACCTCATCTTTCAAATGTCACTGCCTTAGTTAAGTCGTGTGTGAATCCTGCTAAGACAGAACCACTTGTTCCTCCTGGAGTTTCTGTAACACCCTGTATTTCATCACTGGTGTCATAATTCTTCCTTAACCTTTGTCCCCCTCAAGAATGTGAGGTAGGTGGAGACCACCCCTTCCCACTGCAGACCAGGACACAGGTAGCGGCTTAAAGATCTCATTACCACCTGACAACACAGATGCTGAGAACAACTGGAAGGCTCTTAAACCCATGAAGGCAGGAGGTTTATTTGTCTGTCAATTCCTCCCAAAGAGGCCAGGTCCCCTCGGTCTTTTATTTATTTATTTTTTTTGAGACGGAGTCTCGCTCTGTTGCCCAGGCTGGAGTGCAGTGGGGCGATCTTGGCTCACTGCAAGCTCCGCCTCCCGGGTTGATGCCATTCTCCTGCCTCAGCCTCCCGAGTAGCTGGGACTACAGGCAGGTCCCCTCAGTCTTAATTCTACTGTGGCACTGAATATCTCAAGGACTTGTAATGGTGTTATGTGGGGACAAGTTCAGGTAGCCTTAAGAGAGGTTAATTAATTAAATGCTACTTTTTGGTTCCTGCTAATTAGAAAGAACTGCCAAGAAGAATTAAAGTGCAATTCGTAACTCATTGTGATGGCCTTTCCTCATGACTCCATCTGAGCGGCAGCGATGGTAAATGGAGGAGAAAGCGCTGGATGTCAGAAGATAAGTTACAAACGGCCTTGGGGCCCAGCGCGGGCATAGAGGAGACTGGGGAAGCATCTCCAGGCTTAGGAAGGGGCACAAGAGGTGGAACAGACTTTAAGACGAGTGCCCAGACAGGGCTGCTGAGGTGTGGGGATGGTGAAGGGAGAACAAAGGCGCTGCCCAGGTCTGGGGGAGGCTTGGAGCGCTTGGGGAAGGCAAGCCTGGCCTGCATCGGCCCCCAGGCTAGGTGAGAGCAGGAGCTGAGAGCAGGAGCTGAGAGCAGGTTTCCCAGTCACTTTAGGCTCAAGGGTGGGCGGTTGCAATTTCAGCCTGGGGTTGGGTAGAGTGTGAGGCTGAAAAAAACCTGCGGGAGAGGCCAGTGGGGCCCTCAAGGGGCAAGGTCAAGGCAGGGAGCAGCCACCAAGACAGAGCCTCAGTTCTGATAGTGTCCCTGTCCCACCAGATCCCTGCAACCGCCCTGCGAGGTGAGCACAGCTGCAATGCTTAGCTCCATTTTACAGATGGGGAAATGGAACCTTAGAGACGGTGTCTTAACCAAGGGTCACCCGGCTGCTGGCTGGCTGACCGAGGGCCAATAAAGGACCAGATCCCACGCTCCCACTATCCTGGGCAGACCTGGCCCTCCTTAGGGGCTGGCTCCTCCTGTCGGCCGCAGTCTCAGCCTTGCGCTCACATGGGTAAGTGTGGGCCCCGACACTACATCCTAGAGCCTCGTCCACCGGTCACCCGCCGCCGCCTGGCTGCCCTCACCGAAGAGTGGGGAGGCAGGCGGAAGCGGAGGTTGGAAGCGCCCAACTCTGACGGCTGGAGAGCTGGAGAGCGCGGGAAGCTTCCCAGACAAACGCCGAGTTTTGTCTCCGCCAGATTTATTTGCCCTCGGTGCCTCCACCCGAGTAGGCGCAACCCCAAATGCAGCTAATGCCTTGACACCATCGCCCCCCAATTCCTCCCGCGCGGGCGTTTTACAAGGCCTGGTGATCACGACCTTCGACCCCGAGCCAGGAGGCCTCTGGGCCTTCCTTTTGGTGTGGTCTCAACTTTACACTTGGGAATGGCAAAGCCTCGCGGCAAGGGACGGGGTCGGGGTTGCACCTGACCCGAGGAGGCGTTGGGCGGCCTTCCTCTTTCCCCTGCTTCATCCCGCAATGGGTGCCACCGACTTATTGGGTCTCGTTCTCGCTCTCCCACTCCTTTCCCTCTCCTCAGCCAGCTGATTCTAGACGGAGACCCAGCACAATAGGGAAGGCGGGCTGAGACCAGCTCGGACATTCCATCACTCAACCTTGTGTGAGCTCGCGCCCTCATCAGATGCTGGGCAGGAATAGGACACCGGTGAGCGCCTCGTGGTAAGACAGAAACACAAACAGAGATGATAAGATGATGTACTGGGACAGGTCTGAACTGTTGGGGTCAGAGTTCGGTACTTAGTAGTCACCGACTTCACTAATAGAAGTGCGCAGGAGAAGGTTGCTACTCTCCCCTGTGCTTTGGTCTCACAGGCAAAGCCTTCTCCAGACTGTCCCCTGGGCTGGGAATCGCGCCCAGAGTCACGGGCGGCCAGACCCACCCCATGTGTTCCCCGGCGCGCTCTCCAGTGGAGCTTCCCTAGGAAAGGAGACCGTCCCGAGAGGCTGTGGCGCGCCTGGGACTCCCCGACCCTTGCCACGACATCCCTGCCACCCCTTTTGGCGTGAACCCACCGGGGATCCCGCCCGACGCCGGCTGCGCTGGGCCAAATCCGCGGCGCGCCTCTGCCGGGCACCTCCCACCTCCAGCTTCGCCCCTCCCCTCTCCCGGCCGCGCGTCCTCCGCGGCTGGTTCAATCCCCGCGGGGACCCGGAGCGCGGCTGCCGGTCTACGCCCTCTCTCCTGCCGCTCTCGCGGCGCAGCCCGGCCGGGGGCCCCCGCGCGCCGGCAGCTCTAGGGGCGAGCGCGGCGCGCTGACTGGGCGTGCTCAGCCGCGGAGCGCCCGGGCGCCGCTAGAGCCAAGCGCATGCACTCGCCGGGCCGGGCCGTCCAGGGGCGCAGCGCGCAGGGGGCCGCTCTAGCCGACGCCCTGGCCAGTCTGGGCAGGACGCGGGCCAGGATGGCCTCCCTCACCGCATACGGTAACTGGGGCCGTCGCGGGTTCCTGGGGCGGCGGGGCGGAAGGGAGGGGCCCAGGGAGCCGTCGAAACACCCGGGGAAACTTCGGGGTTCGCCTCTGCGGAGGGGTCTGGAAGGGAGGGAGACGGCGGCCGTGCGCGCCGCTCCTGAGGGGCCGATGTTCCGCGGGGTTTCGGGCCGCGGGTAACCCGGGAACCGGGTGTCTGCGGGAAAAACGCTTCAAAATTTGGGAGGATCTGGGAGCTTCGGGACTCTAGAAACATTCCCCTCGCTTCCGACCACTCAGGGGAAGGGACGCGGGTGTTAAGTCCTCCTCTAGCGGGGTGAGGCTTGGAGTTGGGAGATGTGCGTTCAGCCAGCGCTTATCTTGTCCCTGACTGACCTTGGGCAAGTTATTTAAACTTTTCAGCCTCTGCATTTCTCCGTCTGTAAATCAGAGAGATGAGAACATCTCTCTGACAGATGCTGTGGAGTTAAAATAATATGCACTGTAACATGTTTTTAATGCAAAAAAAGAAATCAGTTTGGAAATAAAAGTTTATGAAAAAGGAAGGCATTCATCGTTCCCCTGCCCATTGTTTTGTTAAATAAATATATATGAATAGACATATACATATATACATGTGTGGTATTGCATGGTTCTGAAGGAAAACAAAATCACTGTGTGAAGGTTTCAGGCTCAGCTAGAAATCCTAGCGCGCTGGGGAAGCCAGCAAGGCTTCTTATCAACGTTCTTGCTTGTGTGGATAAAGCAATTCTCTTTAGCCCTTTATCAGAAATACTGCTGAGACTTGGTTATAGGAAGCAGAAACTCAAGTAGACCTCCCTCCCTTCCTCTTGCTTGCAGTCAGTTGTTGCGATAAGATCTAGATTTGGCATTTTAAAGGGGAAAGCTGTGAGCAATTGATGGGGAATGTTCTGCAGGGACATCTCAAAGCCTGGGATGGGTGGGACGGAAATTACTATTCTTTGGTGTGGAATCTTCATTCTCTAGGCCAGTGATGTCCCCTGCTCATTTTACCAAGGTTAACAGGGTCAGTCTCTTTCTCTGGATTTAAATTGTTTAAAATGATCATTTAGGTGGCTCAGAGGGTTTGCAATTGATGCCTGGGAACCAGTAACAAATTGTGAGCAGATTACAAATTTCAGTCTGGTGGCCTGTTTTTTCTTTCCTCCAACCCCCTTCCCCCGTGCTCAGAACATTTTTGCTGGGATTTAAGTTGTTCTTACCTGCACGCACATTTAACACTCAACATTGTGGTTCCTGGGTTACCATCTGGGGATAATTCAATATGCTGATGGCATTTTAGGCATATTCATTGGCAAAACATCTATTTTTACACCTTTTCCTATCAGAGGGATCTAACTTCTGTTTTTTTACATCATTTTAGATTTTGTATGCTGCCCCATGGATACTGTCAGTAATAGGTTTACGTAATGATCAGTTCTGTACGTTTCTAGAAGCTTTAAAAGCTTAATTGAGCACCCAGGTGGAGAAAATGAAGTCAGAATAAGTGAAATCATTTTGAAAAGAAGTATATTTCAGTAATTAAAGGAAAAAGGTGGCAGATCTTTGTTTTTGGTGATTAAGAATTACACAGGTTTCTCATTAGACCCTTAAAGAGAACTGAAGCATATTTCAATAAAAATATCAATTAGAATTTCTGCTTGACACATTCTCCTCCTGCATCCATCCCTAAAATGATGCATATACTTGGCCACAAATTCCACGTTAATTCTTAGATCTGTAGCAGTGTGAGCTAAACCATGACAGAATAAATTAGTCCATCAGGGTTTTCAACCTAGTGAACAAGTTAAGGAGAAAAACATTGAGCACATTTAATACATTCTTCACCCACTGGATACTATTGAGATCATTATCTGATGAGAGCTTGGTCCAGCCCTGGAACCCTCCGCAAATCTTCTCTTTGACAATTGAATTCCTTGTAAAAAATGTCCCCTGTCAATTCTGTTGGATTTGGGTTTAGGCATCATGATGGGGGATGATCTAAACTTTTTGCCTGGAATTTATAGGGTTCAATTTTTGTGTTTAATTGACTGATTTAATAAATGCTTTATTCTTATCTTTAGCACAGGGGCTGCCAAGAGAATGAACAGTTACACTGTAGACCATGTGTTTTAGGTTCACAAGATGAGAGAGAAATTTGGCTTATGTAGGCATTTCATTAGCAGCAGCCTCTAGTAATCCTCATTAGCTTCCCTTCTAATATGCATTTCTGATCCCGTTCTTTCTGCATTTTGATCCTGCTCTTTTTGTCTTTTGAGCTTGCTCTTTCCGCATTTTAGTATGAATTTTTACTTTCAGGCCACCATCTAGACTCACATTCTAGAAATGAGAAATGAGATTAGGGTAATCAGTAACTGTAATCCCCACCGGTAAAAATATGTTCAATGAATGATGTTATTTTTAGAATTCTGGGTTTTTAAGGCCTCAACCCTTTATACTCACCACTGACATTTATTTTCTTGTCCTTTAAATGGTTTAGGTTCTTAACCACTTTAACTCATTAAATAACCATGCGCATGAGACTAAGGATGGGAGACAAGTATTTTTTAGAGAGAAATGACTGGGACTTTAATTGTTCTTGGCCATGCAAAGGAAGGCACAGAGGCTGTGTCCCCACCTGAACCAGGAAGGGCGTTGTGGTTAGACTCACAGACCTGGCCTGGACCTGTCAGCCGTGATGAGGCTTAATAAGGAGCTGAAAGAGCTGATAGAGCACAGTGATGGCTGTTTCATATAGGGAAGCCCTCTCTGAGGAGAAACTTAAGCAGAGAACTAAATGAAGAAAAGGAATGAGGCATTCCATTACATGGGGAAAGAGGATTCTTGGCAATGTGAACAGTAAGTGCAAAGGCCCTGAGTCAGGAATGAGCTTGTCATGTTCAAGGCTAGCTAGAAGGTCATTGTGGCTAGAGCAGAGAGAGCAAGCAGAAGACAGGAAGACAGTGCAGTCTGAGCCGGTGTTGTTATATAACTCCTCTCCCCTCATTTTCCTCCTACCTCTTGATTTTTTGTGTGTGGACTCCTTCTGCTAATGCTGATGTTTGCCTGGGTTCTCTCAAACTTTTAAATAATTTGACTCTCAACCATTTGGATGACATTGGTTAGATACCTCCCAGATGCTAAACAATGACCCCATGTGCAGAGTCAGTCTCGTAGTGGGAGACCTGTAAACTGGAGCAAGAAAGTTTTCAGAGTTGTAAGTAGAAGTGTGGGGTGTGCCTGGGCATGAAGATAATAATAATGGCACTTTATGTGAATTAGCTCAGTTAATCTTCACAGCAACTTTTAAGACATTGATCCAAAGTCAGCCCTATATTCATTTGAAGAAGTTGAGGCACAGATAGGTTAAGGAACTTATTTAGGGAGTGTAATGAGAGCTAAGCCTAACTGTGGAATGTGGGAATCAAATGGGGTGAGAAGACATGAGAGCCTAGGACATCATTTCCCCTCCCATGACTTCATCTTTATTCAGGTGACTCCCACATAGAAATCACCAGTTAGAACTTCTTTCTTGCATGTGCTATGCTTGTATAGTTAGCTGCCAGACTATCTGTATGCTCTTCTCTCTTTGTGTTAGCATCACAAACTCAATGTGTCCAAAACAACCCCCATCTTCCTCTCCTGTCCCTGTTTTCTATAGAGTATCTCCAACTACTGAGCTCTAACTATGTTCCAGGCTCTAGCCTTAACCCAGGGTTACTAGAACGAATAAGATCTCCCGCTGTTTCTGTGACAGATGGCAGAGTCAGCTGGAGGAGACAGACTCCTAAATGGAGAATTATAATGCAGTGTTGTAGGGAAGGGCTGGGTAGGGTAAGGGATGGGCCAAAACAGTTTCCTGGAGGAGGAGATTGGGAGAAGGCCAACTGGGAGAAGGAGGTCATTCCAGGGAGCAACAGCAACATGAATGAAGATGAAGGGGAGAAATGTCAGGGGTGTGAAGGCAGCCACTAGTAGCATGGTGCTGGTAGGTGGAACATGACATCTGAAACAGAGTGGCTAGAGGTTGAAAGGGGCCAGCATGCTCTACCCAGTCACCCTGGAATCCTGGAAGTCATTGTGGAGTCCTCCCTTACCAGCACATACTAACAGTGACCTTGAGTAAATTTTTGTTTGTTTGTTTGAGACAATGTCTCACTCTGTTGCCCAGGCTGGATTGCAGTGGCATGATCCTGGCTCATTGCAGCCTCTACCTCCCTGGCTCAAGCAGTCTTCCTTCATCAGCCTCCATAGTAGCTGTGACCACAGGTGTGGGTCACCATGCCAGGCTAACTTTTAATTTTTTTTTTTTTTTTTTTAAGTAGAGGCAGGGTCTTGATATGTTTCCTAGGCTGGTCTTTCCTAGGTGATCCTCCTGCCTTGGCCTCTCAAATCCCTGCTGGAATTACAGGTGTGAGCCACCACGCCTGGCCTGACCTTGAGCAAATTAATTCACCTTCTGTGTCTCAGTTTTCTCATCTGTAAAATGAGGTCACTAAGAAGTTAAAATGCAATAGTACTGTCAAGTGCGCAGGAGCAGTATGTAGTGCTCAGTAAGCATTAGGTATTATTATCAACTCCTGCTCCTAGCCAGTATACTCTCAATCACCAAGTCCTGTTGGTCCTTTTTCCTTAACATCTTTCAACTTTGCTTTCTCCTTGCCCTGCCCTCTGTTCTTATGCTAGTCCAGGCCACCATCATTGCCCACTTTGGCTGCAACAGTGGCCTCCCAACTGGTTCCTCTGCTTCTAGTCCTGGCTTCTTTGAATTACACTTGCAAATCTGATCCTGTTGTTCCTTGTTTAAAATTCTCCAGTGGCTCTTCTCTGTGTAGGGCTAAAAATTGAACTTCCTGCCCTTCTCTCTTGTTGCCTTTGACCCTAGCATCCCACCCTCTGGGCGGGAGGTTGTTTGAGGCCTTCTCAGGTTTCTGGACCTTGATGCATGCTCTGAACGACTCCCTCCTTCTTTACAAGGCCCCCTCTCTTTTCCCCTTGACATTCTCTGTCTGACTTGGTGCTTCCTCTGGGACTTCTTAGGGTAAGCCCTTTCCATAGCAGGTTCTAATTTTGTACTGCGGTGAGTAATCCCCTCTGTGGGTTGTAAAACTCAGATGACAAGGACCAGCTATTTTATCTTTGTGTTCCTTGTGCCTCGCACAGTGCCTGGCACATAGTAGGTGACCAGTACTTGGGTGTGTGACTGAGGGAGTGAATGGAGTATAGTAGGGGGCAGTACACCATGTGGAAGTTTTAAAAACTCCTTTTTCCTATTGCAAATAATAAGCATAATAACTTTTACCCTTCAGAAAAGACAAACAAGCAAAAGAATAAAAGCATCCAGACTACATGGTGAGATCAGGTACATGCTAGCTGGCTGGGACTTATGCTTTACCTACTAGATAAATCCAAGGAGCTCTTTAATGACTTCTCTTGTTTTTTCCCTACACCACCTGACATGCTTGTTATTATGCAAGCAAGACACTCATGGTCAACATCGATTAGGATCCTTTTGATTAAGAAGCTGCAGCAAAGCATGTACAGATTATTTTTTGACCTTCAGCCCTTCATATTTTGTAAATTTCTTTGTGGGGTAAAATTAAATTAAAAAATTTTTTTGATTCTGAGAAGCAGCATTTTAATTCTTTCCTTTAAAACGTTATGTTTTTTTGTAACAGTGTCATAGTCTGCTCTGGGCTGCTATATAACAAAATGCCAAAGTCTGGGTGGCTTAAACAACAGACATTTATTTCTCATAGTTCTGGAGGCTGGAAGTCCCTGTTGGAGGTGGTGGCAGATTTAATGTATGGTGAGGGCCTGTTTCCTGGCTTGTAGATAGTCATCTTCTTGCTGGATGCTCACGTGGCCTTTCCTTGGTGTGTGCTCAGGGACAGAGTGGGATCTCTGTCTCTTATAAGGGAACTAATCCCATCACCGGGGGCCCATCCTCATGAACAAGAAGATAGAAGAGATAGAGATTACCCAGCTAGGAGGAAAGAATAGGTCTTGAATATTAACTTTTTTCGTAAACCTATAAAATACACGGGAAACGTGGACTAAATCAACACATTGATATTTCTGAGGAACACACTCATGTATACATGTACATACACAAGTTTACACAAGTAAACTACATTTTTTTCTTACTAGTCAGTTCTCTAGAACCTTTTATAAACAATTTAGAGTGCTTTTAAAAATCTAAAATCTAAACCCAATTATGTCCCAAATGCCCCATCCCCAAATACTATCACACTGGGGGTTAGTGAGGGCCTTAACATATGAATTTTGGGAGGACACATTCAGCTCACAATAAGTAACAATGTGGATTTTTCTACTAGAATGTAGTCCTAGACACACAGTCCACAGCTCCCAAGGAAGTTTCTAGAACAAACAATTTAAAATAGGCTTTGTGAGTGCTTACTGTGTGTCAGGCACTGTTGTAGGTTCAGGAAGCAAAACAAAAACAAACAAAAAACAAAAAAACAAAAAAACCTTGCCTGTTTCATGGATCTTATGATGTAATAATAAGGCATGAATCTTTACCTCCTGAAGATAATGAAAACAGAATATAAGATTTTCAACAGTGAATCAAGTAGGTGTAAGTAGGAAAGGAAAGGCTTTTCTCTAATTAGGGTTCATGAAAGGGCTTTTGTCACAGTGCCTGCTGCTAGAAGTGGAATCAAAGGGACGCCGGGATAATGAGCACCAGACACAGTATTTAAAATGCAGGAAAGGTGATTCAAGTATTTGAAAGCTTACGGGAGGCTTTGGCAAACATTTCTTGTGCCTTCTATGCATTAGGCTGAGACAGGGTTTGAGGATGCAAGATGAGTAAAAGATGGCTTTGCCCTCTGGGAGTCTGGGTCTCACTCAGGTCTGATGCAGGTTGCAGAGGAGAATACTACTAGAACTATTACTACTTCAACTAGTATCTCTCCTGCCTGTCTTCTAGTGAAGTGGCACATAATAAATGAAAAAACGTTATGAAAACAGCAATACTGTCTTTGTTTTATGATAGTAACAAAGAGATCTGTTTGCATAGGAAAAGCTCTTCCCAGTGGAAACACACTTTATATCCTCTGATTGATTTTTCAGCACCTTAGGGAGAGACCTCCCAAGCCACCACTTTCTACCTAGGACCAGCCTGTGTCTACTATATGTTTTTTGAATGGATGAATTTCAGTCACAACAAAAAGAAAGTCCAGGCCCAGGGAGGTTAGGTGAGGAGATAGAGATTACCCAGCTAGGAGGAAAGAATAGGTCTTGAATATTAACTTACACAGCAAACATGGACTAAATCAACACATTGATATTTCTGAGGAATACCCACATGTATACATGTACATACACAAGTGAACTACATTTTTTTCTTACTAGTCGGTTCTTTAGAACCTTTTATAAACAATTTAGATTGCTTTTTAAAAAATCAGATGCAGTAAGTAGTTATAACTCACTCTATACAATAAACATATATTTTGTAAATTAAATGGTATTTCTAGTGCGCCAGTGTAGGTAGTTATTAAAGGAATCAGATGGTGAATATTTTTGCAAAGTCAGTAGTTATGCATCATTCTTCTGTTTGGTAAGTTCTTGGCTTTCATCTGTCCCTGTATATAAGCAGGCTTGTAATATGTTTTGAAAGGTTTAATGAAAACCTTTTCTTTGTAAAATTTCTCCTTACTTTCTTGTGAGTGAGATGTTTGTTTGCTCAGCCTTTGTGGATTGTGGATTCCAGGAGAAGGCTTTACCTCAGCTTCTAGTCCCTGTGTCTTTGTCAGGGAAATTGGTATCTTTTTTTTTTTTTTTTTTTTTGAGACGGAGTCTCACTCTGTCACCCAGGCTGGAGTGCAGTGGCGCGATCTCTGCTCACTGCAAGCTCCGCCTTCCGGGTTCACGCCATTCTCCTGCCTCAGCCTCCCGAGTAGCTGGGACTACAGGCGCCCACCACCACGCCCGGCTAATTTTTTGTATTTTTGGTAGAGACGGGGTTTCACCATGTTAGCCAGGATGGTCTCAATCTCCTGACCTTGTGATCCACCCGCCTCGGCCTCCCAAAGTGCTGGGATTATAGGCATGAGCCACCACACCCGGCCGGAAATTGCTATCTTAACTGTCAACCTGGCCTATGCCTAAAATAAGGACTTTGGAGCTTCATAGTTTATAAACAATAATCAAGCAATTATAAGAATTAGTGAAATTTCCCCAAATCAGAGTGAAACGGATGACATGAAGATGAATAACTTAAAACAATTGCTTCAGTAAATGCTACTTACTTCTTGGGCTAGACTCATGTCAGGATATCAGTTCTGGTTCTCCCACTTTCTAGTTGTGTGATGAAGAGCAAATGACTTAACCCTCCAGGTGCCATTACCTCAATAGAAAAGAAAGGGAAGGAGCCCATCATTCTTGTATTTCTAGCAATCTGAGCGGTCACCCCTCAGAACCCAGCCTGGGTTTGGCTGCCAGTCTAACTTGCCATTTACCTCGTGATGTGAAAGCCACTCAGCATTTCCTATTATGATTGTCAGGTAATTCTCTCAAGTAATGTCCTCTCACCTGAAATTACTTGGAGATGGACTTCTCCTCATGGTAGTTACGTGATGTGTTCATTTTGTGATAATTTTCACTGAGTTGTGCACTTGGGATTTGGGCATTTTATTGTATCTGTGTTAAACTTCAGTAAAAAAAAAAGTCCTTTCTTTTTATTTTTAAGGCCCTTCTGCCTTGGGGCAGGTCTTTCTTAAAAAGAAGCTCTTTGAATCACACGATGCATGCCATTTCTCTTCTCAGCCTCAGTCTATGAATATTCTGAACTAATCTATTTCTTGTGTTTCTCCCTTCCTGATTACACTTGTAATTCTCCCATTCCTAGCGCAGGGCAGATCATACAGGTCCTTAAAAAGTCTTTGGTTGATTCCTAAGGCCTTGAGAGTTTTGCTTATGGGCCTTAAAGTTAAGCTGTAGATCAGTGCTGCTCAGTTTAATGAGACTGCAAATCATTTGGATATCTTGTGAAAATGAAAATACTGATTTAGTAGCTTCGGGGGAGCCTGGAATTCTGCATTTCTAATGGACTCTCAGGTGGTGCAGCTGCTGCTGTTCAAGAGACTGCACTCGGAGGAGCAGGGTGGTAGAGAACAGTAGTTGGTGCTTATATAGTGAATGCTACCATGACTTATGCATGTGAACTGTATAAAGTGGCCCTGGTTAAAGGAACTAGACTTGGAATTCTGTTCTTTTAATTTAGACATTTTTGGTTGTGTTTTGCTTGATAGAAATATGCTTATATTCTCTGTTTTGTTTGGCCAGTAGTGCAACATTAAAAAAACTTTGAAAAAAATTGGTAATTTATACACACACACACACACAGAAAAGTGCAGATAATAATATTTAATAGTTGCCCCGGGACCCCCCCCGCCCATTCCCTAAAAAGGACTTCTACTCTGATTTTTATCATCACAGATTAGGGTTGAAAAACATGGCCTGTAATGATATTGATTTATTTTTTAATTGTTGAGATTTGCTTTATGGTCTAAAGTATGGTCAAGTTTTATAATACTTCACCATGGGCTTAAGAAGAATATATATTCCCTGACTGTCAGATGAAGCATTCAGTAACTGTCCATTAAATTGAGATTAATTGTACTGTTCAAATTTTCAGTGTTTTTACTAAAATTTTTCTTGCCCAAGCAATCAGTTATTAAGTATGTTAAAATCATTCTTCTCATGGTAGGTTTGTCTGTTATTCCCTGTAGTTCTGTTAATTTTTGCTTCATAGGTTTCAGATTATTTTATTCTGGCCATATAGATTTAACATTTGTTTATACCTTCTTGGATAATTGAACCCTGAACCTTTCATCATTATTACTCACCACCTTTATCCTTAATAATGCTTTTTGTCTTAAAGCCTTTTTCCTAAAAGTAATATAGGTACCCTGGCTTTATTTTGGTTAGTATCTGCTTGCTGCATCTTTATAAATATTTTACTTTCAACATTTGTGTCCTTAGGTTTTAGATGTTTCTCTTACAAACAGCATTTAGTTTTTTTTGGTTGTTGTTTTTAGAAATCCATCTCATAGTCTCTTAAATAGCAAATTTAGACCATTAACATGTATTGTTATTACTACTATATTTGAACTTATTTTTAACCATTTTACTTTGTTCTTTCTCTGTATTTTTCCTATGACTTTCCCCCTCATTTATTTCCTTTATCAAAGTTGAACTTTTTTGTTATATTCCTTCTCCCACTGTTCCTCACCACCCTACCCCATCCTTACCCCTTTGAACACAACTAACTGGTTTGGAAATGTAGTCTATTTCTGCTGTTTTAATAATTGCCCTTGTACTTTTACTTCAATCTTACTTAACAAATTCTACACCTATTCATTATATTTTGTTTAACTAACTCTAAATTTAATATGTTAACCTCTCCTCCAAACAATACTTTGAGCACCCAGCTCCTGGCTTGTATTCTATTATTATTTAGTATTTTACTTTTATTCTTTTTTTAAACCCTCCTATATTAGACATTAAAATTATTATTTTATATTGACAGTAGAGTTGCCCACATATTTACAAGAATTCCACATTCAGTGGAAAGACATAAATAGGCACTGTGTTTTCTTTTTCGTGGCGGTTAGGATGAAAGGTAAGATAGTTTAATTGTTGAGATGGGCTTTATTTTCTTTTGTTATAAGATTGTGTTGTTTATGAACACGCCCCCAAATAATTTGAGATAAATAAAATGTGTGTAGTTTTGTCCACACTTTTTCGCTAAGCAGTCCTCTGAAAACAGTAGATCTTGTTCTGTATGGAGCCTCAATGCTTAGCACATCAGATAACTGACTGTCAAAGATGTAACACCAGATACAGGAGGAACCTGCCTAACCCAACTTGTGATATTAATCTGTCCTCCTGTCTTTGCCTCTGCTCTCAATTGCTTTTCTAGTGTAAGACAAACCTGGATTCTGATTCCAGCTTTGTGACTTCCTGTGAGTGTGACTCTGGGCAAGTTCTTTAATTTTTTGAGCCCCTAATTCCTCATCTGCATAATAGAGTTATACCTTAAAAGAGTTGTTTTGAAGCTTAAATAATGGGTATAAGTGAAATAATAAATGTTCAGCATAGTGCCTGACAAAGAGTGAGTGCTCAGTAACTGATGGTGTCTAATTCCACCACCTTTTCTTTTTCCTAGGTACTTTTACAGAATTTGTATTCTAGGTTTGCCCTGCCATAATTTCCGCACTTCTCTATTTCTTTAAAAAAGTTATAGTGAACTATAATATACATGTAGACAAGTGAGGAAGAAAAATGTGTAATGTAATATATAATTATAAAATGAATGCCATGTAGCCACCACCTCGGTTAAGAAACAGAACACTTCCAGCATCCCCGAACCCACCCCTGCCCCATACTCTTTCATAACGCAAACTCACTTCTTCCCCGTCAGTGGAACCACCACGCTGACTTTTGTGCTAATTATTTTGTTGCTTTTCTTTATAGTTTTACCATCCATTATGCAGTAATAAACAATATAATTCAGTTGTGTTTGTTGTTGAAATTTTTATAAGTGGATTCACAGATATTATTTTCAGTTTGCTCCTTTCATTCCATATTTTGCTTGTGAGACTCATTCATAATATTTTGTGTAGCTTCACTTTAATTTTCTTTGCTATGTGGGATTCCATCTTATGGATATCCTGTTTCTTATAAGTATGAAATAAAAATATAGCTGGAGGTTGCAGTGAGCTGAGATCACACAATTGCACTCCAGCCTGGGCAATAAAAGCAAGGGCAAAACTCTGTCTCAAAAAAAAAAAAAAAAAAAAAAAAAAAAAAGGTAACACTAATTGAACACGTTCTATGTGGTAGGTCCTGTTATATAAATACTTTCTCATGTATTAAATAATTGAATGCTCATATAATGTTATAATATAGGTGCCTTTATTATTCTCATTTTACATATGAGGAAACAAAGCCACATAGAGAAGAAATAATGTGTCCAGGGGTTGGAATAGACTGTTTAATCTGGATACTGACTCTAGAACCCACAATGTTCATTAATCTCATTCATAGTCTCAAGTTTTCCCACTAGTTACATGATTTTATCATTTAACTCTAGGTGGTTCTTAAAGGATTAAATGGATATTCAGGCTCTTCTGTAAAATCTAGCCTTTTTGTTTTAATTCCAGTAGGTAAGAATACCTTCCTTCAGGTCATCACTTTGCACTTGGCAATTGCCACGGCTCTTTGTACTTTTGCTCTTGGAGTCTTTTCAAAATACTGCCACCAAAATTGTTGCCCTGGTTTTACCATTCAGGCTTGATTCAAATTGCCATAGTTTTGCTGTTCATAGCCTCTTCCTAGGCATTCATTTCCTAATTCAAGCATTCTGCTTGTTTGTTGATTACTGATTTCTCATTATGCTTTTTCTTCTTCATTCCTTTTCTCCTCCTCATTCATAGTCATTTCTGTGCTTATAAATCTCTCTCTCTCTCTCTGATTGTATACATTTTTTGGTGCCATTGACCTGTCCTATGAAAGTCTTCTTCCTTCCAAAATCTTATAAGTATAGATCAGGATAGAGCCCTAGAGAAGGGTTTAGAAAGAATGAGGAATGACAACTTTAGAGTACTTAGTTTGATATGTTTTAAGTCTGAATTTTATTGATTCAGCAAATTCCACAAATATATACAGAATTATTTGCTAACTATGGATTTCATGTAGCTGATTTATTTTTTTAAACCGTACCTCCTCCCCTGCCCCCCAAGAGTGAGATAAGCACTATTGTTACCATTTGCAGGTGGAGGAATCAGTACTTAAGGAAATTAAACAGCTTGGCCATGTTCAAAGAGGTTATGTGTAGCAAAGCTGGGCTTCCAACTTAGGTCTTCTGACTCTCATCCCAGTGCTTTCTCTTTGATCACAGCAACCTCTCTGAAATTAATAGGAAGGAGAATTAATTATTTGTTTGTTCCTTCTTTAATTTTGTTCCTTCCTTTTTTAAAACCAACGAACATTCATTGAGCATTTACCTTATGCCAGCCACAGCACTAAACTCTGGAAATTGCAAATTGGATAACATGTGGGTCTTCCCTGGACAAGCTCATGGTTGAGGAGATGTGTAAACCAGTGTAATCTTGCATGCCCAGTGCTATTATTGGAGGTGTGGCTAGCTGTTCAGGAAGCATTCTAGAGATTGGAGATGGTTTGGAGATGTTTCTTAGGGAAAGAGTTGGCCACATACACTTGCTAGAATTAGTTTTCCCATATTAAAAATAGTTTTAAAAATATTTCCTAGCATTTACCTTTCTGTTTGTGAATGTGCACTGGCCTCTGAGAGCCACCACTGTTTCTCTGTCCTCTGGCTTGCCACCTGCTTTTGTCAATACTTCCCAACTGCTTTCAAACCAAGGGCACCTATAGAAAACCCCTTAAAGATGACTCCTATTTCCTGGCTTCTCTGTCCAGGTACCTGCTGTTCTTTCCTGCTAAGAACATTCACCTACAAAGCCATCTTCTCTGTCAATCCACATTGTGTTCCCATTAAAGTCTGAATTGATACGTTTCTAGGCACCTTTTCTCTTTGGATGCATTTGACTAAATCCTAATAATTACTTCTTCCCCTCAGACCTATACTTTCCACCATTATAGATCAGAATTTTCTTATTGTCACATAATGTTCAAATGTTGCCTTTAGACCAGTGTTGCAACTATTTAATATGACTCTTGTAACCTGTAGTGGTTTATATTAGACAAAATGTATTTATTGTAATATTTTAAAATCACTTATACCCTATGTTAATTTTTTTACAGCAGTTTTAGGTTCATAACAAAATTAAAAGGAAGTTACAGAAGAGTTCCCAAACCCTCCTGTCCCCACATATACTCCCCTGTTATCAATATCTCCCACTGGAGTGGTGCATTTGTTACAATTGATAAACCTACATCAACACGTCATAATCACCCAAAATCCATAGTTTATATTAGGGCTCACTCTTGGTTGTTGGGTAATTTAATAATGACTTGTATCCACCATTGCAGTATCATACAGACTAATTTCATTGCCCTAATAATCCTATGTGGTGTTGCTGTTTATTCCTTCCCTCCACTCTGACCCCTGGCAACCACTAATCTTTTTATTGTCTCCATAGTTTTGCCTTTTCCAGAATGTCACATAGTTGGAATCATAAAGAATTTGGCCTTTTCAGATTCATTTCTTTAACTTAGTATTATGCATTTAAGGTTCCTCCATGTCTTTTCATGACCTGATAGCTCATTTCATTTTAGTGTTGAATAATATTCCATTGTCTGGATATACCACAGTTTTATTTTCCATTCCTCTATGGAAGGTCATCTTGGTTGCTTCCAAGTTATGGCAACTATGAATAAAGCTGCTAGGATATGCCACAGTTTTATTTTCCATTCCTCTACGGAAGGACATCTTGGTTACTTCCAAGTTATAGCAATTATGAATAAAGCTGCTATAAACATCTGTATGTAGGTTTTTGGATGGGCGTAAGTTTTCAGCTTCTTTCAGTAAATACCAAATACCAAGGGGTGTGATTGCTGGATGGTATGGTAAGAGTATGTTTAGTTTTGTAATAAATTGCCAAACTCTCTTCTAGAATGGCTGTACCATTTTGTATTCTCACCAGCAATAGAGGTCCTGTTGCCAGCATTTGGTCTTGTCAGTGTTCCAGATTTTGGCCATTCTAATAAATGTGTAGTGGTATTTTATGTTTGTTTTAATTTGCATTTCTCTGGTGTCTGACGTGGAGCATCTTTTCATGTGTGTATCTGCCATCTGTATCATCTTTGGTGATGTGTCTGTAAAAGTGATTGGCCCATTTTTTTAAGTCAGCTTATTTGTTTTCTTATTGTTGTTTTAAGAGTTCTTTGTATACTTTATATAACAATCCTTTATCAGATATGTGTTTTACAAATATTTTCTCCCAGTTTGTGCCCTGTCTTCTCATTCTGTTTGTATTATCTTTCATAGAGTAGCAGTTTTTAATCCAGTGTATCCATTATTTTTTTCATGGATCTTGTCTTTGGCGTTATATCTAAAACATCACTGCCATCTAGATGTTTTTCCTATGTTATCTTCTAGGAGTTTTTAAATTTTGTGTTCCTGCAATGTTTCATAAACAATTTCAAATACTCCTGATCTAGATTTGAGCTCTCTTCTGCCACATGCTGTCAGTGTGACCTTGGGCACGGCACTCAGCCACCTGGATTCTCAGCCTTTCCATCAGAGATGTAAGGGTGGCACCTACCTCGTGCACGAAATGTTGTGGGTGAAAATGCTGATATGCAATGCACCTGTGAGGCTTTGATTTCTTTTGCCCCCCTCTGCCTAGAACATTTTCTGTTCACGGTAATGAGGAAATTGATTCCTGTGCTGCACTTTTAGCTTTTGAGGGCATTGCATCTGCCCCTCTCTGTCTCCACTGCCACTCCTCCCATGGTTTGACCACCACTATTTCTCGTCAGAATACTGCAGCAGCCTCGCAAATAAGTCCTTCTACTCTCATCTCAGTGTCCTCCAATCTATCCTGGAAACTGCCACAAAGTGATCTTCCTAAAACAAAAATAGGATCCTGCTTTCTAGGCAGAAGCCAAACTTGTTAACTTGGTTTACAAGACACTTTGCAACCTGGCTGCTGCTCATCTCTCCTTCTCTTACTGCATTCAGCTGCTAACCCACGAAGCTGCCTGTGGCCTCTCAGCCTCCAGAGGATGGAGGATGGGGATGATAGCTCCCCTGCCTGCATCGTTTCCCTCAATTCATCCACTTTTTGCCCAGTCAGATAGTACTCACCTTTTAGGTTTTCATTAGGATGTTAAATTTCCTCCAGGAAACCTTACCTGATACTCTTTAGTCTATAGTCTGGGTCAGGCACCCTCTCTCCTGTCTAACTCCCTGCCCCCAACTGCCCAAGCACCCTTCACTCTCCCATTGTAATAATGATGACATGAAACTGCAATTGCCTGTGTGTAGCTGTCTGGGTTGTTTATTGATATGTTCTAAGTGCCCATCCCAGGGTCTGGCACCTGGCTCTCCCTAAACGTTGATGGGTGAACCACTGAATGAGTATGAGACTACCCGTGTCATAGACAAGGAGAGCTGGTTTATTTACCACCAGTCATATATTTACATTGTGGTCATGGTGTCTACTAAGTTATAATTAACCTTCTTGTCTTTTATTTTCTTAACAGACAAAGATGTGAGCAGCGGAAGTTATAACCTTTCCTCTGCAACGACGGGCAGCTACTACAGTTGTGTCAGCCAGATCACCATAGGTGAGCACTAGTGTCATTTTGATTTTTTTAAAAAAATATTATTGCCTGGAAAAGCTGGAGGTCAAGGGGGTGGCTGGGGAGGAGAGGGAAGAAAATATAAATGCATAGGCATTTATTTTCAGAATCAGAGCAATTGCTTGTGGACTCACTTTTCTGGATCGCCCTCTTGTGGATTTCTACTGCTTTTGCATGGAATTAGATGGAGGAAATGTCCAGGGAGATAAGAAGTCATCTCTTGTTCCCAGATCTTCATCATTTGCTTTAACCCTTTTGTTTTTGTAGCACCTGTACTATTATGCACTTGATAGTACAATCGAATTACTTTTTAAAGATTTATATTAATCTATTTTTAAAAGAAATAAGTGCAAATTGAAAATGCATGGTAAAAGTCTACTCTTTGCTGTTTGGAGAACATGCTAAGCAAGTGTTAGAGTGCTGCTGAAAATCAAAGTGAGACTTTCTCCTTGTTATGCTCACTCAACCTTAAACACTGGTTACTTTGGTCGAAAGTAGAAGAGTGAGCCGTGCCATTTTTCTTTTGGTTGAATCCTTCTTCTCCTTTCCATTTCCTTTCAAAACTTTCTTGATTCTAGAATGTTGGGCAGTGACTTAGAGATCAGAAAAGAAAAGTGAAGATAATAGCTACAGCTTATGCTTATTTTGCACTTATTGCCTGCCAGCTGCTCTTGACTCCCTGCATACATTATTTTACTTAATCAGAACTCTATGAGCAAGTTACTGTTATTTCTCCATTTTACAGATGAGGAAACTTGCGCTTTGCCACCCAGCTAGAAATTAATTACCCAAGATTTCATTCTAGGTCTGTTTGACACTAAATCCTATATACTCTTAAACACTATGCCGTGGCTTCTCAAACTCCAGCAATGTGGATGCCTATGCAAAGCATTAATGATGAACCTCTAAAATGGATTTAAATTATTTTTATTATGAGGTTACTTAAGTATGTTCAAACATAGAACTATATATAGACACCTTGCATTCCAAATAGCCATTAAAATTGATTTTGCAGATGAGATTTAAAATTCAGTAACCCAAATAAAAATACAAATTTACCACACTAATTGAATATGATGTATGTTGTTATTTTGCTGAAATGCAGTCACTGCTTGTAATGCAATGGGGTACTGGCTGCAGTGATGTTGGTTCTTTGAGTGCAGTACAGTTTTACTGCTAGGTACTTCATGATGACTCTGCATTGCTGCCACCTTTCTGAGTTCAACCCCCTGTGAAATCAATGTTAATGCTCACTGATGTGAGGTTATTGAATCTTCATTTGCCATGAATGTACCTCGGCATATCCATCTCTCCCCTTTTCTCATTCATTGTACCAATTGGTGCCAAACCTGATAGAAACACAAAAGTAAACCCAGGCATTAAAATTAAGTGGCAGGACTTGGTTCAGAATATGCTTGTATTAATTTTTAAATGATTAACTTTTAAATGAGAAACAAAGATAGTTTAAAAATTCTCGTGGAGAGCTCGCAGACCCTGGTTTGAAAACACTGAGCAACCTAAAATGCCATTCCCAGAGACATCAGTGAGACATTAAACATTAGCTAAGTAGTAGGAGGACATTTAGGGTTCACAGTAGGGGGGTGACAAGACAAATGTATGGATGAGAGAAGATTATTATGGTGGTGAACAGGATGGAGTTCCTATGGGAGAATCTGGTGTTGTAACAGAGTTAGTGGCTGTGACTGTGGTCTTGACATGAGACAGAAATCAACTAGGGAGGTGGGATGAAGAGGCGGGTCTAGGGGGAGAGGGATGGAATTGCTGGCAGGACTAGTCATTGGCTGGATATGGGGATAGTAAGTGTTCCCTGAGATTTTGCATCAGGGTGACAGAGTCTGAGCTGTTCCCAGGAATGTGGAAGTCAGGAAGAGGGAGGATGTGATGGTGATAGGTTAGATGTGTTGATTTGATGTGCCCGTGAGACTTCTCACGTCAGAATGCCTCACGGAAAATTAGAAATATGGAGAACATGTTCAGGAGATGAAGATATTGGCACTATCTGCACAGAGAGTTCAGTCAAATCTTTGGAAGAAGATGAGATAATAAGAGTGAGAATTAGTACGTTGTGTGTGTTTGGAGGACCAAGGACCAATCTTTGGGGGAAGCACGGTGAGGGTAGAAATAATGACAGAGGTAGGAGAACCAAGCAAGCACCTTTCTTGGAAAGCCCAGAGAATTTCTAGGACAGACTGAGGAGGTTGAAAATTAAAGTCTGCCTTGGTGACATCGTGAGAGCCACGTGAGTGGGTGGCGGGATGGGAGCCACGTTGCAGAGCTCTGAAAAGGGAGAGGAGGGCTGTGAGTAGAGAATTCTCTTTTAAGGTGCTTTTTTCAATGAAAATGGAGGGGTAGATAGTGTGAGGATGATTCAGTAGCTAACAAACACTTTGGGGAGCTTTCTTTTTGCCAAGCACTGTGTTCTAACTACTTTTTCTGTATTTACTCATTTAATCCTCAAAAAGATCCTGAGGTAAACAGTGATATTTTCCCCCATTTTATAAATGAGGAGATGGAGTCCCTGAGAGGGTAAAGAATTGCCTGAGGACATATGAGAGTAAGAGCTGCAATTTGAGCCCAGGTCATTGGGCTCCTATTGGATGACACTCTTGTTACCTGACATCTTGCAGACTTGGGCCAAGTGGCCTTCCCTGGTCCAGTCAGCTTTAGCTACCATGTCAGGGTGTTGGGTTGAAATGTATCCCCCAAAAAGGTACTTTGAAGTTCGAATCCCCAGTACCTGTGATTGTGACTGTATTTGGAAATAGGGTCTTTGCAGGTGTAGTTAAGTTAAGATGAGGTCATCTGGACTAGGGTGGGCCCTACTCCAATGTGACTAGTGTCCTTATAAGAAGGGAAGAGACACAGAGACCATACAGAGAGAGCTGTGTGATGGCAGAGGCAGAGATATGAGTGATGCATCTCCAAGCCAAGGAATACCCTGGGATTTCTGGCAACACCAGAAGCCTGGAGAGAGGCATGGAACAGATTCTCCTCTAGAGCCTTCAGAGATAGCACAGCCCTGCTGACACCTTATTTTGGACTCGCAGCCCCCAGAACCATGAGAGAATAAATTTCTGTTGTTTTAAGCCACCCAGTTTGTGGTACTTTGTCACAGCAGCCCTAGAAAACTAACCTCTGAAGGGGAGGTAGGTATGACAGATGCTTAATCTTCCCAGAAGGTGCCAGTGTAACAAGAAGGCTCTTGAATACTGCTTCAGTTCCCTGGCTCAAATTGGCTGAAACGATAGGAAATTTATTATTTCACATAACAGGGACACCAGAGGCAGGCCCGTCTTTAGGATGGGTTGATTAGGCTGCTCAGTGACATTGTGAAAGGCCTTCTCCCCTGTGCCTTCCTCTCTCAATTTATCTTCATGGTGGCAGCCACATGGCTGCAGGGTTTCAGGAATTGCATTCAGACCTGACAATGATCACAGGGTAAGAAGTTTTGGTGCCCTCCTCAGGCCATTGCTCTAGGAGCTGAGAAACTTTCCCCTGCAGCTCCTTGACAGACTCCTCCTATCTCACTAGGCAGGTCTGCGTCCCAAGACCCCATCCTTGAGCCAATCATTGACAAGGGAGATGGCATTATCTTTGGCCCTATCAGGCCCACCTGAGGCTTTTGGACAGGGATGAGGATGGGAAGGAGCCTTGTGTCCTGGGTCACAAGGCTGTGTGGGGTGGGACAGATTCCCAAATGAAGTCGTGGCTCTGTTGGGAGGGAGGAGGGGAATGATTCTGCATAGGCAATGGGCAATATCCACTGCTCACAGTCTGTCCAGTGCAAAGCACTTTTGCAATATTTATAGTAAGAACAAAAATACTTTACAACCTTAGACTCAAAGCACTAGAGGGAGGACAGATCTATGGATCATCCAAGAGGTGTTTTCTAAAATCTCCTTTGTTTTCTTTCATTTCTTGTACTTCAGTCCTTCTCTTACAGAATAGTCATCTCACACAGAAGTGTCACATTTGTGAGGGTGTTCCATTTAGGAAAATAGCATATGTGTGGATTTCCTAGTAATGTGGTTCCTAGATGAACCTATGTCTTGCCCAAAGCAGGGGGGTCAAAAAATCCAGGGAACAGAAGAAAGACTCCTCCTAAAACTATTCTGTTTATCCATGAGATACTCGATTAGCTCCTTATTTTCTAGATAAATTCCCATTTTAGCCATGTATGAGAGATTTAAGAACCACATAGTTAACATTATTTTTTCTCAAGACAGCTTACAATTTGGGGTGTTCTTTCTCTTTCTTCACAATTTTGGGTTCAGTGGGAATTGAGACCCCTATTCCTGCCTCCCTCCCCAAGAGGGGACATGATGGTGGGTGAGGGAGGATGAGCAGGCTATCAATGCTGCCAATGTGACATTTCTATTCTTTGCCCCGTGGGTATCAGCTGTTCTCTTGGATGGTTGTCTCTTCAAAATACTGTGGCTTCATTGTTGCTTTTAAATTGAGACTCATCTATTTATATTCCATCATAATTATGCAGATCTTGTCATAGCTCGTTTATATCAATAATGCAGATTAAAATATTTGCTAATGAACTCCATTTTCAGAGTAAATGATGTAGAAATTTCCTAAACAAAAAAGACTTGTTAGCTGTGTGAACTATATTTTTTCAAAATTAAATATATGCTATAAATTAGCTATAATTTTATATAAGAAATGCTAAAACCTGAAATCTTAGAGAGTCCAGAGTTCCTTAGAGACTTTTTATTTTTTTGGAAAAAGAACATATATTTATTTATTAAGTGTTTATGATGAATCAGATACTATATATTTATATATTTAACCGCATATATTTAAGGTGCACAACATAATGTCTTGGTATACATAGTGAAATGATTACTACAGTCAAGCAACTTGACATGACCATCATATCACAGTTACCTTTTTTAACATGTGTGTGGTAAGAGCACCTAAAATCTACTGTTAGCAAATTTCCAGTTCACACAAGATGAAGTTATTAACTCTAGTTCTCATGCTGTATATTAAATCTCTAGACTTATTCATATTACATAACTTAATTACAACTTGGTACTTTTTTACTTACGTCTTCTGATCCTCCTTGCTCCTGGTAATCACCGGTCCACTCTTTGTTTATATATATCTAAATCTTTATATATATATAATCTCTAAATCTTTATATATATATCTAAATCTTTATATATATCTAAATCTTTATGTATATATAATTTGTATATATATAAAATCTTTATAATTTAATGTAAATTAATCCTTATAATTTATATATATATAAAAGTTTATATATGTAAAAATTTTGTGTATAAGTGAGATCATAAACTTATTTTCTGTTATTTCACTTAGCATAATATTCCCCAGGTTTGTCCAAATTCATGTTACCTTCCCCATGTCTCAGACCCTATCCCTAGAAAGCCTCCCTCCCCTGAACTCCTGAGGAGCAGTTTCTGATCTACTTTAAAATGGTTTCTTTCATCTTGCTTTGTACTGTAGTTAGTTGTAGTTTATGGGAAAGAACATAGATTTTGGAGTCAAATCTGTGCTGAAGTTCTGCCTCTGGAACTTGATGTAGGCCAGGTTGAGATCCAGTTTTCTCATCTGTAAAACTGAAATTGTGATAGTCCCCTTGTACAATTGCTGTGAGGATTCTAGATCAGTTCTGCAGTTTCTATCTTATAGTAGGCCTTAAGTAATTTTTTTTATTATGAACACAGGTCTTATTTCCTTTATTGATTGGACTCTGAGCTCCTTGAAGGCAGAGTGGGCACTTAGCATGCGCTTAATAAACATAAGTTGATTAAGTGAACAAGAGCCATCAAGAGGGATGATGCCTGCCTGTTTATTATGAACATGCATTCTTAGCTCAAATGGTATTTGGTTTGACTAACAGCTAAGATTTTGGGGAAGTATGAAAATAAGCACACTATATGGCTTTGATTGCTGCCACTCACCTAATATGTTTATCTCACCAGGTTATGACGTTGCGGGGCCTGTGGCAATTGGGCTTACCCACTGGAAAAATCCATACGTACAAGGCAGACCAACCCTCCCATCAGATCTGCCTCTCTTCGTCTCCAAAGATGCAGGCATCCCTGTGTACCACCGATCCTTCACCCGCAAGACTGACCAGGCCACACCTTTGTCCTGTCCAGCCTCACTGTCTATCACTCCAGTGCCTTCTTACAGCAGTAGCAGCCAGGAAACCCTGAGTCAAGACACAACAGGTAAGTGTTGGCTTCCTGTTGGAGATTCGGGACTGGGTGTGTATAAGATTCCTTCATGCATTTGCCTGCTGAATAAATTGCATTTGTATTTCTGCTTGTGTGATATGATGGACCCCAACAATACCTCTATGTTCATACTGGCTTTTCTTTTTAATGAGATGGGGTCTCACTTTGTTGTCCAGGCTGGTATCGAACTCCTGGCCTCAAGCAATCCCTCCCACCTCAGCCTCCTGAGTAGCTGGGACTACAGGCACGCACACCACCATGCCCAGCTCTCACTGGCCTTTAATAGCTTTGCTATACCAGAAGGAAGGTTGAATGTGTATAGAAATATTTGACCTAAGTGCTAGTTCTGTTTGGTAAAATGTTATCTAGAAATCAACTCTGAATCAGAATTTCAAGATATGTCATATGGCTTTAATTTATTGAATGCTCTATTTAGTGACAAGATATCTATCTTGGACTAAACTCGTGTATTCAAAAAAGTCATCAAAAAGTCATCTTTGAATACCGTAGTTAATATCAATTCATGTTGCTCCACCAAATTGATCTATTTCAGGGGTCTGCAAACTACTGCCAAATCTGGCTGGCTACCTGTTTTTGTACAGCCCGAGAACTAAGAATAGTTTTTACATTTTTAAATGGTTGGAAAAAAAGTTTTTAAACAATATTTTGATACACATGAAAGTTACATAAAATTCACATTTCAGTATTTATATATAAGGTTTTCCTGGGACACAGCCACACTGATTCATTTCTGTATTGTCTATGGCTGTTTTCACATAACAGTGGCAGAGTTGAGTAATTGTACTCTTGCAAACGCTGAAATATTTATTATCTGGCCCTTTATAGAAAATGTTTGCTGACTGCTGATCTATGTGATCCTTGGAAGTCATGAGTTAAACAGTCAGGGCAAGAAGAATGCTTACAACATCCTGCCTTAAAATTTATCGCTTATATCACACTGGAAATAGCTGCAGAAATGGCCATGCAAGGATGGCCAGTTAATTGTTTTTATTTCTAAAATCTGAGTTGGAGGTTTAAATTATGCAAAATCTATCCTGCCATGTTTTCCTTCTATAGATACAGCACTTAGAGGTAATGGTTTAGTCAGCCAAATCCAATGTGTAATTCTGGTTCTGGAAATAAATCTTTGAATGTTGGGATACCACGACACTCAACAATTTATAGATGCTGCCACCTAGAGGTAAGATGCTGAGGTTGCAGAAGTTCCAGATTATCAAAACTAATCTTTAAAGCAGTAGATTGCAGACTTCACTAAAGGTTAAGAATCAGCACTGCACTTGTTAAAAATGAAGATTCCTGGGTCTTACCCCAGGGGATGCTGTGTCCATGGCACAGGGTGAGCTTCAGCAATCTGCATTTGGCAGGCTTTTCCTTCCTGGGATTTTGATTCCTGCGGTTCACAAACATACCTGGAGGACCCCCTCCAAAGGCTCTTTAGTCAAATGGCTGAATTGAAATATCAGGGATTGGTAATGAAGAGCACTGGGGAACATTTGCATACCATCAGTTCTGCACATGGCAAAAGTAATCATCTTTCTGACTGTCCTTGTTGAAGGTCAGTTTGACAGCGGAAAGAAATCACTATCTGGGGCTTGAAAATGTTTCTGTATAGTAAGTTTAAAATTTTCTGGGTTTTGCTTTTATTGTGAAGGAAAGCTGACTCTTCTTGCTTTAGTTTAATAAAATCAGAAGTTAATATATAAAGTACCTCCTTTATATATTAACCCAGGGTAGCTGAAAGCTTATGGCATTTTTTGGCAAAGAGGGGTGTGAAATGGCAGCTGCCAGATTAACATTTTATCATGGTTCCCTTAGTTGACTTTTTTTCTCCTCCATAGAGCACTATACTCAGAGTCAATCTGATTTTTGGATAAAGGTTTCTGTGTTTAACTTGGAGGTTTTCACAAACAAAAGCCTATAATTCTCTTCATTCCTGGGGACTTTCCATTAGCAATAAAATATTGATTTGTTCCAAGCAACTGCTTATTATTATTCTTACTATTAGTATCCTAACAAAGTAAGCCTGGACATCCAAATATATACTACACAAGCATGTGATAATCATTTTATCATAGAAAGTTATAGATGCTGGTATAGTTTTTGTAAGTCTCGACAATGACTATGTGTAGGCCAATTATTACATTTATTTGATTTTTTAGAACAAATTGTTGATTTTAATATGTATTTTTGTGTGAAAGCTTATAGTTTCCTTTCTTTTTATTTGTGTTTTAAAGAATAAAGTTAATTTCATTTTGTTTAAAAAATACAGTTTTATTACTCATTTATACTTAATTTTTTGCTTCTTTTGCTAGTTAAAAGAAAACTCTGAGGTGAGATAAGTCAGTTCAGCTATACTAGGATACCCTACAAATTCCAGACTTTGCCAGACATCCCTTCACAATTCTAAGCTATCTCTCTTCTCTATAAACTTTTGGACTGATATAGAGGAGCTGACAAGTTTTAGGCACAATATAACTATACAATTATTCATGGATTGTGAGAATTTTCTTATGTTTAAGAATTTCCCAAACACATTATAAAATCATTTTTCCATTTTATAAATCCCACCATTCTGCAGTCCTAGAAAGAATGCTTAATAGCAGAACACTAACTAAATGACTAGAGCTTCTTGAGCTCTCATTTTATTTAGCTGTGTTCGCTATTGTCACCATCCTATTCCATCATTCTTTCCCTTCATTGTGTGACTAACTTCTATAGTAGATTCTCTTGTATTAGACTTTACTTAACCCTGCTTGTCACCTTGTGCAGTGAACAACTTGTGAAACTGCATAGTGGTCCTGAATGTAGTTCTTCCTTATGACAGAAAAACTGTTTCCAGTGTCCAGCTTGGTCCATCCATCTATCCATCCATCCACTCACCCATTCATCCATCCAATATACACTAAGTTACCACTCCATGTTATGTATTGTGATAAGTCCTTGGGAGAGAAAATTAAGTAAGGCATCACCTCTATCTCAGGAGCTCAGAGTCTAGTGGAGGAGGCAGACAAGTAAGGCAAGCATTCTGATTCAGTGTGGTGTTAAGATAGATGATTTCACAAGACGTGATCACATATGTTTTTGTTTTAAATTATTTAATTAATATATTATTAAAATACTAATAGTATTAAAATATTTTAAAATATATATCTAAAATATTAGTACAAATACACTGAATGCAGAATATATTATTAAATTATTTCTTCAATTAAAAGAAGGTAAATTTGAGACAACCATAGGAGGAAAGCTTGGAAATGATCTCTATCTCAGATACTTTTAGTAGGTTTGACACACAATTTTTAAAAAAGTAAATGATGATAGTATTCAATTGATATTAAATTCATTACAAATAATTTATAAGCTTTGGTTTAAGAGAAAAGTAATTAGAAACTTTACACTTCAAAAAGTTGCTACTAGATACTGGACTTTGGGATATACTGTAAGAATTCTGGTTAAATCAAGAAATATTTTGAGGACAAAAATAAGGCATGAAAGGTATTTTAAAAATTAAAATGGAAATAACTCCTTCTTGCTTAGTAAGTGTCATAGAAAAAGAGTAAAACTATTGTCACTTTATTTCCTTCCAATTTTTATTTTAGGTTTGGGAGTACACGTGCAGGTTTGCTACATGGCCAAATTGCATTTCGCTTGGGTTTGTTATACAAATTATTTAATCACCCAGGTAGTGAGCACAGTACCTCATAGGTAGTTTTTTAATCCTCACCCTCCTCCCAACCTCCACCCTCAAGTAGGCCTTGGTGTCTGTTGTTCCCTTCTGTGTGTCCATGTTAACATGCAATTTTTGATAACCAAGATTTGTAACTTCCATCACCACTACCACCTCCGCCTCACAACTTCTCTTTCTAGTCATTCCTATATCCCCAGCTGATCCTCAATCACTCCATTCCTTTCTATCCAATCCCCAGCTGCATACTGATGCCCCCAAAGCCATATTTTCATGTCTGATTTCTCTGACAAGTTTTACATGTGTATTTATAAGTGCCTACTGGAACTTTCAACCCGGATATATCCCATACTATCAAAACTTATATATCCCGAATGGAACTTCCTTCTGGTAGCTCTCAAAGTTGAATTTATTATTCTATTTAATGCTGGCATAGTCTCATTGTGTTAGTTGGACTGCCATAGCAAATATACAACTGGGTGGCTTAAACAACAAACGTTTCTTTCTCACAGAAAAGAAAAAAAAGAGGCTAGGAAGTCCAAGATTAGGGCACTGACCGATTTGGCGTCTGGTGAGGGCTGTCTTCATGGTTTCTAGCTGGCTGGTCTTCTCACTGTACCCTCACAGGATAGAATGAGAGCGAGCTGGCCCTCTGGCTTCTTATTATAAGGGCACTAATCCCATTTATGAGGGCTCCACCCTCATAACCTAATCACCTCCCAAAGTCCCTACCTTCAAATGCCATCACGCTGGAATTAGGATTCCAACATATGAATTTTGGAGAGACACAAACATTCAATTAATTGCATCATCCACAGTCCTAATCCAGTGTTTTGGGTTAACCCCCTCATGCTTAACCTTCTGCTGGCCATCAGCCTCCACAGCCAGCTGGCTAACTTATTAATTATGTCTATTTTAGAAATATTGCTACTTCAAAGCTTCGTCTCCATCCCTACTGACATTATTTCTGCTCAAGCTCTCACTATCTCTCCTTAGACTAGTGCTGCTAGCAGTCTTGTTACAAGTCTTCCTGAATCTTAATTCTTCCATGACCATAGTTTAGCTTTCCCAATTCATCTCTCTCCCTCCTTTCCCTCACTCCCCCTCACTTTCTGTCTCTCCCTTCCTCTCTCTCCCCTTCTCTCTTTTGCTCTTTCTCTCTCCCTCCCTCTCCCACCTTTTCTTCCTCTTTTTCCACCTCCTCCTGCCCTCCACTTGAAAATCTCTGTTGCTTCTCCATAATAGAATAAAGTCTAAACACTTCATACAGGGTACAGGTACGTAAGGGCCTTCCTAACTAATTTTAACTGACTCTCCAGCATGTCTCACCGCTCTGTACAGATGTGTCAGCATAGTACTTACACTTGATTCTTTACTGTTCCCTAAAAGCTCATGATTTTGCACATCTGTGCCATCTACTTTGATACCTTTCCTTACATTCTTCTCCTAGAATATTCTTATTCTTCAAACTCAATTAAGAGTTTGTGAATTCTTTCCCTTTTTGCCTCAGCATATTTTGTTATTCTTTCTGTTTCCACTGGCAATTCTTATGCACAGATTTAATTTTGCTCTTATTGTACTCCAATACAGTTTTTTCATATGGCTACCATAATAGACGTAAATAAAGTTCTTGAGTTAGGAATTAATGTTTTGATCATGTACTTGTTCGCTCAGTGCAGAGCTTGGCATGTAAGAAGTATGTTTTCTATGACCATTGAAACTGCATATTAGACACAGTTGAAGAGAGAACTAGGCCTGGAAGATAGAGCTGAAGAAATTACCCCATTATCAGTACAGAGATATATGAGATACAAAAACAAGAAGGAGAAGGTTGAAATGTAGAAAGCAGAATGAAAAAGTTCAACATCCATTTAATAGAAATTCTGTCCTGCTTTAAGATAATAGAATGTATATATATGAGGAATATTTAAAAAGGCAATGACTGAAAGTTTCCCCAGAATTGATGAGGAGACACAAATTCTTTGATGTAAGAAACATGATGAGTGCCAAGTAGAATAAATAAAAATATATCCATATGTAAATGTATGGTGAGTCAGCAAAAATCAGAAACATCTTAGAAATAACCTGAGAGAAAAGACACATTACCTGCAAGTGAGAAACAAATTGTGGATAGACTTTCAAGTAGTAATGATAGAGGCTGGAAAACAGCAGCTTGATATCTTCAAAGTGCTGAAGGAAACGAAGGTCAATTCAGAATTCCAGATACAGCTAAGTGATCACTGGAGAGGGAGGTCAGCATAAGAAATTATTTGGAAAAAGACTGGGAAAAATGTATTCTATGCACACCTCCTGAAAGAATGACTAAACAACCTAGTTTAGAAAAGAAGGGTCTTGGCTGGGCATGGTGGCTCACGCCTGTAATCCTAGCATTTTGGGAGGCTGAGGCAGGCAGATCACCTGAGGTCAGGAGTTCAAGACCAGCCTGGTCAACATGGTGAAACCCCATCTCTACTAAAATACAAAAATTAGCTGGGCGTGGTGTCATGCACCTGTAATCCTAGCTCTTTGGGAAATTGAGGCATAAGAATTGCTTGAACCCGGCAGGCGGAGGCTGCAGTGAGCTGAGTTGGTGCCGCTGCACTCCAGCCTGAGCAACAAAGTGAGACTCTGTTATTAAAAAGAATGATCTTGAATCTAGAAGAAACGATGAAATAATAAGAAAAATATGTATATAAAAATTCAAAAGATCCCACTTAGAAGAATGATTTCTCAAGCAGGGATGATGTTGTTTCACAGGGGACATTTGGCAATGTCTGCAGATATTTTTGGTTGACACAACTTGGCAGGAGGTATCACAGGCATCTAGTGGGTGGACACCAGGGATACTGCTAAACATCCTACATGCACAAGACGTGGTCCCTAACTCATTGTCCCATGTTCACTGTCAATTCTTAACTCTCCTTCCTCCCTGGGTGTTTCTTGTCCTGTGTGTAGTACCTTGCCCTTGCAATGGGTCCCCTCCTTTAGGGCATTCCCAGGGCTCTCGTTTCTCTCCTAGGGCTGTGCTTGGTGAAGTATGATTAGCACCTTTGATTTCCCCTTTCTCAGGTTTCTGTGTTCTTTAACTCTCCCTAAATTGTATCTCATGCTGCACCTAGGCCTTTCTTTTTTGCTAATACCAGTTTCTCAACCTTGGTGCCGTGGACATTTTGGGCTGAATAATTCTTAGCTGTGGGGGTTGTTTTGTGCATTGTAGGATGTTTAGCAGCATCCCTGGCCTGCACCCAACAGACGTCAGTTGTGATATCTGAAAAAAGTTTTCAGACATTGCCAAATATATGTTTGCAGGCGAAATCACCCCCAGTTGAGAACCACTGACTTACACCAAAGTCTGATCCTGTTCTCTGAAGCTCTGCTTAGTGGCAGAAGTCTGGTACCCTAATCATTGATAATGGGTTCATGGGTTTTAATGCATTTGATCCTATTTTAGCAAGGGCCTTTTGCCAACCATACTCTAATCAAAAACATGGGGGGAATTTTTTTCCAAAGAGGAAGATTTTTTTCCCCCTTAAGACTACAGGTAACACCTTTGACACTTGCCCTGCCTGCTTCCCTACACCCCACCTCTCTGTGAAATTATGTCATGAATCAAACCTCCTCTGTATGTGTTCAAGACCATTGGTAATCTCCCTGCATTTCCATAAGCAGGAATCATTGAGAACTCTTCCCTTTGCCTTGTGCCCTCCTTCTCCGGCCTCACCATCTTCCCTTTAGTGGTCTTCTGGTGGGATTGTGTTTCTAAAAAAGAACACTAGGCTGGGTGTGGTGGCTCACGCCTGTAATCCCAGTACTTTGGGAGGCCAAGGTGGGTGGATCACAAGGTCAGGAGTTCGAGATCACCTTGGCCAAGATGGTGAAACCCTGTCTCTACTAAAAATACAAAAATTAGCTGGGTGTGGTGGCATGTGCCTGTAGTCCCAGCTACCTGGGAGGCTGAGGCAGGAGAATCACTTGAACCCGGGAGGTGAAGGTTGCAGTGATTCGAGATTGCACCACTGCACTCCAGCCTGGGTGACAAGAGCATAACTCTGTCTTAAAAGCAAACAAACAAACAATACTAATGAATTCCAAACATTCCTTATGGACTTTACAAATATGTTCCTCATCAGGAAAGGAGTTGAGAAATGACTATCTTCTGTTCCAGATCACTTCCCAGGAGTCTAGCTTTTACCTGTGCACCTAAGGTCTGAGCAGAGCATGGTGTCTTATATTGACGGGGAAGATGTTCACTCACCTTTCCTGGTGACCTTACCGAGCTTACTGGTACTCCATATATGCAAGCTCTGAAATCTTAGGTGCCCAATGTTATGTTGCTATGAATTTGCCTGGGGTATAGAATACCTTAGAAGAGGTGCCCATTTGATAGCATGAATTCAATGTCTTATAACAAATTGTGACCAGATACTTTCAGAACGGATGCCAAAGGAAACAGGTTTGATTTCAGAGATAGAGTGCCGCAGACAGTGACCCTGCAACCTGAACAACTGATGTGACCACGAGATGCAGAGTAATTGGACCTCACCAGGAGACTCATGTGCTCCCTTGTAGAGAAGCTGAGAGACACTCCTTGTCCTGTCCCTGCTTGCACACCATGTGCCCAGCCAGCCTGAGCCTTTCTGCTAGAGTGTTAGTTCAGCTAAATCTGTGGCACAGAGTAATGGAAGATCAGCTACCCTCTACAAAAACCAGGGCAATATAAATTAGAAAGTCTCTAAACCATTATATTTAAAGTGGGTTTCTTCTAGAGAACATAGAGTTGGGTCTAGTGTTTTTATCCATTCTGACAATTTCTTTTAATTGATGTCGTTAGACCATTCACAAGTAAAGTGATGATTGGCATAGTTGAATTAGTATCTGCCATGTTTGTAACCATTTTCTATTATTACATTTGTTCACCATTTCTTTTTTTTTCTACTTTTTCTCTTGCCTTTTCTGATTTTAATTGAGCATTGTATATGATTTTTAAAAAATGGGATGTCATCTTCCTACTTCCCTTTCTGCTTTTAAAAATTTCCCTTTTGTCAAAATAGCCCTGAAGGGGTATTTAGATTTTAATCGTATGTTATGGAATAAATTTTCCGGTTTGGTTTATATGGAGTGTGAATATGAGGGTTAACTTACTTAAGTTAGGATATTGTAACAAGTAGGGCATTTTTATGCATTTTGGAAGGTGATTTGTGGTTTCCTAAGATGCTGGCTGGGTAGAAGATGTCACAGTGGAAGGGAAGGCAAATTTGAGTTGAGGCTATTCAGGTGAGGGACCAGTGTTCCAAGCAGCAGGACAGTGTGCAAAGGCTGATTCCAGAGGAGCTGGGGGTAAATGTCTCCTTCACATTGAAGTTGAGTGCTGAATGTGTTATCAATAGAGGTATTGCCGCACAGGGTGGCTGGGTTCTCTGGGGCTGTTACTCTGGTCTTCCATGGTGCATTCCATGTGTTAATGGACATTTGTGAGCAAGCCCAGAATTTTAACCTCCATGTATACTACTTCTCTGTGAAAAACTAAGTTGGGAACCGCCTGGACTTTAGAACTAAGAGGATCATTGGAAATGTTCATTTTGACAAGAGCATTGGCTAAGAGAAATACATTGCTGAGCTTTCTTCAAATTTCCTATTTTCCTAAACTTGCCTATATTGTTCTTTTCAGAATTCAAGAACATTTCTTGTTGTTTAATTATCGATTCCAGCGGAGTCCTGTTCATTCTTCCTCCATGTGTGCTGGTTATTTAGTTTTAGAAGACTGAAAACACCAATGAATCAGGGAATGATTGGTGGCAAATGATGAAGACAAAGTCAATTTAATGATGTAGCTATGAAGTTACTTGGGGATTTCTAATATAAGAGACTGAAGAACTTGAATTAAAGCTGTGTTGAATGTGATTTGCAAATAATTATATATTTCAGCCATAAAATCAGATGGCTTTAAGATGCTCCAATAAAGTCATCCATTCTTCTAGTCATCTAAACTCTTGCTACTCAAAGTGTGGTCCACAAGAGCTAAGAGAGCCTGAGTTTGGATTTAAAAATATCGTCCAAAAGGGATAATGCGAGGGACATTTTAGAGATAGCTTCAATAGCACTTCGTAATTAATGGGATGTGATATATGACTGAATGGATGTCCCGTATATTTTCAATAAGGTTAAAATATGATACTGAAGCTTCATAGTTTAGGCCAGTGATTCTCAAACTTTAGTGTCAATATAAGCCCAGTGGACTTCTTGTTAAACTGCAGATCCTCATCCAGTAGGTCTGGGCAAGGGGTAGTGAGATTCTGCATTTCTTTTTTTTTTTCTTTTTTCTTTTTCTTTTTCTTTTTAGACAGTCTCACTCCATCATCCAGGCTGTAGTGCAGTGGCATGATCTTGGCTCACTGCAACTTCTGCCTCCTGGATTCAAGCACTTGTGCCTCAGCGTCCCAAGTAGCTGGAATAACAGGCATGCACCAACACACCTGGCTAATTTTTTTTTTTTTTTTTGTATTTTTAGTAGAGACAGGGTTTCGTCATGTTGGCCAGGCTAGTCTTGAACTCCTGACCTCAAGTTATCCACCTGCCTCGGCTTCTCAAAGTGCTAGGATTACATGCGTGAGCCACCACACCTGGCCTAGATTCTGCATTTCTAACAAGCTTCCAAGTGATGCCCATGCTGTCAGTCATGGAGCTTGGGATTCAGTACAAGACACAGGTAACAAAAAATATTATACCAAATAATTTGTGGTCACTAACAGGCAGATGCTTTGAAGGATAGGAATAATCCTCTTCTTAAAGATTCTTGGCAATACTGTTTTTATCAAAACACGCCTCTGAGTTCCCAAAACAGTACTCTATAAAGAAAATTTTCTTTACCACCAGTTATAAGTGGGAAGTCTGCTTATGCCCTGTTACAGGAATATTATTTGTCTGTGATATATAAGTGTCCAAACGTTTCCACAGACATTGTTTTGATATTAAAAACCAAATGAAAATCCCAGCAACCATGGTACTGACTCAAGAGGGAGCTTAGCTGTCTTAGTTCTGGTTCTCTGGGAAATAGATTTTGAGCCAGAGATGTGCATGCAAGAAGTTTCCTGGGGAGAGCAGTTGGGATCCGTATGTATGGTGTGTGTGTGTGGTAGATGGAGGGAAGCATAACCAGGCAGAGGGAAGATATGAGCTGTGATGATGCACAAACATGGCCTCAGCCCTCACAGAGGGATACCTGGAGCTGGGACAGTCCTTCAACATTGTCCCACAACAAAGCTATTGTAACCTGCCATCATTGCCTGGATGCAAGCTGCCACGAGGAATGAATGTGACCCTGGGGAATTCTCTTTGCGGGCAGTTTCCCAAGAAAGATTCAGCCGAGAGCCATCAGCAGCTGGGGGTGTACCATGGGGCCCACAGCATCCATGACATCAGCTGATGGAAGTGAAGTGTTTAGAAAGATCTACGCGGGAAAGCAAGTGGGAGAGAATGGTGGAATTCTCAGTTTGACCGCAAGCATGGAAAATCTCTGCTGACCTAAGAAAAAGGCCCAGAATCTGAGCAGGTTTTCCAACCCCCAGGAACTGCTGAGTATCTGGATTCTGGTTCAGTTTGTAGTTCTCTCCAGCAAAGAGGCACCTAACAGATTGGGAAACACCCTCTGGTCACTATTCCTCCTGGTTATGTGGGTATATATTTTGGAAACTATGCAGTTTTTGTCTTTTTCAGGCAAATAAGGATACAACTGATTTGTGGTTGTAATTGGAGAATGGAAGAGTTGGCTCACTTTCCTTGTCCCAGGTCGTGTAACTCATATTCATTTATTCAGCAGCTATTTATTGAGTGCCTACTTTGTGCCCAGTACTACATTAGGTGCTGGGTGTACTGGAGTGACCCAAGCAGACAAGGCTCCTTTCTTATGGAATGGCAGTGGGATAGGCTAGTAGAAGAGAGAGATATGAAATAATCACCCAAATAAGGAAATTTCATTAGCTCAGTGAAGGCAAAGGACACTATTAGGGGGTGTATAAAGAGGGCATTTAATTTGGATTTTGAAGATGGGGAAAGACTGAGGATGTGGTAGTAATTTGAGAGAGATCTCAAGGATGTGTTGGAGCTGGTGAAGATATAGTTGGAATGTGGAATAGGAGACAAAGACCTGGCTTGTCTTCTCAGCTTTGTGACTTATCATGTTACCTTCACACTAAAGACTTAACTTCTTTGAGCCTCAATTTCTTCATCTGTAAAATGGTGCAGTTATAAGACTCAAATGAGATAAAATAGGCAAAGTGTTTTTCAAATCCTAAAATGTTAGCGAAAGCTACTTTTCCTATTAATTATTCTAGCCCATGGATTCCTTCTCTCCCTTCTCTTAACTGTCTCCTTCTCATATTTCCTGTGCTGGGCTTCGATGCTGAGGTTTAGTTAATAGTAAAATGCTATGTAGTTACCTTCTTTTAGCCTATGGCTTTCAACATTTTTGAACAATACCTAAAGTAAGAAATATTTATGTATTGTGACCTACTACTACTACTACTTCTCCATCCCTTCCTTCCTCCCTCTCCCTCTTACACACACACAAACCTGAAAAAAAATTTAAGGAAATAATTCTTATTATTTATTACATACTCTGATATTTTTCATTCCATTCCATTCTGTTCCCCAAAAACAACAAGTCAAGATCCATTAAACAGATGTCACTGCTTACGAAGGAATTGCAACTCATAATTTGAACAAGATTGATTTAGATAATATAATACCTGAAATCCTTTGGAAACCTTATAGGGGTCACGCAATCTTTTTTTAATGTGTGTGTGTGTGAGGTCTGTTGTACAAGGAAATTATTTCTCTTTGAGACTGATTATTAATGTTCATTTCAAAACATCTATGGTGCCTATGGCAATGAGACTGTCTCCCAGAGTTGGCAAAGATGTGATCCCTCAAAAGGGCTCTGTATTCCCTGCAGTTCTGACATCTCTGGAGTCAGTGAAGAACTGTGGCAAAGGATCTATATCCATTAACCATTATTATGATAATACTGAATAACAAACAACCCCAAAACCTCAGTGGCATACAGGATTAAGCATTTACTCGTTTATCTAGAATCAGCTGGGACTTGGCCAGAGCTCTGCTGATCTTGGCTGGGCTCACTCAGTATCTTGGAGTTGGCTGGCTCTTGGCTGATCTAGGTTGTCCTCAATGGGAGCAATTGGGATGACTCAGCTGTGCTCCATAAGTCTCTCCTCTTCCAGTAGGCACAGGAATGTGCTTCCTGGCACATTCTCATGACAGTGGTGGAAGTGCCAGAGAAGGGGCCAGTCCAATCATGCAAGCACTCCAAGCTTCTGATGGCAGCGTATTTGCTAATAGTTCATCAGCCAAAGCCATGCCACATGGATGAGCCCAAAATTAAAGATGGGGCAGAATGTCTTATTCTCAGTGGAACAACACTGCTAAGCCACATGATGAAAGGCTGTGGAATTAGGGAACTGTGAATAATTGGGGCCAAAGACACAATCTATCACAGCCTCTCTATCTCACGTACATGATCTCTTTCACCCCAAAGAGGCCATTTTATTTTTCAAGTGGGCTCAGATCTGAGTCCTTTAGGCTGGGCCAGGAATATTTATCTGAAAGAGACATCATGCTGTCCTCCTCATACCCTGGGTAGATTGTCCTCCTTTTACCTATTCCAACCTGAAGTTGCCTATAAAGGCCCTCTCTTCCTCAGTGTACATCACTTTAGGAAGGCAGACACTTGCAGGCAGCCTGCTCTGCCAATATCTGAGATGTGCCTGGGCCTACCTGCACCCTAGCTACAGGCAAAATTTATATTAAGCCATAACCCACACTGTATTTTTTTCTCCCATTTTTCAGTTCTTCCTAGGAAAAGATTTATAGCATTATACTATAGTAGTTTTAGTTGATTCATGAAATTAGATATCTAAATGAGAGATTTTAATGCGTAAAGCTATCAATAGTACAGTACATGTCAAAAATAGCCTTTTGTTCCGACTTTTCCCCTAATATTTAGCTCTGAATTTCTGGTTGTCTATTGGACGTGTTCCCACATGTTCCCACAAGCACCTGTCCAAGCCACTTCTGTGTTCCCTGTTTCAACAAGCTGCGTCATCATCCATCCTGCTTCTGAAACACAGAGCAAAGAGTCATCTTTAACCAACCACTCATTTGCAGTCATCATCCCTCAGTTCTTTTGCTCTTGTGAATAATGGCTGGCACCATTATTCAACCAGACACTGAAATTGTTCTTTGTTCATTTACTGGGCCAGGTTCTATGCTAAGAACTGGGGATGTGAGGGTGACTAAGACATGACTCTCTCTTTTAGAAGCTCAGTATCTAGCAAAGGAGGTGAACTGTGAACACATAACTCACAATGTAATGTGCACCTATGAACACAGTGTTCTCTTCCACCCTTCCCACATCTAATTGCTCATCAATTCTTGCTCATTCTACCTCACAAATGTCCCTCAAGTCTATGCTCTTTTCTTTAGTCCTGTGGTCATTGCCATGGATCAAGTCTTTCTACTTTCTTGCCGGGGCAGGGGTAGTAGTTCCTGGCTGGCCTTCCTATCTTCACTCTTTTCCCAGTCTATTCCAACCCCCACCCCCACCACGTGTTGTCATTGTCTAAAACACTGATCTGAATCTGTGATTCCTTGGCTTATAAGCCATCATGGACTTGGTGGTCCTCAGTAAGTAAAACATAGAATTACCATATGACCCAACTATTCCACTCTGGGTATATATCCAAAAGAATTGAAAACAGGTATTCAAACAAACATTTGTAACAAATGTTCATAGCAGCACTAGTCACAATAGCCAAAAGGTAAAAACAGCCCAAATGTCCATCCATGGATGAATGGATAAACAAAATGTGGTATAATATATTATACAATGGTATATTATTCAGCTGTAGAAGGAATTAAGTACTGATACATGCTACAACATGGATGAACCTTGGAAACATAGTGCTAAGTGAAATAAGCCAGGCACAAAATACCACATCTTGTATGATTCCATTTATATGAAATAGAGTAGTCAAATCCATAGAGACAGAAAGCAGATTTGTGATTGCCAGGGGAGGGGAGAATGAGGAATGACTGCTTAATGTGTACAGGGTTTCCTTTTGTGGTGATGAAAATGTTTTGGAACTGGGTAGTGATGATGGTTGTACATTATGAATGTACTGAATGTCACTAATGGTAAATTTGATGTTATGTGCATTTTATCACAATAAAATAAATGTGTGTCCTTCTATACCTGCAAAACCCATCAATGATCTCTGGCAACCTGTAGTTTGAGTCCAGATTTCATAGTGTGGGGTTCATGCCCCTCATGGTCTAACCTGGCCTATCTTTTTAGCTCTGTTGCTCTCAAGCATCCTGCATTCCAGCTCTTCCTGGTGTACTGTTAACATTTTTGCTTATGCTCATCCCTCACCTGGAGTGCCTTGTTTCCCTTCTTTCTTGCTTGGTGAAATCCAAAGTCTGGTTCAGATGCCGATTCCTCCTCAAGGGCTTCCTCATACCCCATGCTTCTTCCTGTGTGATCCCATAGCACCTTATTCAGATGATTAGCCACCATGAATCATAGTTGAGTGTGTATCTCTGCCTTGCCAGATGGTGAGCACCATGCAGGGAGAATGTCTGATTTGAATTTGGATCCCTCTAGCCTTGTGTTTGATGCATAATAGTTGATCAATATTTATTGAATTAAATGACTTGATTATTTAAGTCTAGGTTCTATCCTGAAGCTAATGCTGTGTCCCTAATCCTTAATTTAAAATGCTGTAATGATCACTATGCCTGTACTTTGTTTACGATCATTTTTTATTATCTTCATCTAATTACCATTAATTGTCTTAGCTAATAGCAAATTTCTTCCTAGTTTGCTTGCACCTGCTTAACCCAAATATTTGTTTTCTTGGCAGTTTGAGCACTCACTTAGCTTTCACCTGTTTTCAAGTTTGCTAACAGTGCAGCTGATGTTCTCTCCTCTCCCTTTGCTATCCAAAGTCCCTTGAAACCTTAACATTTAACCACTTTCTCTGTGCTAGGGGGAATGTGACAGAGGACGAGTCTTCCACTGTTTTGTTAGAGGATCTTTGGGTCTTAGGATGACATAGTTTGCAAAGAGATTCTGAATAGTTATCACTAGGAGAAATAAAGTAGTTTTCCTTCTTTAATCTCAAGTCAGGGAGTCTTCACATGTCATTATTTTAATTACGTTTATTATTTTTTCAAGTGTCAGATACATTTTTCTTATTAATTAAAATGCAATTACAAAATTCTAAAAGTTATATTGAAGTGCTTTTAAATGCTTTATATTATCCATCTATACTGCTGGTGTCGAATTACAACATAGTAAGGGCTGTTAAAATGTTTTTGAAAGCTTTAAAAGGGCCAATATTTCAATATTGTGTGTCCTGAAATGCCACTTTACTTTGGAGCCTTCCTACATAATAAGCAGATTAGTGAAGATTCAGGAAGAAATTGAAGATACCATTTTAAATGTATGTATAGAACATTATTTATTTTTATTTTTGAGGTGTAGTCTTGCTCTGTTGCCCAGGCTGGAGTGCAGTGGTATGATCTCGGCTCACTGCAACCTCTGCCTCCCAGATTCAAGTGATTCTCCTGCCTCAGCCTCCTGAGTAGCTGAGACTACAGGTGCCCACCACCACGTCTGGCTAATTTTTGTATTTTTAGTAGAGATGGGGTTTCTCTATGTTGGCCAGGCTGGCTTCGAACTCCTGACCTTGTGATTCACCCACCTTGGCCTCCTAAAGTGCTGGGATTACAGGCATGAGCCACTGCGCCCGGCCTCAACTTGTTTTTTTCACTTGTTTTCTCTGACTCTTTGGTGGATATTTCAACTCTTGGGAGATCTCCTCCTTGAAGCTCTTCAGACGTGGGTTCTGTCCCACTTCTCTGTTCTACTTCTTCTTTTCCTTGCCTAATCCTTCTTCATGTCACTTAAATGTCAGTGCGTCTCAAATGCTTGTCCTTGGCTCTTCTTTCTTGCTCTCTCTGCTTTTCCTGGTCTTGTCCACCACTACCCCTATTTCACCTGCAATCTGTATTCTGTACTTTTATCTCAGACCTCCAACCTGAACTTCTCTGACTTCCTTCTAGACATTTCCATCTGGGATGTCCTGCAGGCACTCTGACTCAGATTAGCCAAAAATCGTCCTGTTGCCTCAGTTTTTTTTTATCTGTCCCTTCTGGAAAATGTGGAACTGTTAGTCTGACGGTTTTTAAAATCTGTCCCTTCTGCATTTTCCAGAAGGGACAGATAAAAATTGGTGAATGTACCCAGTTGCCCAAGACAGAATCATAGGCTGTCCTCTGCCCTGCTCCTCACATCCAGGTGGTAAGCCTGTTGAGTCTATCTCCTTCTATCCCCAATCTCCCTGCCTTGGTTCAAAGCCTTGTCACCTTTGACTGGACCATTACTTTGTCACTTGTCTTCCTTGGAGTCCCTCTCATTTTCCATATGGCTGTCGACTTAATCTCTCTAAAGCGCAAATCTGGTATGTCACTTCCTTTTGTAAAACTTTTTAGTTGTTCCCAATTGTGTTGTCTAGAGAACAAAGTTTATTCTCTGTAATGCTTCATGATTGGGCCTCTGCCCAATATTATCTTCGATTACTCCTACATACTCTTCTTTTTCTCTTGTAACTACAAAGGTGGGCCTGATTGTGAAGGCCTTGGATACCGTATACCATGAACTTGACTTTATGGAGGGTGGAGCCACTGCTGACTTTGCATTCAAGGAGAGTGAATTTCAATATTGGAAAAAACCTTTGAAGGCCACTGAGTCCACTTGCTCCGTTAGTTCCTGATAAGTGGATGTCCAGTCTCTGAACACAGACTGCCAACCTGCCTACTGTTCTTTGTTCTTCTTTATAAAATGGGAACAGTACCAACTTTCACACAAACATATTGTAAAGTCTAAAGTGCCGTTAAATTTATCAAGGGCAATTGTCTCACCTTTCTTTTGGATTCCTTTGCTTTTATGGTTTCTGTAGGAGTTTTTCCTCCTCTGTGGGTCTTCATCCATCTATGTCTATTTTACTCTTTTCGCCCATCTGCTATGATCAATTTGTATGTATTGTTCACTCCTTCAAGGACTGTGGATTTTAATATAAAGAAATAAAATTCAACACTCAAAACTTCCTTTAAAAAGAAAAGGCAGAAAAGATCGTGAGGATCACACCATACCCAGAAATGTCCTAAACAGGCTCTTTGGATCAGAGACTGGCAATTGAGGGCCATGTGACAGGTTCTTCCTTCTTCAGCCTCCAGCTTGTCTAACTGCAATGCTCTGATTCAGAATTGCACTGCTCATGGAAAGATTTTGGCCCCAGAGTCACCTGCCCGCGGTCTTGGCTCATTCAGAATTAGAGTAAGGCTGACATTGAACTGTACTTGAATGTGAGTTGTTAGTGCAGATGGTGGCCTTGGTGTGTAATGCTTGCCATGTGACTGGTGCCTGGGAGCAGATGGGCACCTTCTTTCTGTACCAGATGACACTCCAATCTTCCTCAAAGGCACAAGTGCAAGTGGAGTGAGGCAGTCTGGAGCCAGCAAAGCAAGGGGAGGCATAACCTTAGAGCTAGTCACCAGCATTCTGTCCTCTCTGGAGAGAATTGCTGGGGATGTATCCTTAGGTGCAAGTCTGGGATTTGGTTCCTGAGAGGATTTGTTATTCTCTTAAATGTTGTGATCCCATAATGACAGCTGACACTTATATCACTCTAAAGAATTGACAGTGTGCTTTCCCACACATGACCCTGTTTGATGTTCATATTGACCCTGTAAAGGAGTTATATTAATTTCTTAGGACCGCCACAACAGAGGACCACAAGCTGGATGACCTAAAACAACAGAAATCTATTCCTTCACAGTTCTGAAGGCCAGAAGTTTGAAATAAAAATGTCAACAGGCTCTGCTCTCTCTGAAGATTCTGAGGGAGAATCCTTTCTTTCCTGTTCCAGCTTCTGGTGACTCCTGGAATTCTTTGGTTTGTGACAACATTACTCAAGTTTCTACCTCTGTCTACACATGGCCTTCTCTTTGTGTCTGTCTTCCCTTTTTCTGTCTCTTATACAAACACCTGTCATTGGACTTAAAATCCATCCTAATTCAGGATGCTCGAGATCCTTAATCTTAACTATATGTGCAAAGACCCTTGTTCAAAATAAAGTCACTTTCTGAGGGTCCAGATGGGCATATATTTTGGGAGGCACTATTTAACTCACCACACTTGGTATTAGTATCCTCATTTGAGGATATGGAAACCTAGAGATGGTAGGTGTTTTACACAGAGACACATTGGACCATGGACTCTAACTCAAGTTTTTGGATGCCAAATCTTACATGCTTTCTGCTGCATCATATTAGTCTCTCAATATGTGGGTGTTTTTGTGTGGTGAGAATGTTGCTTTCCTTTCGTGTATTTATTTAGCACCTACTACATGCCTGATGAAGTATATATATTTTTGTTCAACTAAGAACAGACTGAAAAATTGGAGCTTTCTTATCTTCGTGGCTGAGACTAGAATCAGGAGAAAGCAAGTCAATGATGAATTCTTATCTTGGCTCAGTCATTTCTTTCTCCTTGTTCTTCTCTTTCCCACATCTTCAGGGATATCAAGAGGGACTGGGCACAGCTTAGCTTCTAGGGTTATGTGGTCAGTGTGATTGAGCTAACTTGGTAAGACCCGAGAACCCTCCCACATGCCTGCTAAATGGGAGCTATGCTGCTTCCTTCATTCCCTGGACAGAAGATACCTACATGCCAAGCCTAAAGCTTGAAAGGAAGTGTAAATATGAACTACTTTTTCAGTTTCTTAGCACATTTCTTAGGAGGGCCAGGTGAAACTGTGCTAGAGGTCAAGGTTGTGATGTACCATTTTGAGCCCGTTTCCCCATGGAACACCCAGTGTCTATTGCTAACCTGTTCTCTGGGCCTCCCCTGCTGGGGTAGTTTCCCATGCTCCCAAGGTTTTCCTTTCTTCTTCCCCCCATATAAAGACTTTATAGTCTCATGTGCTACTTTGTCAAACATTTGTTTCTTTTTATTTATGTAAACATTTTATGAAATATTTCAGACATGTGAAAGGGCATAAAAACAATATGACAAGAACACACATACCCAGCACTCACCTGCAGACATCAGACATGACTGATAGCTTTGAGGCCCCCATGTACCCCTCTCCTCCCTGTCAGAGGTAACTGTTGTTCTGAATTTGGAGTTTGCCATTCCCACGCATTTCTTTACAATCTTACTTCATTGCCTCTATTCTTGTGTGACACAGTCTTGATCCTAAAGGAACACTGGACTTCAGCAGGCTTTAAAGAAGGTCATTTGGAGTGACGTTTAGGAGAGATTTTGGGGGCTAATATTCATTGAATACCTACTATGTATTGCCTTCTGTGTTTTCCATGAGCTTTCACTGACAGCAGCCCTCTCTGTTTGGAGTCATTATCCTTGTTTGACAGCCAAGAAAATAGAAAGCAGAGATGGTGAATAACCTCCCCAAAGTCTAACAGCTGATACCTATTTGACTCCATCATGTGTTTCTCCTCAAATTGAAGCTCCTTTCTCTCTCAGTGAGAGGTGAAGAGGGCGCTGGTCAGGAGTGCTGGATGTGTGATTTAGACTGAGTGTCCAACCTCTCTGATCTTTCCTGTTCTCTAAAATGAGGAGTATTGAGTCAATCCCTAAGACTTTTCCTGTTTTAAAATTCTATGCATCTCTTAGAAATCTGTGGATATAAATGCTTTATGCTGTGGAGTCTCATTTCAGGCCCTTCCCCTCTAGTCTTGTAAAACGTTCAGGTAGATATCACTTTATCACTCAGAACTTCGTTTTGGTTACACCCATGTCAGTTTGCAGCTCCTCTTCTGTTCTGCAGGCTTGGAGGAAGATTTCTATACATCGTCATGGGCCAGCCCAAGAGGTGAGAAATGCCAAATACTCAAGCTGGCTTGCCCATCTTCTCCTTGCCATCTGTACCTTTTGGGCTTGTTTGGATAGCGAAGTCAAGGTGGAGAAACTCATCAAGGTGGAACATGGTCCTTTCTGGGTAAAGAGAGACTCAGGCTAAGTTTGAAGTAGGCACTCTCCTGCTTCTCATCCTATGTATCTTAACTTTCTCCCTTCTTCTTTCTCTGGGAGAGTTCTTTCTCTTGCCCCTTTGGCTACCAGGGACTTCCTTAATGCCTCTAGCCATTAACGGCAAAGCCTATCTTTGTGGTGCCTTTTGCTCCATCCCTCCTTTTCTTTTTCTTTTGTTCCAACTCCTAACTGTATTTCCCCCACTCCAAGCAAAACCCCAATTCTCCCTAGATCCTCAGTGGTGGAGGAAGGAAGGCATCTGTCTAGAAGGCATGAAGAAGTTTTGGCTGCTTAAGCCCCAGGCCTATGTCTCATCTCTTGGGGTGATTTCCAGTGGATCCTTAGCATTAGGGGTCCCCAAGACCACTTCCAGATTTGGTGATTTGCTAGGAAGACTCACAAGGCTCAGCACATACTCACAGCTAAGATTTATCATAACAAAAGAATACAAAATGAAATCAGCCAAGTTTCCAGAAAAGGTGGATGGGGCAAATTCTGGAGGAAATCAGGAACAAACTTTTAGAAGTTTTCCCAGAGTGGAATCACACAGGATGAGCTTAATTCCTTCAGCATGAATTGTGACAACATGTGTGAAGTGTCTTCCAGTGAAGCTCCTTAAAGACTTAGCACCCAGGGATTTTATTGGCCGTGTAGGTACCTCTGCTTAGCATGTGCAAAAATCCCAGGAAAGTGGGTGTTCAACATAAACCACATTGCCTGCACAAACTGTTTAGGCACAGTGAGCCACTCTTATCAGTTAGAGATTTGAGAAAAGCCTTCTGAAATCTAAGTTCTTAGATGCCAGTCATGTGCCAACCCTGCAAGCAAGACTTCCTAAGGAAAGCAATCTCAGGCCTGTTATGTTGACTTTTCTGCACAATTCTAGTCTTCTTTCCCTACCTAGGTCCTAGTTTCTCAGCTGTTCTCTGAATCTCTCCCCACCCACCTGTACCCATGGCTCCAAAGCTGCCCTTCTTTCTCTGCTTCTGGGTTTTTCCTTTCCAGAGCTCATAGTGGAAGAAGCTATGACCTCTCCTGCCCTCCAGTGTACTTGCCTCTCCTTCACTGAGCACACAGAGGCTTTATTATTAATCACTAGGGGGAAAGGGGCTGTAACAAAAGTAGTAGAAACCTTACAAAGTTCCCTTAATTGTGAGCATATCCTGCTTCCATTTCTTACTCTTCAAAAGTCATTTTTATAAGGTGCTGGAGGCTTTCCAGATGATTCTAAATGCTGGGATTTTCAGGACCCAGTAACTAACCCACCAGAGTTTGGAACAGTTGAGAGGCAGGTGCAGATGCTCAGCATATGGAGGTGAAAATACCACCTTTTTTCCTGATAGAGCTGTGGGGAGAATGTGGCCCGAATTGGATAATGCTTCCCTCTGCGCTTTCCATCCAGGCCCCAGAACTAGCCACCTCAGGCACAATTTGAGCCAATAGAGCAACCACTGATATGTGCTGGTCCCAGTGGAGAGGGAAGAAAGGAGACCAGAATCTCTAGTGCTTTTGACTTTTGACTAGACTACCTTTTCCCAGTTGAAAAGCAAGGCTCCCCTGGCAAGGGCAGGTGACCAGAAGGATCAGTTATTCTAGAAAGTTCTCCACATGAAAACCCAGAGACATGAGAACAAGTGCTTACTTCCCTGGGGACAAGTGCACATCTTCAACACTAGATGATACTGTAGTCAAAGGAAAGTGCAAGTGGGCTCTCTGCTTGGCTGGCGGAGGTCTCAGGCCCTTCCAGAACCTGCTCAATTTCTCTCTGGATCAGGCCTTAGAAAAACAAGAAGTTCTAATATTGACATGTCCTGAACACATACTCTGTGCCATGCCTCGTCTGTGGACATGCATTAATCCACTAGAATGCAGTTTCCATGTGGGCAGGGAGTTCTTCCTGTTTAGTTCGCTGCTGAGTCCTCAGCACTAAAACAGTGCCCAGAACATAGTAGGCGCCTAGTGGATGTTTGTTGAATGAATCATTTATTCCACTGAGTCTTCAGAACAGCCTTTTGAAGTACTAGATGAGATATTGGTTTCATTTTACAGATGAGAAATCTAAGTCAGTGAGATTAAATAATTTGCCCAAGACATGGAACCTAGTAAATGGGTGAGCAGGGATTTGAACCAGCGTTGTCTGGTTATAGTCATAGGGGTCTTCAAAAACCATGCCTGCTTGGCTTGCCTTTAGAATTCTGGATATGGCATACTCTACTGGCAGGGAGTTTGTCTTGTGTAATTTTTGCTCAGTGTCAGCATTGGAGCCTAGTTTCTCTGGACTCCATATGGCCACAAGGGTCTGTACCCACTGAACAGAAACCCACAGGCGTGGCAGCACTATCACCCCAGGAGCCAGTGGGTACTGCCCCTGCAACAGATTTGAGTAACAGATTTTTTCTTATTTTGAAGCAGTTGAGCCATAACAGAAACAAAGTAGGCATATTTCCACCAAGCAAAAAGGTTAAATGGACACATATTTCACACTAAAGATCAAGTACTCCAGAGGGTATTTGATACTCAGGTAAGCAGAATCTCTAGTGCTTTTGACTAGCCCTTGCTGTGCTAGCCCAGCTCTCCAGCTCCTTACACATCATTCCCCTTCTCCATCCACAGTCACCTGTTTACAAATGGCTGACTTTCAAATGGGCAGCTCTTGCCAGAGCCTCCTTATCTCCCCCAGTCCTGCTGCAGGAGCAGCTGGTGTCTGGTATACTGCTCCCTTTTCAGTTCACATAGGCTTGGGTGTTTTATTTCGGGTCATGTGGGCTTTCATGAATTGACCTTGAATTTTGCCACCACTTATAACCCCATTTCTCCCATTCATCTATCAATCCTTCTTTATTGAGGACATGTTGGGTTTTGTGTTATGATGTCCTGGCACTATAAGGTGAATATACTTACTCCCATAGTCACATGGAGAGCTTGTTTTCTGGGTTTTAAACAAAAGGCCTAGGAACCACTTTTTTTTTTTAAATTTTTAAATCAAAGACCAACTGTTATGTATCTCAAGTTCCTTTAGGATTTGATTCTTGCCTTTGTTTCCTGTTGGGGTAGAGAATAGCAGGATGTAGTACTTGGGTGAGCACTATGTCAAGACTCATATTTTTCCATTGCTACAATTCCACAAGATCTCAAGTAGTGTGTATCTAGGCATTCTGCAAATAAGAGCTTGAATATCTTCTGCTATTGTCATTTTTAAATGCAATTTCATTACATTAATAACATTCAGCTTCTATCATAAAAATGGTTCTCAAAGGCAGCTAATATACAGTGCAATATGGCATTATTGGATATGAACTACTTAGATTTGTCTAAGATTCTCTGACAAAGCAGTTCTGGAACTGGAACTTAACTATCTAGGAACCCAGCTCAAGATCCTGACTCCCTCCACAAGAAGTTTACTTTGCTCTGCCGTCAGGACATCAGTAATGTGTTTATGCCTCAGAGTTCTAAGAAAACTCAAGATTTTGCTAAATGTTTATTTCATCTCAGGACATTTCTTTTTATAAGTAAATAAAGCAATTTGACATTTTTACTCACTTTAATTATCCTTCTCAGAACACTTTCTCCTTGCAAACTCTAATAGCAACAATAACAGTATAATCAAGCAAGCAATACCATTAACACATATAATCAGCAATGGTTGCTGAAGTTACCTCTTGCATTCTCCAATAAGAGTGTGAGCAACGGTATTTGTTTTTACTTTATACATAATCAGCACATGTTTGATTAAATGATGCTCCAAGGAAGCATATAAACAAAAATGGTCACCTGGTAATTACCTTAGCTGTCCATGGCTGTTAGGAGACTTTTCCCACAGTTTAAATGCAGCCTGCAGTTAAGTATATTAGGTCTCCTTAGAGGCTGACTTGATCATGGTGTATAATCTTTAAATGTTCTGTTTAATTCATTGTGCTGATATTTTGTTGAGATTTTTGCATGTGCATTCATCAGGAATATTGGCCTGCAATATTCTTTTCTTGTAGTGTCCTCATCTGGCTTTGGTATTAGGGTAATGCTGGCCTCATAAAATGAGTTTGGAATTGTTTCTTCTTCAATTTTTTTGAAAGGGTTTAAGAGGGATTGGTTTTAATCCTTTAAATGTTTGGTAGACTTTACCAGTGGAGACATCAGCTCCTGGGCTTTTATTTGTTGGAAGGTTTCGATTGCTGATTCAATCTCCTTTCTTGTTATTCTTCTGTTCCGAGATTCTATTTCTTCATGATTCAGTCTTGGTAGTTTGTATGTTTCTGGGAACTTATTTCTGTTAGATTATTGGTGTATAATTATCTGTACTCTCTTATGACCCTTTGTATTTCTGTGGTCTTGGTCCTGATACTTTCTCATTCATTTATAATTCTATTTGAGTATTCTCTTGTTTTCCAAGCCTAGCTAATGATTTGTCAGTTCTGTTTATATTTTCTTTCTTTCTTTTTTTTTTTTTTTTTGAGACAGGGTTCTACTCTGTCACCCAGGTTGGAGTGCAGTGGCATGATCAGTAGCTCATGCAGCCTCAGCCTTCCAGGCTTAAACAATCCTCCCACTGCAGCCTCCTGAGTAGCTGGGACCATAGACATAGGCTACTATGCCTGGCTAATATTTTTAATTTTGTTTTTTGTAGAGACAAGGTCTTGCCAGGCTGGCTTTGAACTCCTGGGCTCAAGCGATCTTTCCGCCTTAGCCTCCCAGAATGCTAGGAATTCAGATGTGAGCTACCACGCCTGGCCTTTGTTTATGTTTTCAAAAAAAAAAAAAAGAGTTCTTAGATTGATCTTTTCTATTTTTAAATTTAATTAATTAGATTTTATAAATAATAATTATGTATATTTATGGGGTACAATGTGATGTTTTGATATATGAATACATTGTAGAAGGATTAAATCAAGCTAATAGATATATTATTCACCTCAACTAGTTTTTTTTTTTTGTGGTCAGAACATTTCAAGTCTATTTTAGCAGTTTTGAAATATACAATGTGTTTTTATTAACTCCGGTCACCATGCTATATAATAAATCTCCAAAATTTATTCATCCTATCTAATTGAAATTTTGTACCCTTTGACTAATATCTCCCTTTACCCTATCCCCAGTCTCTGGTAGTCACCATTTTACTCCCTGTTTCTATGAGATTGACTTTGTAAATATTCTACATATAAGTAAGATCATGCAGTATTTGCCTTTCTGTGCTTGGCTTATTTTACCTAGCATTCTGTCCTCCAGGTTCATCCAGGTTGTTGCAAATGATAGAATTCCTTTTCTTTTTAAAGCTATATAGTATTCTGTTGTCTGTGCTCTTATTTCTTTATGCTTTGATCTTAGTTCTGTCCTTTTGCTGACTTTGGGCTTAGTCTTCTTTTTCTAGTTCCTTGAGGTATAAAGTTAGCGTCTTTATTTGAGATCTTTCTCTTCTTTCTTAATGTAGGCATTTATTGCTATAAACATCCCTCTTAGAACTCCTTTGCTGCATCCTGTGAGTTTTGGTATGTTGTGTTTCCATTTACATTTGTCTCAAGATATTTTTATATTTCCCTTTTGATTTCTTCTTTGACCCATTGGTTTTCAGGAGTGTGTTGTTTACTTTCCCCATATTTGTGAATTTTTCAAATTTCATCTCGTTATTGATTTCTATTTTTATACTATTGTGGTATAAAAGATACTAGTTATGATTTCAATATTTTTAAATTTTTTAAGACTTACTTTATGGCCTAATATGTGATCTATCCTGAAGAATGTTCCATCTGCACCTAAAAGAATTCTGCTGCTGTTGGATGGAAGTCTGTTTGATCTATAGTGTTGTTCAAGTTTGCTCTTTTCTTATTGATTTTCTGGCAGAATAAACTGTTTATTATTAAAAATGGGGTGTTGAAGTCTTCTACTAGTGTTGTGTTTCTCTCTATTTCACCCTTCATTTCTGTTACTATTGCTTTATATATTTAGGTGCTAAGCACTGGGTACATATATATTTACAATTGTTGTATCTTCTTGATGAATTGACCTCTTTATCATCATATAATCATCTTATTTGTCTCTTGTGACAGTTTGTGATTTAGTCTATATTCTGAACACTCCTGTTCTCTTTTGGTTACCGTTTGTATGGAATATCTTTTTCCATTTTTTATACTTTCAGCTTATGTGTGTCCTTAAAGCTAAAGTGAGTCTCTTGTAGGCAGCATATAGGTATATTTTTTTCTTTTTAAATTTATTCAGCCACTGTATGTCTTTTTATTGAAGAATTTAATCCATTTACACTTAAAGTAATTATTGATAGGTAAGGACTTACTACTGCCATTTTGTAATTGTTTTCTGACTGTTTTGTAGTTTCTTTGTTCCATTCTTCCTTTCTTAACTGTGTTTCTTTGTGATTTGATTTTTGATTTTTTAGTGGTATACTTTGATTCCTTTTTTCATGTGTGTAGTAGATACACAAAATATTTTTTCATCTTTTCCTTTAAAGGAAGTACTTTATGGCTTCTCTTTGGCATATGCAAATTGCTAGCATCTCATTTGTGTATTTTGGGGCCATTATTAAGTCAAATAAGGGTTACCTGAACACAAGCACTGTGATACCATGATGGTTAATCTGATAATTTAGACAGCTACTAAGTGACTAATGGGCAGGTGGTGTATACAGTAGTATGAATATACTGGATAAAGGGATGATTCATTTTCCCAGGTGTGACAAAGTGTAACAGCACAAGATTTTATCATACATTCAGAATGGCATGCAATTTAAAACCTATGAATTGTTTATTTCTGGAATTTTTCATTTAATAATTTTGGACCATATTAGACCATGGATTACTGAAACTTTGGAAAGCAAAACCATGGAGAAGGGAAGCCACTACAGTTATAAAAGTGTATTTTAAGCTGATAACAACTTTACTTTGACCACGTACAAAAACTTTACACTTTCCCCACCTCACATGGAGGCTGGGTCCGTGGGTGATGGACTAGAAACTAGTTCTGAGGGAGCAGTACTGGAAGCTGAGTGGGGAGCTAGTGGGGCAAGCCTGGACCCTGGATCTAGTGGAACATGGGGCTTCATCAGTCAGCCTGTCTCTGTGGGTGCCGCCCTGGTCCCTTGGGCCATGGGGGCTGACCTGGCACTGGGGCAGTTCTGAAGCCTGGGGTTGAGGGAGTTGGCCTGAAGCCTAGGGCTCTGGAGCTGGTTTGGCACTGGCATAGGCCTGGGGCATGAGTTCATGAAAACAAGCTTGGATCCTGGGGCCATAGGGGCTGGCCTGGTGCCAGGTTTCACTGGTGCTAGGGTCCGTAGCCAAGTTGGGTGCCCACTTCCTTTTTCTTCCACCATTCAGAGGGTATCTCCACACTGTGCTGGCTGGGCTTGGGAGAAGGATGACATGGATAATGTGAAACTGTCCTTCTTACTCTTTCTAAATGTATCTTCTTTCTGTGCTACACCTAGATGCTATAATCTCTCACCTGGATTCCTTGACTCTTGTGAAGGTATTTTTATGTGTGAATAATTGTTTAAATTGATGTTTCTTTGGGGGGACCAGCACTGGAGTGTCCTATTCTGCCATCTGATGAACATCATTCTACCATACTGTGTTTAAATTTATATGCCAACATATTTGGCTCTTTATTTGGTTTCTGAGTGCCTCTGGGTCAAGAACTTTTTCTTATTTCTCTATTTTCAGTGTCTTGCACAGTGCCCCTACATAGTAATTCTTCAGTGTATTTGTTGAATTTAATTGCTTTACTTGGTTTATTATGGCTTTGAGTCGTAAATGCCATACTTTTATGTTAATGGTTTTACTAGTATTTCTGAACAACATAAAATTTGATATTTTTGTGAAACTTAAAATGGTATAATTTTCCTGAATTTTTATATTTCCCATAGTGAGTTGATATCACAGTTAGACCTTTCAGGGAGTGTGGGTGTAGAATTAAGTTTGGCATCACAATTCTGTTTTTATAAAAATCTCAAAGACATGTTGACTCTCTTAGATTCAAGTAATTAGCAGATATTAAAAATGTCATGTCATGAATCTCTGTGCCTGTGATAGCATCTAACATGTGAAAAACCATCTGTTCAGGTAGCTATTTACAATGTGTCAAGTAGCTTCTCTGTTGAAACCAGGAAACAACCAAAATACAATGACAAAAAACCTATTTTAAAAAAACCTATTCACACAATCATTTTTCAGCCTAAAAATCCATATTTTGTCACAGGAGGATTTTTGAAATCATTTTTTGGATTATATTCATTTAATTACAAAATTATTCATCCTCACTTTCCTCATCAAGGATGAAAGAATATCCTGAGAGGTATGCATTTGTAATTTTAATATAAAGGAAAGATGCTAGTGATCTAGCTGGCTCCTGAAATTGATCCGAACTCTTAATAAATAATGCAGAAAGGTAAATAGGATATCATGAAGGTAATAGAAATGTAATTGTTACTTTGGTGTTATGATCTAATAAGGAGAGTTTATAGTGTAGGCATCCCACTGGGGTGGAAAGAGGATACCCTGGGGTTTCAGTCTTGCCTCTACCCTTACCAGTTGTTGTCCATGGGCTTGTCTCATAGACTCTGATCCTAGTTTTTCTATTTGTGAAATGAGGCTGTTATAAATTTGCATAGTATTATTATGATGCTTAAAAAGGATGTACAAGGTAAAGGATTATTACAGAAGGGCAGGTCATCTGGATTATAGATTATTCCTAGGAAATAATTAAGTCAGTTCTTTGGACATAGTTAAGTGCAGATGCATTCTAGAATGATGTATTTTCACTCATTATATCTAATATGACCTCTACTTCTCCCACCCCATAGCTGTGTGGTAGAGCTGCATTAAGTTGCTTGAACTTAAAACACTTGCCACAAGCCGTCTCTTATGGAAGCCTTGGAGCCAGAGGCAAAATTATAATAGTTGGTTATAAGATATTTGCTTAACACATATTTCCAGTAGTAAAATAAACTGAATTTTATTGAGTACTATTTGATATACTTTCACATAATTTTTTTCTTAGCCAAATTTTCTAAAGTTTTAGGAGTTACCATGTATTGATTCCAAGTAATTCAGCATAGAGATTGTTCATTATGCAGACAGCAATAAAACACGTTATATTACTTTTAGAATTTATAAAAATGTTTGTCTCTGGTTGAATATTGCGATAGCTATGTAACACCGTGTTTTCCCTTTTTGCTTTGGCTACCAGGACACTCAAAACTCAACTTTCAGTTATAGAATGTTTTAGCCAGTGTCAGTGTTTCTTAGAGGGCTGTCCTTAGACTACTGCCATCAGAATCACCGGGAGTGCTTGTTCATGTGGACTCGGGTTCTTACCCCAGATGTACTAATGTAGAATTTTTCTATTATGGGCCTGAAAATCTGCATTTTAGACAGAACACTGTTTATTCTTAGACACTAAAGTTTGAAAATTACTGGCCTAAGAGTTCAGATTCTTTCTTCTTCCTCCCATTACATGGATTTTGATTTTCTGTTTCTATTTTAGTAGCTATATTGGCTATCTTATCCTAAACCATCCATAGCCTTTTTAGAAGTATGAAGGACAGAATAGCTGAAAACGTAGAAGTTCAATGGGAAAAGGTTATAGAAACCAAGATAGAGTCAAACTAAAGAGAATAGTTTCTGCCAGTTTCCTTGTTTTCTCTTTCCTTAGGTGAAAGTAAGGGACACAAACACCTCTTGCATTGAAGGAGGTGAGAAGGAGGACTTGTAGCTGGGACCTCTGAGCTCATATTTAACCCCCTGTTTCTGGTAGAATTGATGATGCAGATATCAAAAGGCCCTGGAGATCCATAGATTTCAGAATTAACAGAGTGGAAGAGGCCTTGGCTTGAATTTTTTTTTTTTTTTTTTTTGCATTACTTATCTGTATCTACTTTGATTGTAGGATCCCTTCTTATAAAGGGGCAGGGACTCTGTTTTATACCTCTTAGAAATAGCACAGTGTTTAGCACTTAGAACACAGTTGGGAAGATGAAAGGATGGAAAAATGGAAGGTAAATTAGTGGAGCTGGTGGGCATTGAGAATCCGAATTTAACCTATTGGTTTAAGTTACTGAGAATTCTTGTATCATTGAATATGCCGATCTTTAAAAATACACATTTTAGAGCCAAATCTAAGTTATTTAAAAATATGATCAAATACTCTTCATATCACTGTCATATTGAAGAGGAACGGGTTAAATTGGAACTACCAATTTTTGGCCAGTGAACCGACCTGCTGCAGGCAGGTATGGGCAGGAAAGAAGGGTTTGATGGGGGCCATGGCAGACCTGTTCATCAGAGCTCATCTAGGGTCAGATCAGTGGGTGGACAGGAAAGCTAGACCATGGAAATGACAGGCAGAACCAACTCTACTGACTCTTGCATAGACCAGACGGATCTGTCATGATCTTAACTGAGCTGGAGATAGCTGAGCTGTCAGGTGTCAGGGTAGCTGATTAAGTTAACAAGCCAAAATGAAAGCAACAGTCAAGCCTTTAACTACTTACTGCAATAGTGTAAGCAAGCAGCTAAGCTAGAGAAAGCACCACCCCCCACCCCAGTTCCATTTTCCCCCATGGACTGGTATACTTGTCCAGGGTCAGGTTTATCAGTGCAGACATGAGGGCTATCTCACTGCTGATGGAACCCTGAATAAAAGATTTCTGCAGTTTTATGGACCCAGGGGCTAGGAGAAGGGAGAGGGGAAGGGATAGGAGTGAAAAGCTACTGAGTACTGAGTCAGAATGGAGAAAAGCATCTTCAAAGTTTTCCCTACCCCTGACAAGGAGGTCTTGTTAGAAGGACCTGAGGAAGGCCTGGGTGACCAGTGGCCATAGATAAATCGGCTTCTGCATGAAGATGCCTAGGCTAGGAATGCGGGTATACGTGAGTGTGGTCAGGCAGGAGGGCCTGAGTCCTTGACTGCAGCTCCCTGCAGAGACTGCCATACATCATTTGTGCACCAAGTCTGGTGTGGGGAGGGCAGCATTCCCTGTGAGTTCTTCTAGGCAAAGCCTTTGTCATTGCCTATGATCACACATGAAAAATCACACATAGGATTTTGGTAGGAGCCAGACTCCTCAAGACCTTCAGTGGGAAACTGACTCTTCCTGGAGGGCCAGAACTGAGCTGGACTATATCAGGGCTAAGCAGGTATGTCAGCAATTAAAGAATATTTAGTAGGGCCTGTCATAGATATAGTAGGTGGTGAACTCAAGGCCACTATTATTACCACCATAAGAACATTCAGTTTGGTACTAGTTGAGGAAGCATGACATGGGACTATAGCTCTACAGCTGTCTTCAGATATGTGAAGGAATGATCATGTGCTTGTATGAGTTATGCAATATGTATTTGTTGATGAGTTTAGAAGATCGAAAGGGCGTTTAGTGTGGATTCAAATTATAGAATTACGCATAGGCCCTTGTTTCCCTACCTCTTTTCTTTAAATGCCTCTACTGCTTCTACTCCTCTGCCTGGCACATTACATCCCCTCACCGCCAAATCTCTGCTTGTCCTTCAAAACCCAACACAGACGACATGTGATTCCCAGGGAGTCCATGTGGCATAGTGGAGTGAGCATGGGGCAGGAAAACCTCAACCCTGGGATGTCAAATCCTCAGGGAGTCCTGATACTTCCCGAAATATGTGACCAGGGCAGATGCTGCTAATTGATTGCAAAATTTTCCCTTTGGAGCCTGACGCAGCTGCAGATCCCAAGGCAGCTCATCAGTAAACTACTACCAACCGATTAAGTAGATACAAAGGAAAAATCATATTGCCATGGTGACCTTCAGCCTTTCATTCTTCCTGGTCAGAAGAAACCTCCCAACCCCCTTGAATTCTTTTTAAAAATGGGTTTTCATTAATTATTGAGTAGATAGAAATTATTTATGATGTGTAAGGAAGATGTAAAAAATCACACGATCTCAAACACTTGTATATGCACTATCCAGTTTAAACAAAAGAACGTGAATGTTGCCTTTGAAGTCTCCTGTTTCCTGTCCCAATTCTATCCTCTTCTTTCTCTCCTGTTAGAGGTATCCAGTCTCCTAAATTTGAGGTGGTCTTAGCCCATTTAGGCTACTATAACAAAATATCATAAACTGACCAGCTTATGAACAGTAGAAATTTATTTACTTCTCACAGTTTTAGAGGCTGAGAAGTCCATGATCAAGGTACCAGCAGATTAAGTGTCTGGTGAATGCCTGCTTCCTCATTCACAGATGGTATTTTTCAGGGTGTCCTCACATGGTAGATGGGACAAGGAAACTGGGGCCTCTTTGATAAAGGCACTAATGCCAGTCATGAAGGCTGAGCCCCATCTCCAAATGCCTTGCCTTCAAATACCATCACCTTAGGGTTTATGTTCTGTCTTATTTCTTCAATTAGACTACAAGCTCCATAAGGGACTCAGAGTGTCCTAGATATTTGTGTTCTCAGAGAGCCAGGCATTACAGATTGAACCTGGTCATTGCACAAGAATATTTATTGAATGAAATAATTAAAGAGGGTCAATTTTGCATTATCCTTTCCCCCACACCCCACATTTAGACACATTCCCTCAGTGGTTAACTGAACACCTGCCAGGAATGTTGCAAGAGGAATTCCTACATTGGGAAGGATCTTGTACTACATAAGTTTCTTCCAACTCCAACATTTCTCAATCTCTGGGAAAATCTCTGACCTATCCAGAAAAGTTCCCTTTAGTATACAGAGGGAACTGCCTTTAAGTCTTGACCAACCAGCTTCCCTGGATCCCTTGGTTCTTTGCTTTAAAAAACCCAACTTTATTGTGAAATATAACATATATGCAGACAAGTGCATAAAACATAAATGTACACTATAATGAATGATTACGTAGCAACCAAGTAAATTTTAAAATAACCTCTATTGTGATGCCAGGTTGAAGTTCAGCCCTTTAGAAATTCAGCCCCTTGATATGATCTAGAAAGGGTTGGAAAACTATTACCTGTGTGCTAAATATGGCCCACTTCCTGGTTTTGTAAATAAAACTTTATTGGAACGTAACCATGCTCATTTGTTTTCATATTGTCTATGGCTACTTTCATGCTACAATGGCAGAGTTGAGTAGTTGCATCAGAGGTCAAATGACCTGCAAAGGAAATATTTACTGTCTGGCCTTTTTATATAAAAAGTTTGCCAAGTCCTCTTATGTAAAAATTTGCCAACTCCTGTTCTAAAGTCTGTCTTGAAAAAAATATAACCGTCTGTGCATCCTATGTGGTTTTACCCTCTCAGTAAAACAAGTCTAGTGAATCTCTGGTTGAGAAAAGGAAGTTAAATAATTATAACATTCAAAAATATTAAACTCTATGGTCTATTTTAATGAAATCTTAAGAATAGCCAGAAACTAAACCCAAAGCAAATTATCTCTAAATCTTGACCTCCTTAAGGGTCTGCTGAATTGCATCAACAACATTTTATAGCTAGAAGACTGGAGCAACCCAATATTTTTTTAGGTCATGGGGTGTAACTAATTGAATAGAAAAAGAGATCAACATCTTGAGATTATATCCCTGGAGAAGGCAACACCTGAAACAGATTGAGTTTTTTGATTAACTTATTCCTTAGTGAGTAGAGGTTAAACATCCAAGTAGATGAAAAGACCTAGAAGGAAATAGAGTAGAGCACACATCATTCTTTAGTTGACATTTGGAAAGTGCATTTGCACAGTTACCCTTCCCCCACAACATATGCGAATGCACTTGCACACACGTGAACACACACAGACACAAGAAATGATGCTTAGTCAAAGACAAACAAAAACGAGATGGCCACTGTCCACGTGTTTTCTACTATGAACACAGAAACTTTTGGCTTTAATTCTTTCCTATAATCATCAGTCACTTTCCCTATAGCAAAACCGATTTTGTTTCCTTGGACAATCTTGTAAATGAATATGAAAAGTAGGAAATAACTTAACTGCCTACAGGGGAAATGCATTTGAAGACAAATGATTGTATAAAGTTCATTTTTTAAGAATCAAGTGTAATTTCTTATGCAAACTGTATTTCAGTCTAAAGATCTCTAATGCTCATAAGGAAGTACCTTTTGTTGTACTTCTTTGAGGCAAAGAGAGAATTGTAATCTGAGAAAGAGATACACCATTCAAAGCCTGATTACACTGCCTCCTTAAATCTTCTCTCCCCAACTGAAAAATAATTATATATAAAAACATCTTGCTTTTCAAATTTGCATTTAAAGAACGCTTGTTTGGGGCTGTCCGAGTGAAAAACTGAGCACACTAAAATAGCAGTCTTTCAAACATACAGAAAATTATTTTTTCATCCCCAAAGGAGGTTGCTAGAAGTGTACCTCCTTGAAAATACGTTCGTTAAAAATGACATATAGAGCATAGACTCACAGAGTTTGATATCAGAAGGAGACCATAGACCCAAACTGAGACCCTCTCGTCTAAGAGAAAACCAATCCATGGTTGTGAATGCATATTTCTTTTTTTATTAGTTGCTTTGCATTCTTTATTAAAGCAGAATATAAACGATACCTGATAGTGGGACAAGTGGTTGGGGAACAGTGTTATCAAACAGATCTGGGCTGGATTCCTACATCTACGCTTTATAATTGTGTGACCTTGGGAATATGTCTGTCTCTCAGAATCTCAAGTATCTCACTTGAATAATGAAAACGATATGGATCTTTACCATTATGTTGTTTGAAGTATTAAATGAAATAATACCTATAAAAAGTCTTAACGTGTAGCCTGGAATGTAGTAAAAGGATGAGAAATAAGAGCACAGCATTCATGTGCTTATTAGCAGCCACTCCAAGGCTAGAAGTGATGCCACTAACACCTAGTCCAGATTTTTTCTTCCTATTACGATTATGAGTTCTTAGAGATAAGAGCTTTTTATTTGTATGTTTGTTTTTTAAGAAAAAAAAAACCTAGTGGCTTTCCCCCAGCTGTTGTGTTTTTAAGTACCTATGATTTCTTTTTTTTAATTTGCAGTCTGTACTAATGTGTACTGCGGCCACTGATTTTTCTTACCAGTTGATGAATATAGGCAGCACTGAGAAAAAAAGCTAACAGGCTGAATGATGATAATAGTTAATACTTAGTGAGTGCTTACTATATGCCAAGCACTGTTCATTCATGAATTTGTTTCTTTAATCCTCAGAAAACCCTATAAGGTAGCAGTGTTATTATCCCCGCTACACAGGAGGGGAAATGGAAGCACTGAGAGGTAAAGTAACCTGTCCAGTTTTCATAGCCAGGAATGAGGAGACCCAGGAGTCCAGGCCAGGCAGTCTGGCTTCACGCTTGCTCTGGGCTTGTCCTATGTCCTGGATGCCCAGGTTCCCCAGCCTGATCTGGGCAGTGACTGGATTGCTTGCTGGAGCCGAGGCTCTCAGAACCACCTCGCGAGGGCTCTTTGTAGCTCTCCAGACCGACCCCAGAGCTTGGATAAGTTAATGGTTTGGTTCATAACCACCCCAGGGATTCAGCATCAGAAATGACCCAGGACCCCACCTGCCTAAGATGAGAGGGTTGCATTTCAGTTTACTCTTGTTTCTAGACCTTTCATTGGGGGATACAGGGGCAAGGGCTCTAGTATAATTGCTAGAATCTGTTGAGATCTCTTTTGTGGACCATTGTTTGAGCAAGAGTAACTTTTAATGTGAAGGGGCTGCTTGAATTTGCCATAAAAATAATGGTAGCCTTTAAGAGCTAGTCTAAGGATTAATTGACTTAAGATTTTTCTTGTTTAAATCTCCTTCACCTTTAGGGCCCACCTGCTGGTCACTTGACCTTTTGCCTTAATTTATTTTGTAAATACTAAGCCAACAAGAGGAAAAGTGAATACCTTTTACAAAGACTTCCTTCTCTTTTGCATTGGGAGTAATTTTTCCTTGTAGATTAACTTTGGATGACTGGCTGGGGATGAGAGGATGATGTGCAAGAGTGACAGAATATGAGGAAATATGCAGGTAGTGGTATTTACAGTGACTCTTTAGGGACATTGCTTACCAAATGTCATTTAGTTGGCACAATGGGTATTCAGTCCAGTTTTAGAGTTATAAGGCACCCTGAAGACAATTTAGTCTTCATTTTTACAGCTAAGGAAGATGAAGAAAAGCAATTTAGTGACAGAGCCAGGACTAGAAACCAGATATCCTGATTTTTTTTTTTTTTTTTTGAGACAGAGTCTCACTTTGTCACCCAGGCTGGAGTGCAGTGGCGTGATCTCGACTCACTGCAACCTCAGCCTCCTGGGTTCAAGCAATTCTTGTGCCTCAGCCTCCCAAGTAGCTGGGATTACAGGTATACACCACCAAGTCCAGCTAATTTTTGTATCTTTTTTTTTTTTTTTTTTTTTTTTTTTTTAGTAGAGATGGGGTTTTGCCATGTGGGCCGGGCTGGTCTCGAGCTCCGGACCTCAGGTGATCTGCCTGCCTTGGCCTCCCAAAGTGCTGGGATTACAGGCATGAGCCACCATGCCCAGCCCACGTATCCTGATTTCTATGCCTTTTCATTTTTTATACTGTTTGCTGCTTGGGTAGAGTAAAAAGCCATGAGAAGGAGGCAGCCCTTAGAAACTCCCCTTGGCTGGGAGACACAGCCCGAAGATTCAGTTTGCCTAAGCTTGGGTTCTTTTATAGATTCCATTAGTTAAAACCCTTTTTCTAAGTTTTATATGGGAAAAGGAAAAAGTTGTATATAAAATATGGCAATAAATAGTGCCATTATTTTGTAATATTATTGCTTGGAATTCAGATTTATAAATTTAATCTTCATCTTTCCACTCTCACAAAATAAATTTTAGCATTTATAAAGACTATTTTACAACCTTTTACTCATATTAATATTTTCTATTCAACAATTGTGATTTGCTGTCTTAATATTCACTTTGTTCAGGAATGTTCTTACTTATCATCACATTGTGAGAGTCTCTCACAAGCTAAATGGTCTTGGTACTTTCTTGTCTTTAGAAGATAATGCTTACAATTTTTTTTTTTTTTTTTTGTGACGGAGTCTGTCTCTGTCACCCAGGCTGGAGTGTAGTGGCGTGATCTCGGCTCACTGCAAGCTCCGCCTCCCGGGTTCACACCATTCTCCTGCCTCAGCCTCCCGAGTAGCTGGGACTACAGGCACCCGCCACCATGCCCGGCTAATTTTTTGCATTTTTAGTAGAGATGGGGTTTCACCGTATTAGCCAGGATGGTCTCGATCTCCTGACCTCGTGATCCGCCTGCCTCGGCCTCCCAAAGTGCTGGGATTACAGGTGTAAGCCACTGCACCCGGCCGATAATGCTTAAAATTTTTGAAACATCATTTTCCTTTCTCTTTGCCATAGGAAGAGTTTCAGTGGACTTAAATACCTTTTGTGACAAGTGGGGGTGAATGTATGCTTGAATTTTTTCTGGGATCTTAAGGTTCTTGAAGGCAATGTGAGGTAGTAAGGTAGACAAGTATAATTTAATTAACTATATAAAAACTAAATATTATGGCAGCCTAGTTCCAGAACATTTAGTGTTGCATTCTGCTACCAGGAAGATGCAAAACGCAAGAATCCTAGTCAGATAAAGTCCAGCAAAGACACCTCCCATAAGCCTCCTTTCTGGATCTGGTTTAGGGCTGTCTCTTGCTGCTGGAGGTTGTATGGGGTGGTAGAAAGAACACTAGACAGAAGATCCAAAGATCTGGGTTCCTGGGATCTCCACCTGTGCTTTGGGACAGTTAATGTTACCTCTCTTGCCCAAAGTTCTCTCATTTGTAAATTCGGGTTACGGCTTAGACCAGTGGTTGTCAGCACAGCTATGTATCCTAATCAGTTGGAGATTTCCCAATATTTCATCACAAAGTTTTAAAACGCACAGAAATGTTGAGAGAATTTTGCAGTGAACACCCGCCACGTAGATTCTACCATTAGCATCGTATTAAAGTTATTTTTATCACATACCAATTTATATATCCATTAGTTGGGAAGCTTCACTAACACACTCATATCTGTTGTAGAATATATACCTTTGGGGTATTAGGCAGGGTGAAGAAGGGAGATTTCTCTTTCTCCTTTATATACTTGTGTTTGAGATTTTTGTTTAACAGTGAGCATGTATTACTACTACTATGACCAAAAGAAAAAAAAAACAAAAAACAAAAAAACAGAAAAACCCATAACAAAACAAATACACATATGCATATATTCCTGGGCCACCAACCCCCAGAGAGTGTGATGCAGTAGATCTGAGGTGGGGCTTAGTATTTTTTGAAGTGTAGCCAGGATTGAGAACACAGGACTATGCCTCTCTGAAGTGCCACTGGGGTTTCATAGTCACAGAGTTTATGAAATCTCTTTAGTGACAACCTGAAGCTCCCCTCTGTAGTAGATTGATTCCAGCTTCTTCTAGTTTGATTCCAGATTCTTCCTGGTTCATACTGGGCATTCAGCCGAATGCTGCTATTGGCATAACAATGAGCTTGCAGCCAGCAAAGGAACTGTGTAGGTGGAGACAACCTCAGAAGCATGAGATGCAGCTTTGCTTCTTGGCAATTTCTTTTTTATTCTTATTGATTCTACCATGGCAGCTGTTTCAGACCTCTATTATTGAGCCCTTAAAACCACCTCTTTTATCTCTTTATAAATAATCTGTTTGCCTCAATTGACACCATTGCCAGCCACTGTTGTAGGTGGCTCCCCAGTCACACTGTGTGGCTCTCTCCAGGAGAACCTTCTCTACCCCTCATATGTAGGTTGGTATGCCAGACTCCCCAAACATGCTAGCCTTTCCTCCTTTAAAGTATTTTTCTCAGACATGTAGTTGCCATTGCTTGTCTGTTCTGTCATCTCCACCATGCTGTCCCATTCATCTTTGTACCCCCAGTTGGTGGCACATAGTAGGTGCTTGCCATGTAGGCTGTAGATATTGTCCCTTTATATCAGTGATCAATGTCATTGCGAATTGTTTGGTATCCTTGATAGGGCTTTCATGCTCCAAAAATACTTTGTATTTCCCAGCCATTAAAAAATTAATATTTATTTCATTAATGTTACAAATTCAAAAACCTAGTTTTTCTTAAAGCTTTTAACTTACAAACTTTATTTTCCAATTTTCAATTTGTTTTTTTTAAGACAGGGTATTACCCTGTCATCCAGGCTGGAGTGCAGTGACACAATCATAGCTCACTGCAGCCTCGAAATCCTGGACTAATGCAATCCTCTTGCCTTAGCCTCCCCCGAGTAGCAGAAGCATGATACCACGCCTAGCTAATTTTAAAATTTCTTAGACAGATGAGGTCTCACTAATGCAGGAAAACCCCCAAATTGAGGCTTAGCTCAGGAGGTTTCTTAGCTTCACTCAGGAAAGAATTCAAGAGCAAGCTGACAGTGAAAGAAAGCAAGTTTATTAGAGCAACGGGGTGCAGCAAAATGGCTGCTCCACAGACAGAGCAGGGCTATCTCATAGACAGAGTAGCAGCCAATAGCACTCGTGGATTGCTGGCTAGCTGTATTTATACCTACTTTTAATCATATGCTAATTAAGGGACAGGTTCTTCATGAACTTTCTGGTCTGGGAAAGGATTAGGTAGCTCCCAGAACTGTATAAGGTAACTTCTGGGTCATTGCCTTGGCATTTGTAAACTGTCATGGCACTGGTGGGAATGTCTTAAATACATTATAATTAGTGTATAATGAGCAATGAGGGCAACTAGAGGTTGCCTTTGTTGCCATCCTGGTTTTGGCCCATTTCTTTGCTACATCCTGTTTTGATCAATAGAGTCCTGACTGAGGGTCGGAACACAAGTACTGCTGATCTCCTACCTCATCCCTATGTTGCCCAGGCTGGTCTTGAACTCCTGGCTTCAAGCAATCCTCTCACCTTGGCCTCCCAAAACGCTGGGATTACAGGTGTGAGCCTCTGTGCCCAGCCGCAATTTAAAATTTTTAGGTGTTAATAGTCACAAGGAATCTGTTGGTCATTGTTTGGCTTCATTTATTTAATAAAATTATCCTAATTATTTTAAGGCATTAATAATTTTAATATTCTGTCTTTTAAACTTCATTTGCCTGCCTAGCAAACAAAATCTAATTCTCATAAATCTAGTAAATTAAATATATGAACACAGTGAAACTTAGATTCTCTTAAACATTCCGATTTTGTAACAAATTTAGCAAAATTCTGTCATAGCTTTTAACTTGAACTCACAAGTCTCAGCTACTCAATCACTCAATTTACATTAGTCACAATGCTCATTTATTAGATACTCTAATGTGCCAAACTCTCTTAAATATTATAAACACTTTTAATATCAGACATTAAAATATTGATAAGAAAGATTTTATTTATAACAGTATTGGAGCGCTCCCTGGCTCAGTAGACATTTACTCACTGCAGTGGGAGCATTTCCACTATCAACCACAGAGCTGTTTTGCTGGTTCTTGAGGTTAGAGGCTTCAGGTATCCAGGCAGATTTTTCTTACAACTACAAGCAATGCATAGACCCCTCTTCCTTACATGCTGTATCAGTGAGGTTTCCATATATGCCTGTGCCCATAGAATGGTCTTATAGTCCCCCTGCTTTGGATTCTGGTTATACCTTGTCTAGTCTGATTTAAGTCTGTAATCATCCACCCAGCTTGCTTCCCTACTAGATTGGATTTAATTAATCTATTTACTGCTTGATTGTATTCTGTTTCTGTTTTTTGGCCACAACATTTAAATAATGTCTTACTGTATTGCGTATTTCTATAGCTCTGGAGAAATGGCCTTTAGTTCTAATGACAGTTAATAACTGTTTTGCTACATAGGGCTCCTTTCATTATCCCCTGCCATGGATGCATGTTTTGAAGACTAATAAAAAAGACAGCATTTAATTAATGATGTTTAATTTGTGATCACTTTCTTCTGGTTAACCAAAGACAAATTCAACTGTCTATCAGAGCTTCTTATCAGCATGAGATAATCAGTACTACAAATGGGTTGATATAATTCCAGTCAAAAGGAAATAACTGGTTTCTGTTTGTGTGCAGCTTGATCAGAGGCAAATACATAATTTTTGTGAGTCTCATTGGCAATCTGGAAACTGTTCATCAGCTTTTCATCACTTCCTTTGTGGACATCAGATTCAGAACCACAACTTAATCTTATCATTAGTCTGTCTTCTCTCCTTTCTCAAAAGCTGGGTCATCCCTTCTCAGTATCTCCTGGGGACCTTTCTTATTCATTGCCTTTACTTCCTACATCTCTGATCTCCACTCTTCACTATTTCTGTGACCCATATGCATCTCACATCTTTCCGATGTTAAAGAAACTCATGCCTGACTTTGTTTCTCCCTCTTACAATCATCTAATCTCTATCCTTCCAATGACCATACAAGTTTTTGAATGTGGCCCATAGAAAGAACCTATTCTTTCTCTCCTTACGTTTTACTTCTGTACTTCCTTCCTACTTGGCCCTATCTAAGGTCACCTGATTATGGTTAAAAACCATGGATTCCTCTTGGCATTTCCTAGTCTGCTCTCATTATTTTGGGTCTACTTATTTGGCTTCTGCATCATTGCATTTATCTGCCTCTCTTCTTTCCCCTCTGCCAGTCCTTAGTCACTTTCTCTACCTTCTTTTTTTCATGGAGGCATAATGAAGAGCATAGGTTTTAGAGTCAGGCAGACATAGGGTTGAATCTCTGCTTTTTCGTCACCAGTTGTGTGACCTTGGGCAATGCTGAACTTTGCCCAGCTTCAGTTTCCTTATCTGGAACATGGGGATAATAATACCTTACTTGTAAGTTGCTGTAAGGATTAAAAGAACAATCAGTGTGTAGATATGGTAACTGATATTTTATAGACTTCCTTCCCTTTGTAGTTTGTAATACTAAGGGTATTATCCAAAGTGTACTGAGGCTTTCTCTTTCCCACGAAGCAGTCAGCTTTCATTCTGTATATTAACTCCAAAATTTGTATCAAGCTCACATATTTCCCAACTTCCAGACACATATTTCTACCAGGTGCTAATTTTCTTCACTTGGATGCTTCATTAATCCAAAACTCAACATAATTCAAGCAATACTCAGCCTGTGATTACTTTCATTGTTAACAGAATCTGAATCCTCACAGTGGCTCCGAGGTTGGAGGCTTCTTCCTCCCTTCCTTCCTTCCTTCTCTCTTCTATCTACCCAACAACTGTGTCTTGAGCACTCTGTTATGGGCCATCCAGTGTGCTTTGCACCTACGGTACAATGAGGAGTATGACAAAGGCGATCTGATTGAGGAAGTGTGGTGGGTGCTGATGGTAGGAGGACAGACTGCAGTGGGGGCACTTCAGAGGATCCCCAGCAGAGTTGGGATGAGGTAATGGCCAAGTTTACATTTCTTCTCCTATTCCTACCCACCCCATTTTCAATAGATCTTACTTTCAATTTATGAAATATCTTGTTTCCATCCTTCTTTTTCATTCCTACCATAACTATTTCATTCAATCCAAGTATTCCAGGTACCTCGTTTTGGCTGGACATTCGTAAGACCTTCCCAAATCTGTCTCTAGTCAATCCATCTCCTTTCCAATTTGTTTTCTAAGAAGTTGTCAAGATCACTTCCTGAAGCACAAATCTGATCATTTATTTCCCTTGTTAAAAATCCTTATCGGTTATACCAGTCAGGATTCAGTATAGGAAAGAGAAGGCACTCTAAGTATTTAATCAGGAAAGGATTTAATGTGGGGTGTAGGTTTATAAAATCTAAGGGTGGCTAGATGAGCAGGCACAAGAACCATGTGCCAAGGATCTGCAAGTCTAGAGGTCAGGAATTTGCAGCTTTATCTGCTGTTCTTGGATCGGGAAGGCAATGATATTACTAGCCCACAACTGCGTTTCTTCACTTCAGAATGGTGATGTACCCTGGGTGTTGCTGCAGAAAAACCTCACATCTCTGTGATCTTACTTGTCAAAGTAGAAAACTGTCCATAAAGATCAGGAAGATGGTCTCCCTCTCATTTCCACCTTCCAAATCTCAGATAAGGGCAACTAATTAGTGGGACCTAACCTAATTTGTGGAGGCCATGGAGTGTAGTGTGGAAGAACACACTCCATGGCTCCATCTAGCCAGGCTGTCTGCTGCCTACGGCAAGTGCAATCTAATGTTCAAAGCCGTGTGTGGTTTTTCACTGTTGTATTTTGCTTAACCCCTTGTCTTCCGCCATCTGTTTCTGTCACTAGCAGTTGCTAAACAGATACTTGTTGAATGCATTAATGAACGAAGGAATCCACTCCTGACCCAATTCTCTCTTACCTTCTGGCCATAATGTTAGTAGGAATGCCCTTCCTGGCCTGTACCAACTTCTTCTACCTGCCAGAATCCTCCTACTCTTTCTCTAAGTCCCAACCAAATCTTCCCTCTTGTAGGGATCTTCTAACTACACCCAGAACACCCCTTGTCCCCTTTTGGAACACAGCGACTGTTTCCTTCATTGATATGGTACTCTTCCTCTACCCTTACCTTGGGGTTTATTCAGTATTTCCTTCTCCTTTTCTCCAGGCAAAGCAACTGCAGTTCTCTTCTAAGGATATTCATTTTCCTCTCTCTTATTGTTGTAATTGCAGTTGAGAGTCAATAATTTACAGATGTAGTTAAATCTTTTGTAGCTGATTCTCTCGTTTTTACTCTTGCGTAGAACCCCACATGCAGTTTTTCTCCTCTGCTAACATAGTTCCTGTTTTAGCCCTAGACAGAAATACAAAATAAATCTAAAATGGGAGGATCCTCCAAAGGAAAAAGGAAGAATTCTTGTTTATAGGTTTCTTTTTACTTTTTCAGTGGAATTCACGATATGTTCCCAGTGTTCTGGTTTGTTAGGCCTTGACCAGGGTAAGTGTATTACAAGAATATTCCATTCCCCTAACATTCATGTTTGGATTCAGTGCTGTAAAAGCAGGGCTATGCCGTTTGTCTGTGTGCTTGCCCCAGTGGATTCCTTAGAACTTGACTTTGTTTTATGTGGGGTGTAGGGAATCCTCTCACTATTTTTTTTTTCATCTTTTCTTTCTTCTTCTATTCTCTCTCTCTCTTTCTCTTTTTAAACAAAGCCCTTTGTTTTCTAGAGGTATCTACTTCGTAAGACAACTTAAATTAGTAAAAAGGCTACCTAGTCTTCAGGGAAATTCAGTTTTGTTGTATTTAAATAGACTTTATTTTCTAGGTTTACAGCATAGTTGAGATGAATGTACAGAGATTTCCCACACACCCTCTGCCTCCCACATATGCATAGCTCCCCCAACTACCAACATCCCCCACAAGGTTAGTATATTTGTTACAACCAATGAACTTACATGGACACATTATTATCACCCAAAGTCCATAGTTTACCTTAGGGCTCACTCTTGGTATGGTATATTCTATGGGTTTGGACAAATTTATAAAGACATGCATCCACCATCATGGTTTCATGCAGAGTAGTTTCACTGCCCTAAAAATCTCCTGTGCTCTGCCTGTTCATCCCTCCTTCCTCCTTCCACCTTGGCAACCATTGATATTTTTACTGTTTTCCTAGTTTTGCCTTTTCTAGACTGTCATAGAGTTGGAATTATATCATATGTAGCCTTCTCAGATTGGCTTCTTACACTTAGTAATATGCATTTAAGATTCCCTCATGTTCTTCATAGCTTGATAGCTCATTTTATTTTAGTGCTGAATAATATTCCATTGTCTGGATATACCACAGTTTTATTTTTCATTCCTCTACAGAAGGACATCTTGGTTGCTTCCAAGTTTTGGCAATTATGAATAAAGCAGCTATAGACATTCATGTGCAGGTTTTTACGTGGACATAAGTTTTCAGCTCGTTTGGGAAGATACCAAGGAGTATGATTGCTGGATCGTAAGGTAAGAGTATGTTTAGTTTTGTAAGAAACTGCTAGTATCTTCCAAAGTGGCTGTACCATTTTGCATTCCTTCCAGCAATGCAGATTTAGGAGGTTCAAAGGACTTCTTAAAAATTTATAAAAGGAAAAATTCATCCCTATAAAGGTGTAGAATGTTCAGTGGATGGCCTAGTTTTATTTTACCAAAATATGAGCATGTCACAGTCCTTTAAAATGCTCATTCTGCTTTCTCCTCTCAGCTCAAGTAATAGAACTTGAAATTGGTTGCAGAGAAATGAGGGGAAATTCTATAGCAATGGCACACTAGCTAATCACTCCTGTAGCACTGATATTAGAGTTCATTCTTAATTTTCTGCTTATGGATCAGCAACACTGAAGGAATGGGGAAAGCAAGCTGGGTCCCTGCAATTGCCTAAGTGGGCTTTCTTGCTTGCTTGAATTTAACCCGACCAAGGGGAGTGTAGTTCTTTAGGCGCTGATGGTTATTGCAGTTATGAGCAGAGGCATTTAATTTATTCCACTTCTTTGGATGCACTATAGCTAACTTCCTGTGAGGTAGGAAAAGGTGGGGGGGAATTAAATAATCCTCAAGCTGGTGTGAAGGGTCCCTTGTAAGCCCCAGTCTTGCCCTACTTCTTCAAGCCACACCTGTTCTTGGAATGGTACCTCTGCATTGGGGCAGGGCACTGGGCCACCAAGGAACATCAGCAGCCCATTGGGATAGCCCCAGTCTCTACACTGAAATTTTGTGCTCAGGAAGACAGGGTTTTTTTCCCTCCAAATTTGAATGCTGGTGAAATCTCTCCATCAAGCCCCTTCTGCCTGGAAGAATCAATACCTATTTCTCTGCCAGGCAATTCCAACTAGAAAGTGTGTTTGGAATGCTTTACTATCCCCAAGGTGCCTCAATTACTTGGGTTAGCATTAAAAGCCAAGGATTTCAGAGGATGAATCTTTGTGGGATAAATTAATGCCTGTGGTGTTTTATAATCTCAAGGAGAAGGAGATGTTTTAGATTTAAATTTTAATAAATGAGCTAATTAGAAATCAGTTCAGAGGGATTTTTAAAATTCTTTGTACTGAAGAATTTTTTCTTTTTAGCCAATCATACTCTAAATAATTCTACAGATATACACTGAGGATCCATATGTACCAGGCATCACAATAAGCTGAGAGGTTAGAAAGATAGGTAAAAACACTCTCCCATCCCTGAGGAAACATATAGTCTAGTAAGAGAGCCAGACACACAGAGACATCCAGTCTTTTTATAATCACGTATTTGAGTGTCTCCAGAGAGAGTTTATCTCTTGGGATACAAAGATGAATAAAACTCAGGGTGGGGACTTCTCTGAAGGAAACACATAGTAAGACAGTTATGCTACTGTGTGATCGGTGCCAAAACTTGGAGATGGGTTACTCCATTGGGGACATGCAGATGGACTGTCAAGGAATGCTTTAAAGAGGAGAAAGATGCTTGGGTGGTCCTTGGAGAATAAATAAGGATTCACAGGAGGAGGGCAGGGAAAAGAAAGTCCAAGCATTGGAAAAAGCCTGTGCCAGGACCCTGAAGTTTTCAACAGCTTGGTGAGTTTTGCAACTCTGAGTATGAGGATGTAAGTGAATGAGAGGATGCAAGTGGGGAATGATGGCAAGAAGAAAGGTAGGAGAGCAGTCATGGGGCTTGTGACAGGTCTCATCCTGCACACAGTAAGACGCAGAGGAGAGTTTTCTGTTGGAGAAGGCACGATGGCATCTTCATTTAAAAATCCTCGGGGTTGGCCAGAGTGAGGCTCAAGGCAGGGAGGCTGCTTCTGAGACTATGATATTCGCTCTGGGGAAAATTAATAGCTAGACTGGGGCAATGACAGCACAGTGAGGATAGAAAGAAGAAAGAAATGTTCAGGAGGTGATATGGACAAATGGGTTAAAGTGAGGATGGCACTGAGATTTCTAGCTGCCCTGTAATGTGGCCAAAACAGTCATCCATATAGGATTTTGATAAATGTCATTTTCTTTGGGCCACAGAGTAGATAGCGATGCATTTACATGGAAAAATGGAAAGTCAGAGGAAGTGCAAGCTTGGAGGAAAAAAAGCTTGGATTTGGTATTGGGTCTAGGGCATTTATTCCTTTAAAAAACAAAGCTAGCTGTTTCCTGCTGATGACAAATACATTCATATGCCTATTTGGTAGATGGACATGCTGTTGCTAATTGAAAATGCTCTAATTGAAATGACCGTTAGAAAATAACCTTCATACTTTATCCCTGATTGCCATGGTTATTTATTTATTAGGCCTCCTCTAAGGCTAGGCCAATGAGAAAAGAGGGATGATGTGGTCAGGCTTGGGAGGATTTTGTGTATCTCACCTTTGAGACAGCTCCCTGGGAGGAAAGAAAAGTTGCCTAGATTTCTGGGCTCCCTGAAGTCATTTGTGCTAGTTGATAATTCAGGGATCAAGTCTTCCCAGGATAGACTTGGACCAGATCGATTTTAACATAAAATAAGAGAAGAAAAATGTGAAATGGGATCTATTGAACTTCCTGACTTATTAAATAAATGTAATTTAACGTTTTTACTCAGTACCTTAGTTCCAGTTATAGAGGTGAGGATCAGCTTGCCATTCTTGGTCATTCCTGTTTCTGTAGGGTGCAAGAGTTGGCATATTATTTGTAGGTTTTCCTGTCACTGGATAGCATTTTAATCTTTGTTAATGGGTGTTACACGTTATTATGTATCTATATAAACTTGAACGTTGTTATACTACCCTGAGCTCCATACTAAGTGATCTCCTTGATTTCATTCCTACTCAAGAGTCAGAGATAGCTGGAATTTTGTACAGATGTAGAGAACATGGGAACAGTTGCATAAACATTGGTCACGCTGTAAATATTCAAGAAATCCATCTTGAGTGTATATTGAGTGTGTATTATGTTCTGGACACTTTTTAGGCCCTGAGGGCTCAGTGAGGAGCACAGAAGAAACAGTCCTTGCCTGAGTGGAGCGTACATGATAGTGTAGAGGATAGACATTAAACAAGCAATCAAATACAGTGGTTACAGATAGAGATAAATGTAATGAGAAAAAAAAAAAGAGTAACGAGCTGGAAAATGATTGAGGTGGGGAGTCAGGGAAGCGTTTCTGATAAGAAGCCATTCCAGGATCTAAGGAAAAGGGGTTCCAAGCAAAAGAAACAGATATGCAGACCCTGGGATGGGAATGATCTTGGTGAGTTCAAGAAACAGGAGGACAGTGATTAGGGCTTGTAGATGTGATAGAGCTGGGGAGAAATGGCTACCTTCTTCCCACCACTCATGGAATGCTTATTAGAGGCTCAAAAATATAATGGATGTATGCATACCATATATAAATATATATACCCCATCTCATGCTACATAGTCAGGCATTGTTATTCTCATTTCCTAGATGAGGGAACTGGGTCTCAGAGACCAGGTCTACATAGTTAGGAAGTCACAGAGTGAGGCAGAGTCAAGGCCTTCCCACTCCACTCTTTCCACCTCATCCTAACTGCAGACCAGCAGGACTGAAGCAAGGCACTTGGAATGACATAAGTGCTGAGTCACTGGCCTCCTAGGCTGCTTGCATGGAATACCTATCTTAACAAAATTTGCAATGGCTTTTTTGGTATATTAGCAACAATAACAATTATAAAGCAATGATGACAACGGTGACAATAGCTATGCCTACTACCATATGCTTTTATAGTTTGTAAAGTTCTTTATCATACAGCACCTCATTTGTAGCTCAGAAAAGTTCTCAAAGATAAGCGGGACAAGTTTTATGCTTCTCATTTAGGTTAAGAGATTGCCTGAGGTGACACAGCGCACTGAGCTGGGACATGGCTGTTGTGATTCTAATTCAGTGCTCTTTACTTAAACCATAGAAACTCCTGGTTGAAGGAGGAGATATATATGGTTCATAAGCTTGTAGGCATGAATTCCTGGAAAACAAGTTTGTCCTTTCTTCAAAGTGCTTTGGACTGTAAGGAAGAGGCATGAAAGATGGATTCATTCTTTGTGTACTTATTGAGCTCCTGTTGTGTGTCAGACACTGGAAATAACAAAGGGTCCCACTTAAATAGGTTAAAAGGTACTAATTTAGCACAGTGTTATCTGCTATTTGTATTTGATAAAAAGACGAGAAAAAACACTGCGGAAACACAGAGGAAGAAGCGATTAAGTAAGTCATTTTGGGGAATTTGAGGATGGCCTCACCGTGAAGATGGCATTGAACTGGGCCTTGAAGGATGATTGATAGTGGTGGGGAGGGATTCTCCAGGGAGAGAAGCAGGAAGGCTATTCTAGGAAAAAAGGATTATGGCAATAGAAGAATACACTCTCTGTGGGGAATAGCAACAGGTGTAACCAGGGCATGAGATAATATAGGAAGTAATGGTGGGAAATTATGCTGGAAATGTAGACTGAAGTCAGGTTGCAGAGGGCTTTGAATGTCAGGTGCAGAAGTGGGTGTATTTGGCCTGATCATCCCAGACCTGTTACAAGGGGATGGCATGATTATATTTGTTGTATTTTAGAAAGAAAATTCTAATGGCTAAGGTAGGTCAGATTGGAACCAAGGAGAGTTTAGAAACCATTATAATAGTTTAAAAGAAAGAATTGGTTGCAGCCCCTAATTCTGTGTTGAGAAGAAGTTTAGAGGTAACATTGGTAAGACTTAAGTACTGATTGGATGTGGAGACACTCCAGTTAGATTTTAAATGCACACGCTAATTTTCTAACATTGGTGCACACACACATACTTCTTATTTTGGCTTCACCAGACTCAGCCTAATTCTCCCTGACTATTTAAGTCAGCCACTGATTTATTTTTCTATCTTCAGAAAAAAAAAAAGAAAAAATTATAGGTCTGTGATCTTATGGATTCTTTCTGTATGATTTGATTTTGATGATCCCATAGGATTCTTCAGGCTAAGGAATGCTGACTGTGCAAACAAATTTTTGAAGACTTGGATGCTCTCATTATATTTATGTGCTGCAGATACCTACTATTTGGAATGGTTGTTGCTATTTGCAAACCCGCCTACTAAGCACTTTGGGGAAATTATTAGCAGCCATTGACCTCTGATAGGGAAACATTAGCAGTTCAACCTATCCTCTCTCCATTTCAGGTCTCCTGCTGAATGCTGAAGGATAATTAGGATTTTAGAATTTAGTGAGGGACCATACTTTAATGTGTATGTCAGTCCCATACTTTTCTAGAATATTCTTTCCCTCTATAGTATTATTCTAGTAAGTAAGGACTATTCCTCTTGGCCTTAAAATGTAATTCAAGGCTGGGTGTGGTGGTTCATGCCTGTAATCCTAGCACTTTGGGAGGCTGAGGCAGGCGGATTGCCTGAGCTCAGGAGTTCGAGACTAGCCTGGGCAACACGGTGAAACCCTGTCTCTACTACAATACAGAAAATTAGCCGGGTGTGGTGGCATGCAGCTGTGGTCCCATTGGGTATGGTGGCATGCACCTGTGGTCCCAGTTACTTGGGAGGCTGAGGCAGGAGAATTGCTTAAACCCGGGAGGCAGAGGTTGCAGTGAGCCGAGATCGCACCACTGCACTCCAGGCTGGATGGCAGAGCGAGACTCTGTCTCCAAAAAACAACAACAACAACAAAAATGGTAATTATAGGGTCAGAGTTGAGAAACAAAAATCAACAAATACAAATCATTTTCTCTTTAATTTATAAGCATTAGGAATTCATTTTTTGTTGCATAAAAGATTTACATTTAATCTCTGAGGTAAAAGAAGTTTCGGCTTCAACTTGGACTTGTGTCATTCCCACCTCATCCAAATTCATGTAACATGGTGGGAAGGGTCCTCTATTGTCTCATACATTTAGTCTAAAAGCATTCTTGGGGGACCCCCTCCTATGTTCAAATCAGTGTCTCCATATAAAAGGAAGCTCTGAGGCTGTTCCAGTTGTTCCTACATTGTCTTTGCCACTTGGGTGAGCGTTTTCAGCCTCCCTGAGCCCCAGGTGCCCCAGTGTACATAATACTTACACTATGGGTGCTGCAAAGGCCTGGAAAGATAGGTGGAGCCATTGGAGTCAACTCTGGCACATGGTGGGGTTTAGTTATTTTAGACACTGGCTTTCAGAAGTTAGATGGAAGAGACACAGACTTTTCCATATGCAGATTATAACTTAGTTTTCAAAACCATTAATTGGCAGAAAGTTATTTAAAAGTCCCAATTCTCATACCTCCATTAAAATATTCTGATGTCAAAAATGGAATTATGTGGCCGCCTACCCTCTCGGTGGTCTGGAAAATAGTCATATTTTCACTTTTTCTCCTTAGGCTAGTTACAGAACACAGAACCCACTTCCCATGAACTGTGTCTACCCTGGTGTTGAAAGACTGAGCTTGAAGAATACTTGTCTTTTAGCCTTTAGAAAGCTCTGTCAACAAGCTTCTGTGAAACAAAGTTCCTGAAAAAGCTATCTTATTTCTTTTTAAATAAGTGGCAGATACAGGTACATAATTCAGTTTATCTTGTAGTCAGGAAAAAGGCATTAAATCGTGCTGTTGTAGAATTTTAGCCACATTCTTTTGGCCATTCAAATGGCCATCGATCCAACAAATACTGATTGAGAACCTATTATATGTTAAGTACTACACCAGTTCAACACCAGTGAACAAGACACAATCGCTGATATCATCCCAAGTTTAATTGACTTGTATAAACAATCTGTACATTACAAAAATTAATGTTGTTGCTATCTGAAATGGGAGGCATTTTCTGTCATTTTTTTAGTAGAGAGGAATAAAGAGACCGAACTTTAAAAATTAATGGCGTTTGAGTTAATAACTGGAATACCTATTTTTATTGATCAATTGTCATATAGATGTGCAGTTACTTAATCCACTAGATAATTTGTATTTCTGCAGTATTTTCCATTTCATGCATCATTATAATGCTGTGTATTCAAGGTATGAACCCGTTTCATCAACAGTATTAATCTCAATTCATTTAGGAGCTTTAAATAATATTCCCTTATTAAGTATATTCTTGATATGCTGCCCATGCTTTTACAGTGTCAGAAGCCGTTAATGCAGATAAAAACAAACATTCAGTTAAAGAACCTTCTCATATATTAATTCGATTTCAGAAATTATTTGTGCATTTATATTTCCTGAATGGCTTCGGTTATGACAAACATCTAACTAGGCTAATTCAGAGCTTTGAGGCTAAAGTCCAGCCTCATGGATTGGTTTAATCTGAAGAACATTAAAATAGTAGAACATTTTCTGTCTTGGCAAGAATCATAGTGTTGAAATTTCAAGAAGAAGATTTAAATTTGTCCATGAGACTGTAAACTTCTTGAAGGCAAGGACTCATCTCTGTAGCCCTGATGCATAATTGATGTTCTTCAAATGTTTGCTGATTTGAGTTGAACTGAGGAGAATAACAAAACAGCATTTGAGAATCAAAGTCTCCCAGGTTTTCCTTATATAATTTACAAGGACTTCCCTGGCAAACTATCCTTTCTTCTTCGTTTAAAAAATTTCACTTTATTATGTTCATCTTTGATGTGGAACATTTTTTATGGCCTTCTGCTGTGACTCATTTTGGTGCTGAGTTATCTGCTTCCTTGGAGCTCAGCCCTTCCTTTTAAGCTGTGGTATTCAGGCTCCCCAAAG